>NC_000023.11:19107184-19410215 GCF_000001405.40 Homo sapiens | reverse complement strand
CTGAAACTTAGATTATTTCAAATTTACATCATTTAAACTGGATTAGAGATACAAATGAATTTTTATAATACATAAGAAAATGTTTCTGGTGTTCCATGTTATACAAGGTGTATTGCTGTAACCCGTAAAAAAATCACCACTGCAGGTAAAATAGCAGAAATGATTGACCATAGAATGAAACAAAAAAAATCATTTGCTTTAAAAAACTCAAACTATTGACTTCTGTCTTTGATAACTTGCAGAAACAGATGCACGAATGGAATTTTACAGCCTCTTCCATAAAGGGAATAAGGTAAGAACATAGGAGAAAATGGAGTTACTATTTTAATGCAAATGATGATAATGTTTTATGCACTTTAATGTTTCCACTTACTCATAATATGGAATGTTCTTATTTTTAATGGAATCCAAAGTGGACTCTCTATTATGTTGTCCTTCCTGAGCTAGTTATTAATACTAGTGTACTCCTAGTGAGAACTTCTTGGGTTATTATAATAGAGTAGCTTTGCTCATATTCAGCAGACTAAACTCACTTGTGCCATTTTTTTTAAAGAAGTGATCGGTAGGAAGAGAAGATGTATCTTTTTTGAGCCAAAGATGTTCAAGTGCTCAGTGACTCTGAGAACTGAAGCCAGGAGATGATTAGTGGCAACACTCGGGTTGGGGTCTTGTGAACAGAGTAATGGAGCTGGGAGATTTTTTTCAGGGAGGGCATGAGGTGGTGTATTCTCGGGAGAGGAGTAGCTCTTGCATTTTGGTTCAGGAGTGATGACAGTTTGAGCCTGAGCTGTGTGGCCTTACCCAAGCAGGGCTAAACATCTCAGCTGCACTTGTCACCCTGGCAGCTCATTCGAGGGTGAGACTGGCTGTGAAGTAGATGTGAGTTCTAATCTCTCTTTGCTGGGTGATGTTAGGAAAGTCACTCAGCTTCTCTAAGTCTCAGTTTCTTCCCTATTTTCTTCAAATAAAGGGCTTGTACTAGAACATTCCTTTCTCTGACTCTGAGGCTACCTCAGCCACTGAATGAATCCCCAGTTACTTCTAGACATAGTGTGATCCTGTCCTGGAAACATCAGTATTGAAATTAGGATACCATCAACATCACTTAAAAGGAGGGAAATAATTTAAGTACAAAGTAGTGCATTGGGATGATACTGCCCAGGAAATACAAGGCAATTTGAAATACACTCAGCAAAGCATACACAAAGCAGCAGAAAAGGGAATAAAATATGGTCTCTGTCCTCAAGGAGTTTATAGTCTCATGAAAAGGAAAGGTAAGGTATTTGAGAAATAATTTATTGTGGTATTACAAGAATTTCTAGACTCGGAAAATATCAGGACACAGTATTTGTGGCCACACGAGGGAAATGGAAATAAACACGGCACTGTAGCTCAAGAAAGGCCTTTCTTTAAATGTTATCTGGTCCATCTCCACCCAGTGTGTGTACCTGACTCTACAGCTCATCCAGCAAGCAATATTCAGCTTGCCTGAGCATAGCTAGTGACAGAAAATCTGCTAGTAAAATATGTATTTTTATTTTTTAAATTATTTTATTTTATTTTATTTTTTTGTCTTGCTCTGTCACCCAGGCTGGAGTACAGTGGCACGATCTCGGCTCACTGCAACCTCTGCCTCCCAGGTTCAAGCGATTCTCCTGCCTCAGCCTCCAGAGTAGCTGGGACTACAGGTGTGTGGCACAATGCCTGGCTGATTTTTGTATTTTTTGTAGAGTCAGGGTTTTGCCATGTTGGTCAGGCTGGTCTCGAACTCCTGACCTCAAGTGATCCGCCCGCGTCAGCCTCCCAAAATGCTAGGATTACAGGCATGAGCCACTGTGCCTTGTGAAGATTTTCAAAAATGTGTTACTTAGTAATTAAGTTGTGTTAGAGCAGGTAGTCAAGATCCTTCTGTTTGTGCCTCCTCATAGAGATACCTCTAGGTGCCATTTCAGCCATCAGTGGGGATTTACAAAGGGCCTGAGGGCGTATCATCCTCGCCCCACCCCTCCCCGGGACCCATGTGACCTGAAGAGTATACTTTGAGCGTTCCAGAGGCTCTCCAACTAACTGTGGTGGTTGCTTTACAGATTGATTTTCAAAACCTGCTCACTTATAATCTAGTTCTAATTCTTTTTGAATCTCCTCTGTACTCTTGGTGTTCCAACCCAGTGTTTGTCATGCAATCTATAACATAAAGAATGGTCTAGGACAGTTTGGATCTCAGCAAGAGATAACTTAGAAAGGATGAGATAAAGTGGCTTCAGTTGTTTGAAGGGACAATGATAGAAGAGAATCTAGCCTTCCTCTCCATAATACCTCCTGGCATGAGGGCCACTGCTCTCTGACATACAATCTACTAGCAGATTTCCTGTCACTGGCTATGTCCAGGCAAGCTGAATATTGCTTGTTGGATGAGCTGTAGAATCAGGTACAGACCCTGGGTGGAGATGGACCAGATAACAAACATTTAAAGGCCTTTCTTGAGCTACAGTGCCATGTTTATTTCCATTTCCCTTGTGTGGCCACAAATACTGTGTCCTGATACTTTCCGAATCTAGAAATTCCCTTAATACCACAATAAATTATTTCACAAATACCTTGCCTTTCTTTTTCATGAGATTATAAGCCCCTTGAGGACAGAGAACCATATTTTATTCCCCTTTCTGTTGCCCGTATGCTTTGCTTAGCACTGAATTATATTAAGAGTAAGTTCATATTAAGGTCAGTTGATAAATACAAACTCAAATATAAGCAAGATAAATGTCTCTGGTATTTAAATTTCATAGAGAAATAAAAGGCAGACTCGGGGGGTGTTTGTTTAAAACATTAATGAATCTTTCAGGAATTGATAAAATAGAAGAAAAGATTGTCTTGCAGATTTAGAGTGGGTATCATAACTTATGTATAAACATTATGCTTTGAAATTTTACAGCCTATCAAAGTTTGATGAAAGGTGTTGTTTTCTTTATGTCCATGATAATTCTGATGACTTTCAAATCTACTTTTCCACCGAAGAGCAGTGCAGTAGGTGAGTTACAGCCAATTCAGGTATTTGCAATGTAATTATGGCGAATCATTTTTAAAGGGCCTTTGTTCTGAAAGATATTTACTTGCTATTACTGTCTTTCTTGAAATGTTAACTTACATCTCAAAAAAGCTCTAAAATTTCTGTAATTCACATAGCAGGTAATTCAGCCATTTAAAATACACAACTTGGCCAGGTGCAGTAGCTCACGCCTGTAATCTCAGCACTTTGGGAGGCTGAGGAGGGTGGATCACCTGAGGTTAGGAGTTTGAGACCAGCCTGACCAACATGGAGAAACCCTGCCTCTACTAAAAATACAAAATTAGCCGGGTGTGGTGGCGCATGCCTGTAATCCCAGCTACTTGAGAGGCTGAGGCAGGAGAATCACTTGAACCCGGGAAGTGGAGGTTGCAGTGAGCTGAGATTGTGCCATTGCACCCCAGCCTGGGGAACAAGAGCGAAACTCCACTTCAAAAAAATAAATAACATAACATTCAGCATTTTTTAGTATAGTCATAGTTTTCCAACCAACACCATAATCTAGTTTTAGAATATTTTCGTCACCCCCACAAGAAACACACTATCCATAGAGTCATTCCTCATTCCCTCAACCTCGCCCCATCTTGGCCCCAGCCCTAGGTAACCATTAATCTTTGTGTCTCTATGGCTCTGCCTATTCTGGCCATTTCATATAAGTGGAATCATACAGTATGTGGTCTCTTGTGACTGGCTTCTTTCACTTAGCGTAATTTTTTTAAGGTTTATCCATGTGTAACACGTATCAGTACTTCATTTCTTTTTGTGGCTGAATGATATTCTTTTGTATGGCTATACCACAGTTTATCTGTTTTTCAGCCAATAGGCATTTGGATTGTTTGCACTTTTTGACAATTATGAATTGTACTTCCCTGAACATTCACGTGCAAGTATTTGTGAGGACATGTTTTTATTTCTCTTGGAGTCAAATTGCTGGGTCTTATGGTAACTCTACGTTTAACCTTTTGAGGAACTGCCAGACCATTTTCCCATTTTATATTCCCATTAGCAATGTATGTGGCTTCCAATTTCTCCACGTCCTTGCCAACACTAGTTATTATCTGTCTTTTGAGTATTGTAATCCTAGTGGATGTGAGGTGGGATCTCATTGTGGTTTTGATTCGCATTTTCCTGACGACTAATGATACTGAGCATCATTTCATGTGCTTATTGGCCATTTATATACCTCTGGAGAAATGTCTATTCAAATTCTTAGTCCAATTAAAAAAATTAAACTTTTTATTTTTGAAAATATTTACAGCCATAGGAAAGTTTCAAAATACAATACAAAGAATTTCCATATACGTTTCACACAGAATTTCTCAGGGTTTACCCCTTACCACATTGGTTTTACATTCTCGCTCTATGCATATGGTTATTTTTTCTGAACTGTTTAAAAGTAAGTTGTAGACAATGCTCCATTACCTGTAAATACTTGAGTGTATTTCGTAAAAACAAGGATACTGACTTGTGTAATTACAGTACAGTTATCTAATGAGGAAATTAAGATAGATATAGTACTATAATCTACAACATTTATCCAAATTTTACTTAGTGTCCCAATGATGTCTTTTATAGCAAAACAAAAGGTTTTTCCTCTGGTCCACGTTCCAATCCAGGATCACATGTTGCATTGAGTTGTCACGTCTGCATAGTCTCCTTTCACCTGAAAGAGTTCATCATCAGTCTTTGTCTTTTTTGACTTAATACTTTCCAAGAGTACAGACAGTTTATTTTGGGTAGTCCTTTGACTTGGATTTGTTTATCGTTTCCTCATGAGTACACTGATGTTATGTATTTGGCAGGAATATCACAGAAATGATGTTGTGTCCTTCTCAGTGCCTCATAACAAGGGACACAATATTTCTGTGTCATCATTGGTGATGTTAACGTGGATCATCTGGTGAAAGTGGTGTTTGCCAGCTATCTCCAAACTTTGCCCACTTATAATTGGGTTATTTATCATTTTATTATTGATTTTAAGAGTGATATATACATATATATGTGATATATTTTTTCTCTATGTAAGTTCTTTATCAGATATGATTTGCAAATGCTTTTTCCCATCCTGTAGGTTGTCTTTTCACTCTCTCGATGGTATCACTTGCAGCACGAAAGTTTTTAATTTGGATGAAGTACAACTTACCTATTTATTTCTTTTGTCATTTGTGCCTTTGGCTCTTGTCTTAGAAGCTTTGTCTAGCCTGAGGTGTTCTATGGTTTTTATGTTTTCTTCCAAGAGTTTTATAGTTTTAACTTTTATATGTTTAGGTTTTTGACCCATTTTGAATTCATTTTTGGATGTGGTGTAAGGTAGGGGTTCCAACTTTATTCTTTAACGTGGATATGTGGTTGTCCTAGCACCATTTGTTGAAAAGACTATTCTTGAAAAGACTATTCTTTCCCTGATTGAGTGGTCTTGGTACTCTTTTTGGAAATCAGTTGACCACAAATGTAGGAGTTTATTTCTGGACTCTCAATTCCGTTCCATTGTTTTGTATGTCTATTCTTAATGCAAGCACCATGCTTTCTCTATTACTGTAGCTTTGTAGTAAGTTGTAAAATCAGGAAATGTGAGCCCTCCAACTTCGTTCTTGTTTTTCAAGATTGTTTTGGTTATTGTGGATGCTTGCATTTCCACGTAAATATTAGGATCAGCTTATCAATTTCTGTAGAAAAATGGCAGCTAGGACTTTGACAGGGAATACGTTGGATATCTAGATCAATTTGGAGAGCATTGCCATATTAACCATCCTGGCTTCCAATCCATGAACACAAGATGGATTTCTATTTACTTAGGTTTTCTTGAATTTCTTTCAATGATAGTTTTGTAGTTTCAGTGTACAAATTTTGTACTTCTTTTATTAAGTACATACCTAAGGATTTTATTATTTTGATACTGGAGTTTTTTTAATTTCACTTTTGGATGTTCACTGATAATGTATTAGAAATACACTTGAGTTGTAAATGTTGATTTTGTAACTTACAACCTTGCTGAACTCATGTATTAGCTCTAATGGGTTTTATTGAATTCCTTAGGGTTTTCTATGTGCAATATCATGTCATCTGCAGATACAGTTTTAGTTTTTCCTTTCCAACCTAGATGCCTTTATTTTCCTTGCCTAATTATCCTAGCTAGACTCTCCAGCACAATGTGGAATAGAAATAGGGAGAGTAGACATCTTTATTTTGTTCCTGTTTTTAAGAAGAAAGAAGTTAGTCTTTCATCATTAAGTATGATGTTAGCAGCAGATTTTTCATAGATAACCTTTATCAGATTGAGGAAGTTCCCTTTATTCATAGTTCATTTGTATCATGTAATTTGAGAAAGTCTTAATTCATTGTGTCTCAGACAATCATTGTCACAACATATTTAAAGATTAGGCTAGGCTGGGTGTGGTGGCTGATGCCTGTAATCCTAGCACTTTGGGAGGCTGAGGAAGGAGGATTGCTTGAGTGGGCAGTTCGAGACCAGCCTGGGCGACATGGTAAAACCCCGTCTCTGCAAAAAGTACAAAAAAAAAAAAAATTAGCTCAGCATGGTGACATACACCTGTAGTCCCAGCTACTCAGGAGGCAGAAGTGGGAGGATCACCTGAGCCTGGGAGGTTGAGGCTGTGGTGAGTGGTGATCATGCCACTGCACTCCAGCCTGGGCGACAGAGCAAGATCCTGTCAAAAAAAAAAAAAAAAAAGAATAGAATAAATAGCAGACTAGGGAATCATTGGATCATAACCTTCAATTTACAGTAGAAAAAATGCTGCCAAATATAAATTGGTGTAAAAGTAATTGCAGTTTTTGCCATTAAAAACCTAATATTAAGCAGAACATCCTTTTACTACTACAAAATGTGCCCTTTTGACCCTCATTCAGTACTCAGTGCCTTTTTTTAAAAATACATTTTAATAATTTTTTTATTGATGTGTAACGTATAAACAAGTTTGTAATGTGCACTTAAGTGTACAGCTTGATAAATTTTGATACATATATACATTCTTGTACCTGCCTCCCAGATCAGCACCCCAGAAGTTGCTTTGTGCCCCTTCACAGTCATTAAACTCCCTCCAGTGATAACTGTTTTGATTTTTACCACCAATGGTTAGTTTCACCTGTTCTTGACCTACAAATAAACAGAATCATGTAGTTTGTACCCTTGTTTCTCACCTCTTTCCCTTAAAATAATATTCATAGCTGGGCACGGTGGCCCACACCTGTAATCCCAGCACTTTGGGAGGCCAAGGCAGGAGGATCGGTTGATCCCAGGAGTTCAAGACCAGCCTGGGCAACACAGGGAGACCCTCGTCTCTACAAAAAATAAAAAAATTAGCTGGGCGTGGTGGTGTGCGCCTCCAGTCCCAGCTACTTGGGAGGATGAGGTGGGAGGATTGCTTGAGCCTGTGAGGTCGAGACTGCAGTGAACCATGATCACGCCACTGCACTCCAGGCTAGGTGACAGAGTGATACCCCATCTCAAAAACAAGAAACAAAATGAAATCCAACTGTGAAGTATATATCAGTTCATTCTTTCTCTGTGTAGCATTCCGTTGTGTTCCAATTTATCTGTTCTTCTATTAATGAAGACTTGGATTGTTTCTGTTTGGGGGTTATTATGAAGAAAATGACTATGAACATTCTTATATATGCCTTTTGGTGAACATATATATTGATTTCTATTGAGTATATATCTAGGAGTGGATTACTGGATTATAGGGTAGGTTTATCTTCAGCTTTGGTTGTTGATACTGCCAAGAGTTTTCCAAAGTGGTCATGTCAATTTACACTCCCACTAGCAATGTATGAGAGTCCCAGTTGTTCCGTATTCTTAAGAACAGTTGATATCATCTTTTATTTTTTTTCTGTTGAGACAGAGTCTTGCTCTTTTGCCCAGCTGGAGTGCAGTGGCGCAGTCTTGGCTCACTGCAACCTCTGCCTCCCGGTCTCAAGCAATCTTCCTACCTCAGTCTCCTGAGTAGCTGGGACTACAGGTGTGTGCCACCACACCTGGCTAATTTAAAAAAAAAAAAAAATTGTAGAAACGGGGTTTCGGCCACGTTGCCCAGGTTGGTCTCGAACTCCTGGCCTCAAGCAGTCTTCCCGCTTCAGTCTCCCAAAGTGCTAAGATTACAGGCATGAGCCACTACACCTGGCTGATACCGTCTTTTAAATCTTAGTTGTTCTGTGAGTGCATACCATATGTCTCTTAAGAAGCCTGACGATTGGGTTATCCAGCTTTCAAAGATTAGAAGAAAAGGTAAGATGGGTTAGTTAGAAAAAAGAGCATTTTAATGGTTTATGGAAATTATCCTGAAATGTACAGTATTCCTCCTTGACATCTTAAGAGAGAATTGTGAGTAAAAATGTTCTAATGAGTCAAGATGACTTGTATCCAAATAAAAACTGCACAAGTCTAGGAAGTGGCCCACGTGGCCCAGTAGAATTTGTGAGAAAGATTTATGGGTCAATATTAAGCTTGTTCTGTGTCAGCAGAATGATGTGGCCACCTTATGCGTTTCCTCCTCACCATTCCCCTTATACAACACCCTGTATCTTACTGAGAACTAGATTGTCTGTACTTTGAGAGGCAATAGTCCCCCTATCCTTAGCATTGATTAGATCCCCTCTGAACACTGGTCTTGGGGCCAGACTTCAAGAATAATACAAGAGGCTGGGTGCGGGGGCTCATGCCTCCCAACACTTTCGGAGGCCGTGGTGGGAGAATCATTTGAGTCCAGGAGTTTGAGACCAAGCTGGGCAACATAGTGAGACCCCGTCTACAAAAAATACAAAAATTAGCCGGGCTTGGTGATGGGTGCCTGTAGTCTCAGCTGCTTGAGAGGCTGAGGTGGGAGGATTGCTTGAGCTCAGGAGGCTGGCTGAGGCTGCATTGAGCTGTGATCACATCACTGCACTCCAGCCTGGGCGACAGAGCGAGACCCTGTCTTTAAAAAAAAAAAGAAAAAGAGTAACACAGGGACGTCATCTGAAGAATTACCTGCTAGTAGAGTAACTCACACGTCCTGGGGAAAACAGTGATGGGACAGAAAGGAAAGACTTATAGGGACATGGTAAAATTATGTGCACTTCTAATGGGGTGTTAAGTAGAAAAATGGTTAATTCTAAGCAAACTGTGGATGGAACCCACATGAAAGAAGTCTTTGGTTCAGTAAAAGGGAAATATTTCTCATTAAGATCTTCCAAGAATGAGCTGTCTTTGGGAGGTAATGAGTTCTCTGTTGCTGGAGGTACTCAAGCATCAATTGGTCAACCAGTTGGTGGAGATACTATACAGAGGGGATTCAGGTATCACATTGGTAGTTGCCCTAGATTTGATAACCACTAAAGTACCACGTCAAATCAAGGAGGGGATCGATTGTTCCATGACTTGTAAAAGTTTGGTTTATATTTAAGTACAGTTTAATAAAGCTAAGTTAAAAACAAGGAATGAGAGCAGTTCTGAGTTGGCAACGTATTTGTGACACTTGCTGTTCTAGATTTTTCTCTTTGGTCAAAGAGATGATAACCAATACAGCAGGCAGTACGGTGGAGCTGGAGGGAGAGACCGATGGAGACACCTTGGAGGTGAGTCATGGACGATCTAGAATATGGAAAACATTGATTGTGTGTTCGATGCTTCAAGAAAATGTCCCATCTTTCTATAAAAATCCTCTGTTGAGTATGTTTTATGAACCTGCCAGCCATCACTGCATGGTTCCCAGAGATAATGTTGAATGTGTCTCCAGAGAAGAATCTCATTTCTTTGGGATTCTCTCAGTTAGAATGCTTAAGAAAAATTTGGCCATGGACTAGACTAAAATTTCCTTTTGTGAACAACCTATGAAAGTTTTCTCTAGGCTAATTAGTAATGTCTGTGAGACTACAAGAGAATTAGTTGGCCAACTGAGAGCAGACGTTTTATGCTTAAAATGACTTTAGTTATAGCTATGTGCATATACTATATGAAATATAACAACTTTAAAATCATTTTAAAAAGTAGGCTCATCAGCTCTTTTTAACAGCACAGTTATAGTCCACAGTTGCTAAACCATTGTACAGGTGTTTAAATCTTGCCCAGTTATTCAGATTTGCCACTCACTCAGGTTCTTCCAGTGATTACAATTTAATGAGATTTTACTGTACTTTCAGGTTAGACTGAAAGGAATTCCTTAATGTTTCTTTCAGAAAATATCAAAGGGATTCATTTTAATAATTGAGTTAACTACTAGAATTCTTAGGTCAGGACCAGAGTTTGTTGTAGAAATGAACTGAGCAATGGTGCTTTGAGGGCAGCAGGTGTGGGAATCGGAGGGAGGTGTGAGGTAAAAGTCTTCTATGGAGCAGGCTGATTGCCAGTTACATCAGACACTGATGGAGATCCTTTACTAACCATGTTTTTTTTTTTTTTTTTTTTTTTTTTTGGAAACAGAGTCTCACGCTGTTGCTGAGGCTGGAGTGGAGTGCAGTGGCGCAATCTCGCCTTACTGCAACCTCTGCCTCCTGGGTTCAAGCGATTCTCCTGCCTCAGCCTCCCATGTAGCTGGGACTACAGGCACCCGCCACCACGCCTGGCTAATTTTTGTATTTTATTTATTTAGAGATGGAGTCTTCCTCTGTTACCCAGGCTGGAGTGCAGTGGCGTGATCTTGGCTCACTGCAACCTCCACCTACCAGGTTTAAGCGATTCTCCTGCCTCAGCATCCTGAGTAGCTGGGACCACAGGCACGTGCCACCACGCCTGGCTAATTTTTTGTATTTTTAGTAGAAACGGGATTTCACCATGTTGGCCAGGCTGGTCTCGAATTCCTGACCTCAGGTGGTCTACTCGCCTCGGCCTCCCAAAGTGCTGGGATTACAGGCATGAGCCACCACGCCTGGCCTAATTTTTGTATTTTTAGTAGAGATGGGGTTTCGCTATGTTGGCCATGCTGGTCTCAGGTGGTCCTCCTGCCTGGGCCTCCCAAAGTGCTAGGATTACAAGCATGAGCCACAGTGTCCAGCCAACCCTTTAGTAATCTTAATTGTCATGAACATCCCTAGAAGTAGATGGGAAAGGACACCCACATACCCGCCGACTATTCCGTGTATAAGCTGCACTTCTGTAAGTAGAAGCAGTGGAGCATGCAAAATAACAGAAAAAATTGATTGCTGCCTCTCTGCTTTAAATAAGTGTTGCTCAGCGTACAGTCACATTTGTTTTAATCATCGAGAAGAATCAAATGCATCTGTATGTGACAGCTTTTGATGGGAAGATGGGGGAACAAAATAGTAATGCTAATTGTAAATCAAGTTTTTGTACTAGGTGTTTACTACTAGATCCGTATGCCTGAAAGAGTGGGGAAGCCCCAGCATATTTACTTTTTGTATTAAGATAATGTTAATTATATTGACCTTCAATTCCTTTCTGGGTTATTGAAAGATATTTGTTTCCTGACAACTTGATAAGGGATTATGCAGGAAGACACCTAGTTGGGTTATTCAACATGCTTAGAAGCAGTTTTAAATTGCAGCGTTAAAATGGGGAAGAATTTCCAAAAGGTGAGCCAATTATATGCAAACCATATTTTTAATTTTCTTGGATTCCATTTCATAAAGTCATACTATGAACAGGTGAACAATGGAGAATTCTGCCCCTTTAAAGTCATTTAATGAAAAGGGCCTAAGCTAAGCACTGTGACTTGCCTGACAGTCAAATAATGTTATTTATATTTTTTTTAGTTGCTAGACAACTCTGGGGGCCTTAGAGGGCTTCTCCGCTACAAGTTGTATGCTTTTTTGTCCTTTTGTTTTTCCTTCTTCAGTATGAGTATGACCATGATGCAAATGGTGAGAGAGTTGTCTTGGGGAAAGGCACGTATGGGATTGTGTATGCTGGCCGAGATCTGAGCAATCAAGTGCGAATAGCCATCAAAGAAATCCCGGAGAGAGATAGCAGGCAAGTCCAGGCGGGCCTTCCGCATTTCGGGTGCCGTCTCCACACCCCAGATCCCATACCCACCGCTCATGGTGTGGAGGAGTTAAGGGCAAAAGCATTGTGTTACCACAAAACCTGTCATTCTCTTGTAATAGGGGTGATCTTTTTTTTTTTTTTTTTTTTGAAACGGAGTCTCGCTCTATTGCCCAGGCTGGAGTGCAGTGGCATGATCTTGGCTCACTGCAACCTCTGCCTCCCAGGTTCAAGCAATTCTCATGGCTCAACCTGTAGCTGGGATTACACCATGCCCAGCTGATTTTTTTGTATTTTTAGTAGAGACGGGGTTTCACCATGTTGGTCAGGTTGGTCTCGAACTCCTGACCTCAAGTGATCTGCCCGCCTTGGCCTCCCAAAGTGCTGGGATTACAGGCATGAGCCACCGCGCCCGGCCAGGGTGATGTGCTTTTGTTTTGTGTATTATAGATTGAGAAAATGGAAGAACTACACTTCAGAGGCACGTGGATTGCAGAGGATCATATTTTAAAAGAAAACTTTTGTTGTGTTTCCACCCATTGGCTAGGTCTAAAGTTTTACATTTTTTGCGTAGTTGTTTGCAAATATATATACATTTTTGAGATGAAGTCTCACTCTGTCACTCAGGCAGGAGTGCAGTGGCAGATCTCGGCTCACTGCAGTCTCCACCTCCTGGGCTCAAGTGATCTTCCCACTTCAGCCGCCTGAGGAGCTGGGACTACAGACACACGTCACCATGCCTGTCTAATTTTTGAGTGCAAATATAATTTTTAAATATTACTGGGTTATTTTAAATTTACATTGTAGCAGTTGAAAATGGCTATGATTTGTTCAGATGCATCATTGTGGAAAATTACATGCAGATAAAAAAAATCAGATTTTTGCAGTACAGAATTTTTTTTAACATCCTACCCTTCACCCTCACACATGGATTTTGGACTGTTTTTCTACCATGAGTACTGCTTATTCATTTCTTTGACTTTTTTTAATTTTAAGAAATGTTTGTTTCTAGCCGGGCATTGTAGCTCAAGCCTGTAATCCCAGCACTTTGGGAGGCTGAGGCGGGCAGCTCACTTGAGGTCAAGAGTTCAAGACCAGCCTGGGGAACATGGTGAAACCTCGTCTCTGTTAAAAATACAAAACTTAGGTGGGTGGGCATGGTGGCGCACACCTGTAGTCCCAGCTACTCTGGAGGCTGAGGCACGAGAATCGCTTGAACCCCGGAGGCAGAGGCTACAGTGAGCCGAGACTGTGCCACTGCACTCCAGCCTGGGTGACAGAGTGAGACCCTGTCTCAAAAAAAAAAAAAAAAGTTTAAATTTATACCCCAACAAAATGAGCATTGCAATGTTGACTGCAAAGTGTTTCTGTAGAGAAGCTACATACACAGTTGGAATTAATCATTCCGGGATCCACAGGTGTGTCAGACCACAGCTGTAGGATTGCCTTCAGTGTCGAGTGCTGAAGAATAATGTGTAAACACCCATGTATCTGGGTGATTGCTGATATATTGGGGATGAG
Organism: Homo sapiens; assembly: GCF_000001405.40. NCBI lineage: Eukaryota > Metazoa > Chordata > Mammalia > Primates > Hominidae > Homo > Homo sapiens. The sequence continues at coordinate 19,396,692 of NC_000023.11, read as the reverse complement.
TTTTAAGGGATTTCTGCCAGCTGTAAGACCCTTCATTCATCCATTCATGTATTTGTTGATTTTCAGTGGGATAGCATGTTATGATACGTGAATTATGAGACAGGACCTGAAATGAACTATTTCCATTTCTTCATTTCACCAATAAGAAAATCAAGACTGAGGAAGATTAAATGACTTTCCCAAGGATGCTTAGAAACAAGACTAGGATCCGAGTCTCTTGAGTTCCTCATCCAGCATCCAGTCTCTTTTCTCATGATGGATAAGGTGTTGCAGTTGTATCTATTTGGGGAAATTTCTGGCATGTCCCATCTCCTTCATTTGGTAGCAATAGCTGTTCTAGCTTTTTGTTGCTGATCAGTAGTTCCTGGGATTTTAAGAGCTAGAAGGGACCTTTAGAGACTGTTTTGTTCAACTCCCTAAATTTATAGGCTGAACTTATGATGATAGGTACTTTCTCTGTGTCAGACTCTGGGCTGGCACTGGGGACCGAAAGGTGATTAGGATAGTGTCCTTTTCCCAGGGTTCTGCTGGTTCGGTGGCAAATGCAGATGCTTTGCCTCTGAGTGAAAGTGCCAAGTGCCATGATAGAGGAGTACACAGAGTGTTTTTAGAACGCAGAAGAGGAATGAATTACTCTCCTTAGTGAGTTGTGGCAAGTTTGAAAAAATAGATCAACTTTGAGCTGCACTTTGAGGGATGAGTAAGAATTTGTTTAGCGGAAAAGGAGGCCTATGCTGATGGAAAAACAGAGCTGTTAAAACACAAAGTATATTCAGAGAACAACAGATTGTCTGATATGACTTGAATGTAGGATGCAGGGCAGTGAGATGCTCTTGAAATGAGGCCAAAAAAAAATTTTTTAAGGCTTAGCCTGAACTGATCTTTGAAAGTCCTTGTATGTGACATTAAATAGCATGGTCTCTATGTGGAATTTATGTGGGGAAGGGATGTGGTGAAGTGTGTGTTTTAAGAAGAGGTAGTATAATGGCCAAGGTTGGGGAATGGATTAAAAAGGCCAGAGGCTGGGGCTGGGTGGCCCATTAGGTGGCTGCTGTTGTGGTCTGGGGCGACTCTGTAGAATAAGACGAGAGGGCAGCTGAGGGCAGAACCTTCCAGAACACCACTCTTCATGGGAGGCAGAGGAAGAGGGGCTGTTGAGAGAGGTAAAGAATGGTTGGTGGGTTCAGGCCCGAAAAATAACAGTAGTAACAATAGCAGTCATTCATTGAATACTCACCACACACCAGCTACTCCACTAAGTGCTTAATGAAATGGACATGCCTTGGCCCCTGGCAGCCCTGCATGGCTGTAGGCTTATCCTCTATTGTACAGATGGGAAGTTGAATAGTTTCATGGAAGCCAGAGAAAAGAAAGTTTCCAGAAAGAAGGGATGGGCAGCAGTGGGGCAGGTCCTGGTGAGGTGAGATGTGGTTCTAGAGTCCCTGGGATTTGGCAGGTGACCCTGGCTCTGTTTTTCCCAATAGGTATTCTCAGCCTCTGCACGAGGAGATAGCCCTGCACAAGTACCTTAAGCACCGCAATATCGTTCAGTACCTGGGCTCTGTTTCAGAGAACGGCTACATTAAGATATTTATGGAGCAGGTGCCTGGAGGTGAGTAGTCGCTGTCTTCTGGTCTCACATTCTGAAAATCACTACGACGTGGATGTCATTTGTTGTCCTGCCATTTACAAAATGACAGACCCCTAAGCCAGGCCTGTAGGGCGCCTGTAGTCCCAGTTACTTGGGAGGCCGAGATGGGAAGATCACTTGAGCCCATGAGGTCAAGGCTGCAGTGAGCCATGATCACAGCACTGCACTCCAGCCTGGGCGACAGAGCAAAACCCATCACTCTTTTTAAAAAAAAAAAAAAAAAAAAAAAAAAAAAAAAAAAAAAAAAAAAAAGCAACAGACCCTTTAGATGTTGGAAAGTTGGATACTTTCCAAATGTCATATAAGCAGTCTATTTCTGGTTTGTTGATGCAGTTTGTTCAACCCACAAATATTCATTGACTGTCTATGGAGAAAACATAGTCTTTGGCCTTGAGGCCTTCACAGTCTAGGAGTTTAAAGGTGGGTTTGGACAAGGGTGCAGAAGAGGGAACATAGATGTTAAAAGTGACAGTGCAAAATAGCATTTTGATAATGAAATCAAGCATCAGTGTTTTATCCACAAAAATCCCTGAATGCAAGAGATAGGGCACAGGAGGGGAGTTCCTGGGATCTGGACCCAGACCATCTAGTCTGAGTCCGTTCCTCCATCCACAAGCTGTGTGACTTCAGGCAAATTGTTATACCTCTCTGTGCCCTCAGTTTTCTGATTGAATAAATGAACTGTAAAATTGGAGTAATAATGACTCTGATAATTGGAGTAATAATTATTGGAGTAACAATTAACGCTGTCTCAGTGGGCTGTTGGGTGGATTCTGTCTGGCAGAGAACAAGAGCTCAGTAAGTGCTCATTGAAATAATGAATCAAACTCTTTAATTAAATAATAGTTATCTGAATACAGATGTTAAAACTTCAGTTAGAAATCTTCATTCATTCATTCAACTGACAGTTATTAAGAGTCTGCTATTACAGGAAGAGTCTTAAGTATATTTATTAAGAGCCAGGCAGTCAGCCAGGCACAGTGGTCACGCCTGTAATCCCAGCACTTTGGGAGGCCAAGGCAGGTGGATCACTTGAGGCCAGGAATTCGAGACCAGCCTGGCCAACATGGAGAAACCCCCTCTCTACTAAAAATACAAAAAATTAGCCAGGTGTGGTGGCGTGCGCCTGTAGTCCCAGCTACTCCGGAGGCTGAGGCACAAGAATCGCTTAAAACCAGGAGGAGGAGGTTGCAGTGAGCCAAGATCATACCACTCCACTCCATTCTAGGTTACACAGTGAGACTCCGTCTTCAAAAAAAAAAAAAAAAAAAAAAAAAAAAAGAGCCAGGCAGTGGGCTAGATTTTCAGGGTTATGTTAGAATAAATAAAGTAGTTTGTCTTTCCCTTAAGTTGGTCATAGTCTATCAGAAAACTCGTCCATTGCTGCTTTTTCTTTTTTTTTTTGAGATGGAGTCTCTCTGTCTGTTGCCCAGGCTGGAGTGCAGTGGTACGATATTGGCTCACTGATGGCAACCTCTGCCTCCTGGGTTCAAGCAATTCTCTCTGCCTCAGCCTCTCAAGTAGCTAGGATTACAAGTGCGTGCCACCACGCCTGGCTAATTTTTGTATTTTTAGTAGAGATGGGGTTTTGCCACGTTGACCAGGCTGGTCTTGAACTCCTGACCTCAGGTGATCTGCCCGCCTCGGCCTCCCAAAGTGCTGGGATTACAGGCGTGAGCCACCGTGCCCGGCCCCTTACTCTTCACGTTAGTTGATAACCCCATCCCCGGCGTTAGGTTTAAGGGTATCAACAGAAATAGAGACAGATGTGTTCATCCCCTTTTATAGATGGGGAAACCAAGGTAGATCAAGGTCCCATAACACTGTGTAAGTGGGAATCTGAGACCAGCCGATGTCTGAGGGCCCGTTCCTGCCAATGGACAGGACATCCCGCAGTTCACATGATGTCCTTCGAGACGTGGTCACAGTGTCCTTAAGGGAGCTTTTCTTTTGGCCCAAATGTTCAGTGTTTAATAGCGTAATTGGGGGAAGTGGTTGTTGATCAAGACAGTCCTGCCCTGAGACTTGCCACTGTGGCTTTCTCACATTGAGGACAGAGAGACCCAACTTCCTCCAGTCCTAGTCCTTGTCACCCTAAAGGGCCCCTCACTGTGGACCTGTCCACCTCTGATTACAGACAAGGTATAAAACGTGGCTTTAACCCAAGCAGAATGACTGAGACAGACCTGCTGTAAACAAGTGTCATGGGACCTGAGTTATCTACGCCAGCAGGCCATGCCCCTCAAGTTGAGAGAGCATTATTTCGCTCTCCTCCTAACTTCATGTAGCTGAACAGAGCTAAACCCACAATTGGCCCCACTGAATTTCAGGGGGCACAAGGGGTTCATGTTCACCCTGTGCCTCTGGTTAGGTTCATGTGCTCAATTGCTTCCAGTCCATTCCCTGGCTGTAGCTACAGAGGGGAGGAAACATGTTGCATTTAGCCCAGATCCGATGGTGTTGGTGTAAGCACTTAGGTTAGGTTAGAAACCTCACCTCACTTTATTTCCCTGAACTTTTATTGAAACTTTCTCTTCCTGATAAGTTTTTTGCTGTGACTGTCTCTAGGAAGCCTTTCTGCTCTTCTGCGATCCAAATGGGGGCCGATGAAGGAACCGACAATCAAGTTTTACACCAAACAGATCCTGGAGGGCCTTAAGTATCTTCATGAAAACCAGATCGTGCACAGAGACATAAAGGTACTTGCTTTTTTAAGCTGACGAGGTTGCCTTTGCTCGTATCAGATCATGAGAGCTGTCGATGGTGTCTGCTGAGTGACTGGCTGACAGAGGGGTATGATTTAGCACAACCGTCCCCAAAATGCAAAGTCTAGTTTTCCTAGAGACTTGTGACGGTTTCCCAAGGTCCAGATCTGTTTCATATGAGTTCGTTTCAGCCTGTCTTTTAAGCACTTGATGATGTTATTTTCCGAAGGGCGATAATGTTCTGGTGAACACCTACAGCGGAGTGGTGAAAATCTCCGATTTTGGAACCTCGAAACGTCTTGCGGGTGTGAACCCCTGCACAGAGACTTTTACTGGTAAGTGGACCAAAGCTTGGCACAGGGTGCCCATCCCAGAGTTACGCTTTCTGCACAAGCTGCGGTTGTTCAGCCGTTACTTAGTGAGCACCTTTTCTGAGCAGAGTGAGCAATTGATACTTGAAGTAGACAGTGGATTGTCCCCAACTTCAAATTGTTTTAACTTTGTCATAGTGATGCACCTAGCCAGCTACTTGTGGCAACAAGATTGCCCTACTTTCTTCTTTGTCATCCAAAAGTTGGGTAGATGGAGTGCTCTGCTGAGGTTCTGAGGTTTTCTTTTCTTTTTTTTCTTTTTTTCTTTCTTTTTTTTTTTTTTTTTTTTTTGAGACGGGGTCTCACTCTGTCGCCTAGGCTGGAGTGCAGTGGCACGATCTCGGCTCACTGCTACCTCCACCTCCTGGGTTCAAATGATTCTCGTCTCTCAGCCTCCCAAGTAGCTTGGATTATAGGCGCGCCCCCTACCACACCTAATTTTCTATTTTCAGTAGAGACGAGGTTTCACCATGTTGACCAGGCTGGTCTCGAACTCCTGACCTCAAGTGATTCGCCCACCTCAGCCTCCCAAAGTGCTGGGATAGATTACAGATGTGAGCCACCGCGCCTGGCCTCTGCTGAGGCTTTCTGAAGGTCACTCAACCAATCAGCAAGATGGCAGCACATCTCTTTAAAGTTAATAGCACATTATCTGAAATCGTGGGTAATGCTGAATAACAGTATTCCTCAGACAACTGATTAAGACATTTTATTGGTCTGTCATAAAAATAGCCTGTTACTGTAGTGAATTCTGGTACCTTGTGTTTTGATATGATTGTGTTTCCAAGAGAGGCTAATTCTTCCTGGGGAATATGGTATTCTAAGTGATTTTGAGGAATTGGATTTTCTTGTCCATGTGTCAGTAATGGAATAACTTGAGCATTGAGAGGGACTGGGTTCAAAGGGTGGTATACAATTACCAGCTAGTTTCACAGTTGTAAGATCAATAAGTAGAATGATGGTCAAAAGCTACTTGTGGCTATTGGAAATTCCTGCTTAAACCTGACTAATAACAAGAACTTTGATCCTTGGAAAGAAGTACTGATTTTTGAATAAGTAAAGGTTTATAGTCCCCCAAGGAGTAACGTAAAGATCACAAAGATCTTGCTTGATGGAATTATGAAACAGCTGGGGCCTGGTATAGTGGCTGACACCTGTAATCCCAGCACTTTAAAAGGCCAAGATGGGAGGATCACTTGAGGCCAGCAGTGCAAGACCAGCGTGGTCAACATAGTGAGACCCCATTTCTTAAAAGAAAAAAAAAAAAACAGCTTTCATAGGCTGGGCACTTTGGGAGATTGAGGCAGGAGGATCTCACTTGAGCTCAGGAGTTCAAGACCAGCCTGCGCAACATAGGGAGAACCCCATCTCTACAAAAAATAAATAATTATTATTATTACATATTATATTTATATATTATATGTTATATATAATATAATACATAATGATTATATATAATATATGTATATAACATATATTATATAGTAATTATTAGCTGGGTGTGGTGGTGTGCGCCTATGGTCCCAGCTACTAGTGAGGCTGAGGTGGGAGGATCGCTTGAGCCCAGGAGGTTGAGGCTGCAGTGAGCTGTGATTGTGCCACTGCACTCCAGCCTGGGTGGCAGAGTGAGACTCTGTCTCAAAAAAAAAAAAAAAAAAAAAAGAAAAAATTAGCTCTTAAAATAATATAGCTCTGAAATAAGCTATAAAAGACAGGTGACTGTTCTCTATCTCTGCAGTCACCAAAGCTGTAGGGTGGACAGCTTGGGTCTTATTTTTGGTAAATAATGTGTCAGCTTTGAAAGACTTTTTGTCAATGAGAGAGTTGTCGCGTGTCAGCCACTGGACACCCACAGTGGAGACACATTCACCATCTAAAGAGAATTTTAATACATCACAAAATGACTTCTCACTTGTAACACAAGGGGAGGTACATGTGCCTGAAAATGGGAAAATACTATACCAGGGACACTATCAGAATCTCCCAAAGAAAGAGTGCATTGAATTTTCATTCATTGTTTCTGGTATAAATATACGTATACATCTGTCAATGTGTGTATATGAATATGTGTGTATGACTAGCACTTCATTTTCTTTTAGCATTTTACTACCCTAATTGAAAATGACTTGTATCCTCCTCTTTGGAAGCCACCAATTAGCTTGGCAATACATAGCAAGAGGGGCTCTGATATGACAAGGAGTTATTTGAAGACATAAAACCCCCAACAATTTATCTCATAATTAGCTTCCCTGAGGAGGAAACAAACTCACAAAGAAACACATGTATAATTCATCCTTGCATATCACACTTCCCAAGTAATTGGCTTGGGGAGGCACGGATTTTGCATTGCAAAAGAATGCAGGGGTGTTTGGGGGATAATAAGGAAGGGGTCTCATTTTGGTTAGGAAATTCCCCCGCATATAATTGCTCTTTGCAAAACAGAGCAGTTCTGTAAGGAAATCTCAGCTGGTTGGTGCAGAACTCTGGGTCTGTGGTTGCTCAGCCTGGCAGGAGAGCCAGAGGGTTTCAGTCAACTTCCTGGCCTGGAGCCCTCCCTCCCTGTGTTCCTCTGAAGGGTTTGCCCCACACATAGGAACCTGCGAGAACAGGAGGAAGGGCTGTTATAGCCAGGGTCAGCCCTGCCTTTTTTTTTTTTTTTTTTTTAGCAGCCTTATCGAGGTATAGCTGACATATCATCAAAGCACCCATTAGAAGTACTCAATTCTTTGGTTTTCAGTAAATTTACTGAGTTGCTCAGCCATCACCACGATCCAGTGTCTGGACCTAGCAGACCCCGTGCCCCTTGGTACTCATCCCCATTCCCACTCCAGCCCCAGCTCATCACTCATCTGCTTTGTTGTGTTTGTGTGGCTTTGCCCGTTGTGGATATTCATATGCTTGGAATGAATACAATATGTGGGGTTTTGCATGTAGCTTCTTGCACGTTGAGTCCTGTTTTTGCAGTTCCTCCATGCAGTGGTGTGTATGGGTACTTCGTTGTTGTTCATGGCTGAATGGCATTCCATTGTGTGGAGAACCACATTTTGTTCATCCGTTTACCAGTTAACAGTCATTTGGGATTGTTTCTACTTTTTGGCCACTGCGAATAATGATGCTGTGAACATTCACATACAAAGCGTGTGTGAACATGTGTTTTCAGCCTTCTTGGGTAGATACCTAGAGGGAGAACTCGGGACAGGAAGTCTGTTCTCGTCTGGCTGCAAACATCGTTGGTTCAAATCCTGGCCCAACCACTTGCTAGCTGTGTGACCTTGGGCATATTACTTAACCTCCATGTGCCTCAGTTTCTTCGTAAGTAAAATAGAAATGCTCGTTGTACCTACTCATAGGGTTTTTATGAGGGTAAAGTGAGTTACTGATGAAGTGCTTTGACTGGTCCCTGGCACATAGCAAGTGCAATTGAAGTGTTTGCTAATTAAATACTCGCTTGTACTTAGAAGTCATGGGTTATTAGAGCTGGAAGGAGCCTTTGAGAGAACTGAGTTTGTGTGTGTAACTAACGTGTTGAACCCATTGGACTCAAAGGGTGTAATCACAAAAGCCACTGGATTTTTCTCTCCCACTTTTCATCCTGCCTGGGGCGGGAGTTCTTTCCTTTGACTTTTCCAGCCACCCTTACATAACAGAGAAAGTCATAATGACACTTGAAGGAGCGCACACAGTCTGAATTCAGGAATTAAAAAGGACTCATCGCTTGAAGCCGGGAGGCGGAGGTTGCATGAGCCGATTGTGCCACTGCACTCCAGCCTGGGTGACAGAGCAAGACCCTGTCTCAAAAAAAAAGATTCAGGCTGATACTGATCAACGCTCTGGTCCTCATTCAAAAGTCAGACCCCTCTCCCGTCTCCCTGCAGGCAGCGACCTGTGGTCAGGAGCTGGGTGTTGTCTTTTTCTCCCTAATCACCAGCTGCAGGAAGGAGAGGACAGGGGCAGGGAAAGTTGTTACTTGACTAGCACTGTTGGAAGCTGGCTTTGCGTGCTGTGGGCCTGGCTGATGTTTAGTTATCTTCCCTCGCTGGCTCCCTCTGGATGTAACTCCTGTGTCGTGGGCAGGGGCCTGTCCTTTGGCTGACAGCCCCCTCCTCCCAGTTATTTACCCCTTACATCACCTCCTCCTTCCATCTCTTTCTGTTGAGGGATTCAGATCGTGGAGGACTGCGTTTGAGCAGGAATTCCTTTTCTTTTTTCTTTATTTTTTTATTGGGCAGCCCCTGGAACCAGAATAGGTTCTGAGAGAGACTCCCAGGATTCCTTTTAAGAAGACCATATGCTGGGCACGCCTGTAATCCCAGCTCTCTGGGAGGCTGAGGTGGGAGGATCGCTTGAGCCCAGGAGTTTGAGACCAGCCTGGCCAACATAGTGAGGCCCCGTCTTTACCAAAAATATAAAAATCAGCTGGGTGTGGTGGTGCGCACTTGTAGTCTCAGCTACTCGGGAGGCTGAGGTGAGAGAATCACTTGAGCCCAGGAGAATGAGGCTGCAGTGAGTCATAATTGTGCCACTGCACTCCAGCCTGGGCGACAGAATGAGACCCTGTCAATCAGTCAATCAATCAAATAAATAATACAAATAAAAGATAAACCCTAAGGCAGTATTTCTGTAATAGGGTCCCCCATCTGGTGTCCAGAGTTCAAGCAGCTTCAGCCCACTGTTGAGAGGGTGTGGCAGTATCCCCACACCTTACAGCCCCCTGTCTGCTGCTGGAAGTTAACCTTTGCTCACTTGGGTGCCAGTCCACTGTGTAATTTACCTACAGGAACACATACACATGGAGCTGAGTCGCTCAGTGAAGCCCCCTTCAAAGGCTTTGGGTTAGGAACAAGTGGCGCCACCTTTCCACCAGGCTTATCCCTTGGTCAGGTCAACTAGGGTAGTCCCCTGGACTATGGGAAAATCGTACCTTACTTTTCTTTTCTGTACTTGATTAATATGAAATCTTGAAATTTAGGCTCTAACGGTATCTCCAAGGGCCTGTGGAAGATGTGATGATCATAAGTTGGTATTGAGTGGCTTGAGTTGCCCTGGGCCCACGCCCTTTTGGGGACAGTCCTGCCCCAAATCCTGTAACTTGGGAGAGGGTAGGCAGCCCAGCATAGCTCTCTCTAAAGAAGCTGTCTCAGCACCACCCCCCTAAACTACTCTGTCAACTCTCTCAGCCCCTTGATCAGATTAGAAGGTCCCTGGGCCTCGGTTATAAACTTGTGTCTTCTGCTGTGTGTCTTCTTTGCTGGTAATCTGAAAATCCTATTGGACAATTCTCCAGGAGTCCCCAGTGGATTTTGTGCCCTAGGGGGGCTGAGTCAGTGCCTGTGGGTCTCTTGGTCACCTTGTTCTGAACTCTGCACCACTGCACTGGTGTAGGTACCTAAGAGCCGTAGTGGGCTGTGACCAGTGACCAGTGTGGTAGGGCATACCTTGGAGGAAATATAGGTTAGGGAGCATATGGGGCCCCAAGAGAGCCAGATTTTTGTTTGTTTGTTTGTTTTGTTGAAATGGAGTCTTACTCTGTCGCCCAGGCTGGAGTGCAGTGGCGCGTTCATGGCTCAGTACAACCTCCACCACCCGGGTTCAAACGATTCTCCTGCCTCAGCCTCCCAAGTAGCTGGGACCACAGGCACACGCCACCATGCCCGGCTAATTTTTGTATTTTTAGTAGAGACGGGGTTTCACCATGTTGGCCAGGCTGGTCTTGAACTCCTGACCTCAAGCCATCCACCTGCTTCGGCCTCCCAAAGTGCTGAGATTCAGGTGTGAGCCACCGTGCCTGGCCTATGAGAGCCAGATTGAAGGAAACCCAATTTTCCAGGATTTGTGCGTGATTCAGATGCCCCACAATGCCATCTTCACTTGGTTTTCTTGACAGAATCCAGCCTTTGGGTTAGCTGATGTACACACCCAACATGCATCCTGCCAGGGAGTGTTCCCTTGAGTATCTGAAATAGTTGTGTGCATTTATCTCTCTCTGTTAGCTGTTCTGAGAGTGGATGGTTACCTTGTGAATACAGTAGTGAATAAAATGGAGCACCCAGTTTTCCATTAGTGCCCTGTACCTTCCAGTTACATGGAAAGATGCTCCAATATGGCTTTGGAAATCCTTACACGTGCTACTCTTATTCAGGCAGCTTTTTTTTTCCAGCAGCGCTTCTTCTTGATGTAGTGTATGGATGAGTGATGTCATGGTGTGTAGTTCTGAACTTGAAGGTAGAAGATATGGGTTCTAGCCTAAGCGAATCCTTTAGCCTCTCTGAACCTCAGTTGCCTCCTGTGTAAAGTAGGAATAATGGTAGATAGTGCTTCCTCTGCCTAACCTTCCAGAGTCGTTTGAGTCAGATGGACAAGGCTATGTGGAGACAATTGGTAAGCCATCAAGTGCTCACCAGGAGTCAGATTTGTGGCAGGCAGCCTCCAAAATGACCCCCAATGATCCCTACCTCCTGATAGTCACACCCTTGCGTAGTTCCCTCCCGTTGAATGTGGACTGGACTTAGCAACTTGCTTCTGATGAATAGGAAGAAGTGGGAGTGATGGTGTGTGACCTGGACACTAGGTCATAAAAGGCAGTGTGCCATTCCTCTTTCTCTCGGATCAGTCTCTCTGAGGGAAGCCATGTCTCAAACCAGTCCTATGGAGGATCCCATGTAATGAAAAACTGAAGCCCCCCACTAGCTCTATCCTTAGTGAGCTTGGAAACTGATCCTCCAGCCCCAGTCCAGCCTTCAGATGACTGTAGCCCCAGCTGACATCTGGACTGCAACTTCCTGGGAGACCCTGAGCCAGGTCCACCCAGCTAGTTAGTTGCTGCTGGATTTCAACCCTTAGAAACGCTGTAAGACCTAACTATTTGTTGTTTGAGTTGATAGATTTGGGGGATCATTTCTTAAACAGCAGTAAATAACTAATATGAATGTCATTATTAAATCCTTGCCTTTAGAAAGAGTGCTGTTCACCATGGCTCCATATTTTTAAAAATCTGCAAATTTATTTTTAACTTTTGTGGGTATATAGCAGGTATATATATTTATGGGGTATATAGACTATTTTGATACAGGCACACAATGTGTAATAATCACATCAGGGTAAATAAGGTATTTATTACCTCAGGCATTTATCCTTTGTGTTACAAACAATCCAGTTATGCTCTTTTCAGTTTTTTAAAATGTACAGTTTTTTTTTTTTTTTTTTTTTTTTTTTTTTTCCCCTGAGACAAGGTCTCACTCCCATCTGCCCAGGCTGGAGGGCAGTGGCGTGATCTCAGTTCACTGCAGCCCCAACTTCATGGGCTCAGGTGATCCTCCCACCTCAGCCTTCCAAGTAGCTGAGACTACATGTGCACACCACCAACCCTGACTAATTTTTTGTACTTTTTTAGTAGAGATGGGGTTTCGCTGTGTTGCCCAGGCTGGTCTCAAACTCCTGGGCTCAAGTGATCCACCCACCTCGGCCTCCCAAAGTGCTGGGATTGCAGGCATGAGCCACCATGCCCAGCCAAAATGTATTGACTATGGTCACCCTGTTGTGCTATCAAATACTAGATCTTATTCATTCTTTCTATTTTTTTTTGTACCCACTAACCATCCCCACCTTCCCCCAGTCCCCACTGCCCTTCCCAGCCTCTGGTAACCATCCTTCTACTCTCCATGTCCCTGAGTTCAATTGTTTTGATTTTTAGCTCTCACAAATAAGTGAGAGCATGCAATGTTTCTCTTTCTATGCCTGACTTATTTCGCTTTATATAATGATCTCCAGTTCCATCCATGTTGTTGCAGATGACAGGATCTCATTCTTTTAATGGCTGAATGGTACTCCATTGTGTATATGTACCACATTTTCTTTATCCATTCATCTGTTGATGGACACTTAGGTTGCCTCCAAATCTTGGCTATTGTGAACTGTGCTTCAACAAACATGCGGGTGCAGATATCTCTTTGATATACTGATTTCCTTTCTTTTGGGTATATACCTAGGAATGGGGTTGCCGGATCCTATGATAACTCTATTTTTAGGTTTTTGAGGAACCTCCAAACTGTTCTCCATAGTGGTTGTACTAATTTACACTCCCACCAACAGTGTATGAGGGTTCCCTTTTCTCCACATCCTCGCCCGCATTTGTTATTGCCTGTCTTTTGGATATCAGCCATTTTAACTGCAGTGAGATGCTATCTCACTGTGGTTTTGATTTGCATTTTTCTGATGATTAGGGATGTTGAGCACCCTTTCATATGCCTGTTGGCCATTTACAAATGTCTTCTTTTGAGAAATGTCTATTCAGATGTTTTGCCCATTTTTAAAAATCTAATTATTAGATGTTTTCTTATAGAGTTGTGTGAGCTCCTTATATATTCTGGTGACTAATCTCCTGGCAGAGGGGTATTTTGCAAATATTTTCTCCCATTCTGTGGGTTGTCTCTTCACTTTGCTGACTGTTGCCTTTGCTGTGCAAAATCTCCAAATTTAGAATTAAGCAGACTAAATAGGCTTCAATTAGGAAATAATTGTACCAGGATGGACAGTTATTTGACCAGAGCCAATTAGCCATTGATGTTTGGTTTAGCGTTTCTTTTCTACTGCTGGATACATCTATAAATGTATTCTCTTGCTCTTTGAAGAAATAAATTTAGTGATTATATTAGTCAGGGTCCAGGCAGAAAAACAAAAATAACCCCAGTTATTTCCATGGAGAGAATTTAATAGAAATAACTGTTTGCTGGTTACCAAAAACCAGAAAGGCAGAAAGGGAGGCCCTGAGGTATCAGGAAGCCTGTACCCCTGGGGCTTGGGGGTCAAATGGGAGGGTGAGATTAGAACTTGTTCGGAGGGAGTGTCACCAGGCTGGAGCAGGTACCTCTGAGGGGCAAGATGAGGCTGGTTCTGGAAGTACGGGGTGACACACAGCGGGAGACTGGGGCCGACTGAGGGTCCAACGCCAAGCTTAGGGCCACAGCAAGCACACAGCAGGTCTCCGCTTCCTCCCGCATCCTTCCAGGGTCTCTCTTTAGCGCCACCTGGTTGCGGAGCCTAATGGGGAGCTGCAGGCGAAGCAGAGTCCCAGACTCAGCATCACAGAGCAGAGCTGAGAGAGGGTAGCTTCATAAGCAGCACAGTATCGGATCCTTCCTCAATTAGGGATTCGTTAGAAGGCACATTCCCTGCCAAGACCTCTCCCTCTGTTACAGCAGCAAGAGCCCATAGGGGATATTGTGTCATCGGATGTTCCCTTCTTGGGGCTCTGGGATTTCCTAACAGGGCATCAAGTGTAATGCGCTGCCATGTTGCCCAACTCTGCAACTCACTGAACATTTCCCCGCCAGGGCATCAGCTCTGGAGACCAAAGCCATCATTTGTTCCTCATCGATCTGTTGTGCTCACTGATACAACCCAATTCATATTTAAGTTTATATTTAAGTCACTTGTAATTGAATACAATTAAAACTTAAAAATGCATTTCTTCAGTCTCACTAGCTACATTTCAAGGGCCCAACAGTCAAATATATGAGGCTAGTGACTACCATATTTAACCACACAGGATAGAACGTTGCCATCAGCGCAGGACATTCCATCCGTCACAGCTGCCCCTAGAGTATTTAAAGAATGCTAATAAGACATAGGATCTTCCAGAGGGGGACACAGGAGGTAGTTTCTCCAAACTTTCTTTATAGCCAGTGCGCCCTTTGCTTTCCTTTTTTTTTTTTTTTTTTTTTTTGGAGACTGAGTCTCGCTCTGTCGCCAAGGCTGGAGTGCAGTAATGCGATCTCAGCTCACTGCGAGCCAGGTTCAAGGGATTCTCCTGCCTCAGCCTCCCGAGTAGCTGGGATTACAGGCACCCACCACCATGTCTGGCTAATTTTTGCATTTTTATATTTTTAGTAGAGACGGGGTTTCGCCATGTTGGCCAGGCTGGTCTCGAACTTCTGACCTCAGGTGATCCGCCTGCCTCGGCCTCCCAAAGTGCTGGGATTACAGGCGTTAGCCACCATGCCCGGCCCTGCTTTCATTGATTAAACCTTTAGTTGTGTAATCCTCAGATAGGCCTTTGAATTTCTCTGGGTTTCAGTGTTCTATTCATGCGTGGCCAAGGTCAGAGCTCTGACTTTGCTGTCTTTTTCTAAATTTCTTTGCCAGCCCCCAGGAGCTGCTGTCACTTTCACACACGTCCCCTTTGCACAGGCTGAGTTTCAAGGAAAACGAAGGATGTTATTCGCAGAGCCCTTGACTGACCTCCCCGTGTGCTGTCTCCCACAAGAGCACGTCCAAAGCCAGAGCCCTGGGCCCACCCTGCTTGCCACTGGGCCTGTGCCCTTGCCATTGCCTCCTTAACTATTCCCACACCCTGCCCCGTGTCAGACATCGCTTGTTCCCCGGACCGCTGTCTATCTCACACCCATGATCCCCTTTGTCCAGCCCTCCAGCCTTCGCAGCAGGACCCTGCTTCCCTGACAGCCCCGGCTACCAACCCAGCAAAGTTACACTTTACCCAGGCTGCTCCCCACCAAGGCCTGAGCCTGGCAGGGGTGCTAGAACCCAGGTGGGACTCCTCCAGTGGATGACTTGGGGCTGCAGACTCCCCAGCAGCCTGGCTGAAGCCCTCTCCGGGCTGCTCTCCCATCCCAGATTCTTCCTGATTCTGCCTTCCTCTCCGCTCCCAGGTGTTGCACCTGCCATGTGGTCCGCAGCCGGCCCTGCCCACCCTGCTCCCTCCCGCTTTGTCCTTCAGAGACCTTCTCCCCAATAAATCTCTCATATGTCTCATCTCGTCTTGGCATTTTACTCCTCAGAGGCCCAAATGGACACAGCCATAGTGTTTCCTGACCCGAACCAGGCAGAGAGTCAAACCCTATTTTATTAATGCTCTTGCAGCCTTCTGTGTATTTCTCTGTCCTAGCACCTACCACATTTTGCCATTACTGCCACCGCTGCCAGCATTCTGTCTTTGTCTCCTCCACTAGGCACCTCCCTACCATCAGGCTGTGTTTCTCACGTTCTGGCTTCCCTGTATTTGGCATGTACTAATATGTGCTGACTGAATTGCGCCATTTGTCCTTTGATGGGCCAGGCAGTCCTCTCTCCACGTGGTTAGTATTAAAGGAAGGCATGTTGCATGCCTCTGCTCAAAGAAATATGCAGTCAGGCCAGGAGCAGTGGCTCACGCCTATAATCCCAGCACTTTGGGAAGCTGAGGCAGGCACATCACCTGAGGTCAGAGAGACCAGCCTGGCCCACATGGTAAAACCTCGTCTCTACTAAAAATACAAAAATTAGCCGGGCATGGTGGTGTGTGCCTCTAATCCCAACTACTTGGGTGGCTATGGCGTGAGAATCGCTTGAACCCGGGAGGCGGAGTTCGCGGTGAGCCGAGATCACGCCACTGCACTCCAGCCTGGGCGACAGAGCAAGACTCTGTCTCAAAAAAAAAAAAGAAGCAACCATATTATTTATGCATGGGACAAGACTCCATCTGCCATTTGTGAAGCCATTCATTTCACAGTTAGTGGTGGGTTTTTTGTTTTGTTTTGTTTTTGAGACAAGGTCTTGTTACATTGTCCAGGCTGGTCTCCAACACCTGGGCTCAGGTGATCCTCCTGCCTCAGCCTCCCGAGTAGCTGGGACTACAGGCCACTTAGTTTCTGAGCAATATGGTACCCACAGCCTGTTTGTTTGTTTTCCAAATAGGCACCCTGCAGTACATGGCACCTGAGATAATTGACCAAGGGCCTCGCGGATATGGTGCCCCAGCCGATATCTGGTCCCTGGGCTGCACCATCATTGAGATGGCCACCAGCAAGCCTCCGTTCCATGAGCTTGGTGAGCCGCAGGCAGCCATGTTCAAAGTAAGTCATGCTTCGTGATTGAGGTTGGGCGTGGTTGGGAAGTAGAATTAAAAACAAAGTCTCCTCCCAATCCAGAAAACCTCTCCACAAAGGTAGGAGAGAAGGAAACAGTTTTATTATTGGATAAGCATTAAACCAGAATGCGAGGTGCATCACAGGCAATCCACTGAGACTGCAAAGATGGAAAGCAATCTCACTGTTTCATAGAGCCGAGCAGACACAACCCGTGACATCTGTGTTCTCAAGAGAAACCGTAACTAGTCCTCAAGTAAGACAACTTGGTGGTGCCATTTGTCACAAGGAGCTCATCTTAGATTCACCTGGTGATTGGGGGGACCATTGGTGTTCACTGTTTGGCTTCATCCAAAGGAAAATATAGGCCGGGCGCGGTGGCTCACGCCTGTAATCCCAGCAATTTGGGAGGCCGAGATGGGTGGATCACCTGAGGTCAGGAGTTAGACACCATCCTGGGCAACATGGCAAAACCTCGTCTCTGATACAAAAATCAGCTGGACGTGGTGGCGCATGCCTGTAATCCCAGCTACTCGGGAGACTGAAACAGGAGAATCGCTTGAATCCAGGAGGCAGAGGTTGCAGTGAGCCGAGATTGCACCACTGCAGTCCCGCCTGGGTGACAGCAAGACACTACCTCAAAAAAAAAAAAAAAAAAAAAAAAAAGGAAAAACACTAAACTTCTCATATCTTTAAGACAGTAGGTAGTTTTGGAGTGAAGCCACCATCAAAGTTAGAAACCTACCTTCCTATTTCTGGGAGAGCAGAGTTATGAAAACATTAATAAAAGATGACAGGTTTAAAAAAAAAAAAGAAAAAGGAAACTAGGAGATAGAGGCCCTATCTTCTTTGATGATTACATTTCAGAGAGATGGCTTCCAGGTCCTTGCAAAAGACATTTCTGGCAAGAGTCTTATTTAGCCGTTTAAAAGATTCACGTATATCTCAGAGACAGAGAAAGAACCTTAAAGTTATAAGTTCTCTCAAGTCAAGGCTCTAAGAAAGCTGGGCAGGGTGGGGGAGGGTCCTTTCCCTTTATTTTCAACAGGGAGAATCCAGCCCCTTAGTTTCCCTTCATGTTTGCTCTTACAGTGGGTAAGGCTCAAAGGCCATGTGGGATCTGTGCCTTTGGGGGACAGGTTTCTGACTGGCTTCTGGAGAGGTGGGAGTTGGGCTATCAGGTAAATATATCCCTTATCATTCCAACAACCCTCCCCGAGCTAACAGGAAGGGCAGCCCATGTACTGGGGCCAACATAGTGCAGATTGAGCATTGCGGGTGGGGGTTTTACCGCCGAGCAGCCAAGATTGTGGAAAGGGATGTCCTTCCTTGTGACCTCACGGGAAGCTGATGCCAGGACACCCCGGTGTACCCAAGGTTGGGTGTGCAGCTTCTGGCCTCATGTATGCTTAGAAACATGTAAGGGGCTTGATGTGGTTTGGCCATGTCCCCACCCAAATCTCATCTTGAATTGTAGTTCCCATAATCCCCACGTGTTGTGGGAGGGACCCGGTGGGGATAATTGAATCATGGGGGTGATTTCCCCCATCCAGTTCTTCTGATAGTGAGTTCTCACGAGATCTGATGGTTTTATAAGGGGCTTCCGCCTTTGCTGGTTCTCATTCTCTCTCCTGCCGCCCTGTGAAGAGGTGCCTTCTGCCATGGATGTAAATGTCCTGAGGCCTCCCCAGCCGCGTGGAACTGTGAATCAATTAAACCTCTTTATAAATTACCCAGTCTCAGGTATTTCTTCATAGCAGCATGAGAACAGACTAATGCAGAGCTCTAGCCCTAGGATGCCATTACCAGCACTGACCTTCCATGGGGCACTGCCTTGAGACAGCAGGGTCACAAAAGGCCAAATGGCCATTGCTTATGGATGATGAGGCCGCAGTGTGTGGACACGGCCCTGATAGAACGCGATTCCAGAGGCGTCTTCCTGGCTTCTCTGCCAAACACGGTGCCTTCATGGCCTGTGTCTGTGCCAGGCTCTCTGCTTCCCTCTTGGGCAGAAGGAACTTGGAGGTGTGAGTGCAGGTTTCTGCCGGTTGAGGTGAGGGCAGCATGTTCAATGGGTCCCGAGTGCTGCCTGCTTGGGTGCCTTGGCTGCTCTCTCCAGCCCGGCGAGGCCCCTGCAGAAGGGTCTCAGAGCTTCTCACCTCCTATCAGCTGCTTGGGTTCAGAGCCCAGGCCAAGACCTCAAGTCGACAAGAGTCTTCTGATACCTGCAATCCCAAGAGGACCCTCAGCTCCTGGGCTGGAAGACAGCAATGACCGTCCTCAGCACTTTGACCGTGTGCGGTGGACCCTGTTGGGGCCGTTGTAGATCTAACCTGCAGCTTCCATGGCAGCGTTGGAATAAACAGCAGCTGGTGACGAGGAAAACATGAGGCCCACCTGAGAGCCATGGCTGGCTGCTTTTTGACCTGCTGCTGACTTCCGGGAAACCAGGGAGAGAGCTGAAGGCTGTGACTGGCTCGATTCCTCCGCAGGGCATGCCTGGCTCCCCGCCTCCTCTTGTTTTTGTTTAGCGAATTCACTGTACAAAGTCTCTCTTTTTTTTTTTGACAGAGTCTCACTCTGTCGCCCAGACTGGAGTACAGTGGCACAATCTTGGCTCACTGCAGCCTCTGCCTCCCGGGTTCAAGCGATTCTCCTGCCTCAGCCTCCCAAGTAGCTGGGATTGTAGGCATGGGCCACCATGCCTGGCTATTTTGTATTTTTAGTAGAGATGGGGTTTCACCATGTTGGCCAGACTGGTCTCAAACTCCAGTGATCCACCTGCCTCCGCGTCCCAAAGTGCTGGGATAACAGGCGAGAGCCACCGTGCCCCGCCTGTATGAAGGGTTTGAAAATGTACTGACTTTTTTGGATGGCATATGAAGTCACTTTTCATTGCCAATGAGAAAGTTATTATTAAATAAGTAATGGCCCCTGTGTTATTTCTGGGATCCTTCATTCCTTTAGAAAACTTTCAAGAAACTTCTGGGCAGTGTCTGAAACAAAGGACACTCTCTTTCCCCTGAAGGGACTGTTACAGATTTAACTGTGTCACCCAAAAATGATATATGGAAGTCCTAACCCCCAGTACCTCAGAATGTGACCTTCTTTGGAAATAGGGTCTTTACAAAGAAAATCAAATGAAAATGGGTTCTGGAATGTGGGCCCTAATCCAGTATGACTGGTGTTTTGGACTTTTTTTTTTTCTTTTTTAAATCTTTCTTTTTATTTTTTTTAACTAGTCAAGTGAAACAGTGGGAGTGGGGAAGGAACAAAGAAATCTCTAACTGGTTGTCATCAACTAGCTGCAAACACCACTGCACTCGGACCAGCCTGGTGTCTTTTAAAAAGGGGGGATATTTGAGCCAGGTGCATTGGCTCACCCCTATAATCCCAGCACTTTGGGAGGCCGACGCAGGAGGATCACTTGAGGCCAGGAGTTCAAGATCCCCCGGGGCAACATAGCAAGACCCCGTGTCTACAAAAGATGAAAAAATTAGCCCATGTGGTGGTGCACACCTGTGGTCCCAGCTACTCAGGAACCTGAAGCAGGAGGATCCCTTGGGCCCAGGAGTTGGAGGCTGCAGTGAGCTATGATCATGCTACTGTATTCCAGCCTGGGTGACCAAGTGAGACCCTGTCTCAAAAAGTTGGGGGGTGGGGGTGGAGATTTGGACACACATGCTCAGAAGACAAAGTACGATTCCCAGGGGAATGCCTCGGGGAGGCAGAGGAGAGAGGGGGGTGCATCTAGGAGCCAAGGAGCGCCAGAGACCGCCCGCAGACCACGAGAAGCTAGAAGAGGCAAAGGCGGGGATTCCCTGCATGTTTCAGGAGTCCCTGGCCCTACCAACGCTTGGATCTTGGACTTCCAGCCTCCAGGACTGTGAGACAATAAGCACCTGTTGTTTCAGCCACCCAGTTTGTGGTATTTTGTTACAGTGGCCCTAGGAGACCAATACAAGGAGCTTTTGGGTCACGGCAAAGCACCCTTAAAGAGGACATCCCAGCCGGGTGTCATTGTGCTGCCCACATTTGCTGTTTTCAGAGAGCCGGGCAGAGGCCACCCTTTCCTTTTCATGTTCTTGCCTGAATGTTGGTCTTTGTACCCCTAGTGCCTGTGAACAGTGCCAGCTTAACCTCCCTACCGCTCAGGTGAGAGGAGCCACCTGTGAGGCACCCTGCATTGCAGACCTGGCGGTGGGTGGGATTTCACCCAGCATTTAGTGTTCTTCGAATCCGTAACTCCTGAGCTGGGCAGCCTGGCCAGGAGGAGCGCTGTGTTGGAAACAGCACATGGCCGTGACTGCCAGGTCAAGGGCCTTGGGGACAGGAAGTGGGGAGGCCTGGCCCTCTACACTCTGCAGCACCCTGAGCTCACTCGGCGGGGATTGTGGAGGCTGAGCCAGCCCCCAGGAGCTCTGAGGAGCTGGGAATGGGCATGGGTCTGGAGGACAGAACAGCTTCCACGCCTGGATTGTTGGGTGGGCTTGGAAAAGACACAGGGTGGACTGTGAAACTGAAGGTGACAACTCCTAAAAAGATGAGAGGGCCACCCTACTGGGAACAGTTATGAAGGAGGGGGCTATATAACATGTCACGGAAGCATGTCCGTGTCACAGCGAGATGTGGCAGCTCAGAACCAACTCTTACTTCCCTACAGGTCACAGGGACAGAGAGCCATTAGTTACCTGTCTATACATTGGCAGCCTCAAGGTTTTGTCTGCTTGTGGTTTTGAGCTGGAGGCTGGGAATCTGGGCTGTGGATGCAGAGGGATTGAGAGGTGTTAAAGGCATCTCTTGGGGACCCTGTGCGTCAGGGAACAGGTAACAGATGCCTTTGAGTATCCTTAGAGGACATGCCGCCCTAGGCTGTGGCCCAAGTCCCATCTCAGTTCTCTACTGCTATGTACCAAACCACCCCAAAATTTCAGAAGCTTAAAACGATGACTTTTTCTCATGCCTCTTTGAGCTGACTGTTGGCTCTTCTGTGGGTTTTGCCTGGGCTCACTCACATGGTTGCAGCCAAGTGGTGGTTTGGGGGAGCAGGGTGGCCTGAGAGGCCCCTCCCTCATGGCAGTTCCAGCTGGGATGGCTGGGGCGTCCTCTCCACGGGGTCGTACCTCCTGGGCTTCCTCTCTGCATGGTGGTCTCGGGGCTTTAAGGGTGACTAGCGGAGCCACAAGACCTCTTAAGGCCCGGGCCCTGAAACTCTCACCATGTCACTTCTGTCACTATCTGTTGGTCAAAGTCAAGTCACAAGATGCCAGTGAGGGGGAAATGGACTCCACCTTGGGGTGGGAGGAACAAGAACGTGACGTTGCAAGGGGGCATGGATTATGCCTGTCCTGGGATGTCAGGTGTACAGGAGCTTTGGACTGAGACATGGATACCTGAATTCACCCAAGGCCTCACTGACACATCGGTTACCTCTCCCTTAAATGCAGGTGGGCATGTTTAAGATCCACCCTGAGATTCCAGAAGCCCTTTCAGCTGAAGCCCGAGCCTTCATTTTATCCTGTTTCGAGCCTGACCCCCACAAACGTGCCACCACTGCTGAGCTACTGAGAGAGGGTTTCTTAAGGCAGGTGAACAAGGGCAAGAAGAACCGAATTGCCTTCAAGCCCTCAGGTGAGGCCTCCCTGGACAGCTGGGGCAGCACCCTGGCCACAAGAATGCTGGGCGCTGGGCTTCTCTGCTGCTCAGGAGGGAGAGTTCTGGCTATCCAGAGCCCTGGGCTGCTCACGTCATTCCCATTTTTGTGAAGAGTGACGGGGCCTGTGCAGTAGGTTTGGAGGTTGTCAAAATCCAACTAATACATGCACCTCGATCTCCTGACAGAGGCCCAGGGAGTCTCTGGGTGACTGGGCTGCCGTCTGCTGGAAGTTGTTCCTTCGGGATTGGGAAGAGAGTGGGGAGGCAAGAGGTACCCCAGCTGGGGTTCTGCGTCTTCACCATGTGCCAGAGCCTGGGGCTTCAGTTTTGGAGCCTGGCTTGTCATCGTGTGCCAACCCTGACCTTGATTAAAGGATTTGTCAGGGAGGTTTGCCTGATGTGGCTGTCCTGCAGGCCACCGAAGTCCAGTGACACCTTCTGGGGCAGTAAGTCCTAACTGGCAATGATGTAAGAGTGGCCCCTGAAAAGGAAGCAGTTTGTCCTCTTTTCCCTGGTACCGATCGGGGTCAGAAGCTGCCAGAGTGAGTGGCTCAGCAACTTGCTCCATGAGGGACCCCCAACTGCATGCATCTGAGTAGAAATACAGCACCTGTGGCCCGTCCCCCGCCCAACCCACATTTCTACAGGATCCTGGGTGCCTGGGCGGTTCACCTGGGCTTGAGGGGCTGCCAGGGACTCAGCTCCACCCCGTCCCTCTCTGAGTCTCCCCATTCGGTGTCTGGCTGTCCCCCTACAGAAGGTCCCCGCGGTGTCGTCCTGGCCCTGCCCACACAGGGAGAGCCCATGGCCACCAGCAGCAGCGAGCACGGCTCTGTCTCCCCAGACTCCGACGCCCAGCCTGACGCACTCTTTGAGAGGACCCGGGCGCCCAGGCACCACCTTGGCCACCTCCTCAGGTACACCCGTATTCTGTCTGTCTGCCGCGGGCCCGAAAGGGTGCTGGTAGTCCTCCGCCACAGGGCACCTCCCTGGTCCCAACCAGATGGCCACTGAGGGGTTTTACTTCCCTTCTGCAGGGCAGTAGGGCAGCTGAGCCGCCCCATCCCGGCAAGGAGGGTGCTTCGTTCACTTGCTGTCCCTTCCCCTCCCTCCCTGTCCTTTCATTCCCCACATGTGCCCTCCCCCACCTCTCCTCTTCCCTTCTCTCTCCCCTCTCCTTCGACACTTCCCCTCTCTCCTCTTCCCCCTCTCTCTCCCCCTCACCCTTGCCCCCTCTGTCCCTGCATCTTCCGGCCCCCTCCTCCTCCTGGCCCCTCCTCCTCCCTTCCTCCTTTTCCTTCCTCTCTCTTCCTCCTTCCCCTGTCCCCCTCACCTTCCCTCCCTCACCTCTCCTTCTGTGCTTGCCCCCTTCCCTCCCTCCCTCCCTCCTCCCTGTCTCCTGGGAGGCTCCTTTACCCCGCCTCCCCCTCCTTCTGCTCTCCCTCCTGCTGTGGGGGTTGACAGAACACTGCATGTCTGTCCTTCCTCCGGCAATTTCATCTTCTTGAGCACAGGGACTGCATCGCAGTTACCTCTCAGCCCTTCTCCAGGGCGTCCTAACATGACACACTCCCAGGGACAGTGCCCCGGCACGCACAGAGATTGTCACACGTGTTTGTCCACAGTGTTCCAGACGAGAGCTCAGCCTTGGAAGACCGGGGCTTGGCCTCGTCCCCGGAGGACAGGGACCAGGGCCTCTTCCTGCTACGCAAGGACAGTGAGCGCCGTGCCATCCTGTACAAAATCCTCTGGGAGGAGCAGAACCAGGTGGCTTCCAACCTGCAGGAGTGTGTGGCCCAGGTATTTGCCCGAGGGAGGGCACCGACTCTTCCCGCTCCCTCTGCCCAGGTCCCAGTCCCCAGACAGGTCCAATCAGGACCTCAGTTCCTGCCGCCCTGGAACATCTGCATAGTTACGGTGATCACTGTAAATGTTTCCCTAACGTCCTTCCCTTCCCCAACAAAACAAAAGAAAATACAAAGAAAAAAAGCTCTGCCGAAACATGAATTTGCAGATACCGCAGTGATTCCAGGCACTGGTGGGGCGGTGCTGCCCCCTGGTGAAAACCAGCCAGATTGTAGCAGAAAGCCCGAAGCACCTTCTCTGGCCTCTCATGATCCGGTTTTGAGTCCTGGAGTTAATCCCCAGCTGTAGGACACGCTAGAGCTGCCCTCAGAAGCTGGGAGAACAGCCACCTTGGGGAGGGTGGTTATGGGTGAAAATAACTGATTTTGAACTAGGGCACAGGACTGGCAAACCGATTCCCCTCCATTATTTCAGTTTATTTATTATTGTTTTTTAATCTTTTTTTTTTTTTTTTTTAGACAGTCTCACTCTGTCGCCCAGGCTGGAGTGCAGCGGTGTGATCTTGGCTCACTGCAACCTCCGCCTCCTAGGTTCAAGTGATTCTCCCGCCTCAGCCTTTCCAGTAGCTGGGATTACACAGCGCCTGCCACCACACCCAGCTAATTTCTGTATTTTTAGTAGAGATGGGGTTTCGCCTTGTTGGCCAGGCTGGTCTTGAACTCCTGACCTCAGGTGATCTGCCTGCCTAGGCTTCCCAAAGTGCTGGGATTACAGGTGTGAGCCACCGTGCCCGGCCCCCCTCCCTTATTTCAGATGGAAAAGGGCCTTTTAGGAAGAGGCCGCTGCTCCGCTCTGAACTATGTCTATGGCCTTGATGGGGGCTCTTACAAGGGGTTAAACAGGAAGCCATTCACAGAGGGGCTTAGCTGTACACCCACCAGGGAGAAGGGGCCAGGACCCTGACAGGAAGGTTATGGAGGGAACAAACAGAGACCCCTTCTCACCTGGGAGTTCCACAAGTTTCTTAGCAAATGGACCATCTTGTTTCCCCCAGTGTGTTCTGAACTCTCGCTCTCTCAATCTGACTCAATGAAAATGATTTGTGTGTGTTTTCAGAGTTCCGAAGAGTTGCATCTCTCAGTTGGACACATCAAGCAAATCATTGGGATCCTGAGGGACTTCATCCGCTCCCCAGAGCACCGGGTGATGGCGACCACAATATCAAAGCTCAAGGTGGACCTGGACTTTGACAGCTCGTCCATCAGTCAGATTCACCTGGTGCTGTTCGGATTTCAGGATGCCGTAAGTGCTCCATCTGGCCCTAGGGAACACACCAGATCTTGGAATTCAGTTACCACCTCCTCCCATAGCCCCCATCTCTTCTTAACTGTATACACCTGAATCCCAAGCTTCAGCAGCTCCTCCTAAACAATGAAGTCCAGGAAATGGCATCTGGGTGAACTGGCTGATTGCATGCGGCCCCCAAGAGGATGAGTGTAGGTTGCCGTGATTCTCCGTGCAATGCACTGGAAATCTGGATTTTTGTGATTTTAGTTTATTTTATTATTTTTTTTTTTTTTAGGTAAATAAAATTTTGAGGAACCACTTAATTAGGCCCCACTGGATGTTCGCGATGGACAACATCATCCGCCGAGCGGTGCAGGCCGCGGTCACCATTCTCATCCCAGGTGAGCGCCCCCTTTGTGGTCAAGGTCAGCTTTAGGCCGTGAAAAGATAAGAAATATCCTCTTCATTCAACAGTTGTTGCTTTTCTCTTTTCCATCTTGGTTATCTACTTCCTTGGAATTAAATGCATGTTGTCATAGACTTCTTCCGGGGCTGATTCTGTAGTTCTGAGAGCATCTCGTGGTGCTGTATTTACGTGTCCCTGAAGCATGATGAAGGTGACTACACATAAACTATAACTCACAATCTCAAAAGGGAGCATGGGGCCGGACGCGGTGGCTCATGCCTGTAATCCCAGCACTTTGGGAGGACGAGGTGGGCAGATCAGCTGAGGTCAGGAGTTCAAGACCAGGCTGGCCAACATAGTGAAACCCCGTCTCTACTAAAAATACAAAAAATTAGCCAGGCTTGGTGGCACGTGCCTGTAATCCCAGCTACTCGGGAGGCTGAGGCAGGAAAATCGCTTGAACCCGGGTGGTGGAGGTTGCAGTGAGCCGAGATCACGCCACTGCACTCCAGCCTGGGCAACAGAGTGAGATTCCGTCTCAATAAAAATAAACAAATACATAAATAATATTAAATTAAAAGGGAGCATGGGGCCAGAGGGGAAGGATCCTCCAGTCCTCTGGTATCCCCTTCATCGTGCACTCAGGAATGTTTCTTGGGTAACTGACAATACAGTGGCTCAGATTCCTCTCTCTGAATCATCATGTAGTAGTTACAGAAGTTTTTGGTTTTTGTCAATTTCCTTTTTGAAATGTTACCAAAGTTGATTCTCCTTCTCTGGTGACTTCTTCCTGCTAAGGGAGGCTTTACAGCCCATTCTGTCGCCATCATGGTTTCCCCCTTTCCTTCAGCTCCTTGCTGTTTGGCTCCAGCCCACCCTCCCGAATGCACTGTGTAGCCCAGGCTCAGCTGCAGGAGAGGCTTGGGAAACCCCAGTGCTTAATTCCTCTCCCACTCCAAGCAGACACCTTCTGTAGTAAAACGGCACAGGCTTGGGTGGCAGCCTGGCTCTACTTATTTCTTTCTTTTCTTTTTTTTTTTTTCTGAGACAGAGTCTTGCTCTGTCACCCAGGCTGGAGTGCAATGATGCGATCTCGCCTCACTGCAACCTCCATCTCCCAGGTTCAAGCAATTCTCCTGCCTCAGCCTCCGGAGTAGCTGGGGCTACAGGTGCGCGCCACCACACCCAGCTAATTTTTTTTAGTAGAGACGGGGTTTCACCATGTTGGCCAGGATGGTCTTGATCTCTTGACCTTGTGATCTGCCCGCCTCAGCCTCCCAAAGTGATGGGATTACAGGCGTGAGCCACTGCGCCTGGACCTGGCTAATTTTTGTATATATTTTTTAGTAGAGATGGGGTTTCACCATGTTGGCCGGGCTGGTTTCAAACTCCTGACCTCAAGTGATCTGCCTGCCTCAGCCTCCCAAAGTGCTTGGATTACAGGTGTAAGCCATTGCTCCTGGCCTGGTTGTACCTTTTGAACGCTGGCCTTGGTTCACTTCATATCCTTAAGCCTCAATTTCTTCCTGTGGAAACTGGCGTGATCAACTTTACGCTGCAGAGAACCAAATGGAACAGTCTCTTCTCCATTTGTAAAGTCAGCAGTCCCCTAATGGAGCATGGCACGGGCTGGGCCAGCTTCTGAACAGCCCGGTTTGCTGACCTGGGTGTCTGCGACCCCAGGCCCCACTGGCCTGGTTTGCTCACCATTGTCATGTCTTGTGTGATTTGCAGAGCTCCGAGCCCACTTTGAGCCTACCTGTGAGACTGAAGGGGTAGATAAGGACATGGATGAAGCGGAAGAGGGCTATCCCCCAGCCACCGGACCTGGCCAGGAGGCCCAGCCCCACCAGCAGCACCTGAGCCTCCAGCTGGGTGAGCTCAGACAGGAGACCAACAGGTGAGGAGCTTCTGGGCCCTCCTCTGGGAGCAGGCGCTGGGACAGTGGCCTGAGCCACCAAGATGCTGATTAATTGGCTTTATTGTTGACCATCTCACCCAGGTCTTAGGAAAAAGCAGCTTCATCATCCACGAACTAGGCAAGGGCGCATATTCTCAGCCTCAATTGAGGGACTAGAGGAATGCCTTCCTTTAAAAAAAAAAAAAAAAAAACTCAGAATCAGAGAGGTATATATAGTACCTTGCCCCAGACCACACAGAAATTACTCATACTAAAGGCAGCAGCATCTGTGAATTCTTTCTCTCTTTTCACCAAGACGGGGCCCCTGGCATGGTGTGTGGGTCTCGCAGGCTCAGCAGCCTGCCCCTGCAGAAGTAGCAGGGTTTGGGGGTTGGTTAGCACTTCATCAGTGGATGTACATCCCATAATCCCGACCCCGAGGAAGTTTGTCCTGTTGTCATTTCTTCCATGTGATTTGTCATGATCCCTAGACGGGCATTAGTGGACTAGCTTCCCAACCAGGGAACCCTGGCATCACCATCATATTCCTCCAATGCACTGGTCTGTTTTGTTCACTTCCTGGCACATAGTAGGTGCTTAATATTTGTGAAGTGGATGGGCGTGGTGGCTCACGCCTGTAATCCCAACACTTTGAGAGGCCGAGGTGAGTGGATCACTTAAGGTCAAGAGTTTGAGACAGCCTGGCCAACATGGTGAAACCCCATCTCTTCTAAAACTACAAAATTAGCCAGGTATGGTGGCGCACGCCTGTAATCTTAGCTGCTTGGGAAGCTGAGGCAGGAGAATCGATTGAATCCGGGAGGTGGGGGTTGCAGTGAGCTGAGATCGTGCCATTGCACTCTAGCCTGGGCAATGAGAGAAACTCCATCTGAAAAAAAGAAAAAAAGGGGAAGAAATATTTGTGAAATGAATAAAATTATTCCTGTTTGCTCTGGGAAGTCACATTATCAGCTGCGTGATTTGGTTTTTAAAAGTAATCCATAGTTGACCGGGCACAGTGGCTCACACCTGTAATCCCAGCACTTTGGGAGGCCAAGATGGGTGGATCATAAGGTTAGGGGTTCGAGACCAGCCTGGCCAATATGGTGAAACCCCGTCTCTACTAAAAATACAAAAATTAGCTGGGCGTGGTGGAACTTGCCTGTAATCCCAGCTACTCAGGAGGCTGAGGCAGAAGAATTGCTTGAACCCGGGAGGCGGAGGTTGCAGTGAGCCGAGATCGTGCCACTGCACTCCAGCCTGGGCGACAGCATGAGACTCTGTCTCAAAAAAAAAAAAAAAAAAAAAAAAAAAAAAAAAAAAAAAAAAATCCATAGTTATAGCAAATGAGTTGGTACTCATTCCAAATGACACTTTGTTGCTGTGGGATCATTGCTGAGGAATGCTAATGACTATTTAACCGGGAGACAAGGGGCCAGTTACGTATTTTGGATGAAAGGTTGTGTATGCTGTCAGGGATCTCTCAAGTTCAATCTTAGATCATCTAATCATTTCTTTTTTTAAAAGACCCAGAGCTTTAGTTAAATGGTAGTGGTGGCAACATTTTGAAAGTTTTTTTTTTTTTTTAAGTTCAAGAGTACAAGTGCAGGTTTTTTACACAGGTAAACTTGTGTCATGGGGGTTTATTGTACAGATTGTTTCATCACCCAGGCATTAAGCCTAGTATCCATTAGTTGCTTTTCCTGATCCTCCTCCCAGCCTCCACCCTCTGGTAGGCCCCAGTGTGTGTTGTTCCCCTCTATGTGTCCATATGTTCTCATCATTTAGCTCCCACGGCACGTGGTATTTGGTTTTTTGTTCCTGCATTTGTTTGCTAAGGATAATGGCCTCCGGCTCCATTCATGTCCCTGCAAAGGACATGATCTCGTTCTTTTTTTATGGCTGCATAATATTCCATGGTGTATATGTACCACATTTTCTTTAGTCTATCATCAATGGACATTTAGGATGATTCCATGTCTTTGCTATTGTGAATAGTGCTGCAATGAACATATATGTGCATGTATCTTTATAATAGAACCATTTATATTCCTCTGGGCATATACCCAGTAATGAGGTTGCTGGGTCACCCAATAAGATTTATAATCACCAAATTCATAAAATGATTATATATGGGTTTGAAGGTTATTTCTCTCCACTGTCGATAGTCATTGTGTTATTTTCCAGTCTCAGTGGAATGAGGAATTGGTTAGGCAGCAGCCAGTCTGTGAATGGCATTGACGTAAACTGTACATTCCTGCATAAGGTGCTTGTCCTTGTGTGTATTAGTCCATTTTCACGCTGCTGATACATACCAGAAACTGGGCAATTTATAAGAGTAAGAGGTTTAATGGACTTACAGTTCCACGAGGCTGGGGAGGCCTCACAATCATGGCAGAAGGTAAAAGGCACGTCTTACATGGCAGCAGACAAGAAAGAATGAAAGAACCAGGCGGAAGGGGTTTTCCCTTATAAAGCCATCAGATCTCATGAGACTTATTCAGTACCATGAGAACAGTATGGGGGAAACCACCCCCATGATTCAATTATCTCCCACTGGGTCCCTCCCACAACACAAGGGAATTATGGGAGCTACAGTTCAAGATGAGATTTGGGTGGGGACACAGCCAAACCATATCACTGTAGTATGAAGTGCCTTGGCTATGTGGCAGTTGGGCAGAGCCAAAGGAAGATGACACCTCTTAGACAGGATGATGTGTCTGTCCTGATGAAGTCCTGAGAGTCCTTCCCACTGGATACAGGCACAAGCTTGAGTTGTCTCCTTCACTAACGTAAAAGGAGGACTACTAGAGAGACCAGGATGAAGGCAGGCAGTTGGGCAGGGCTGGGAGAGGACTTCTAATTTGCTGAGTGCCAATATTTCCTCTGCTGTTGTGCTGGGGCAGAAGTGTTCTCCTCTCCCCACCCCACTTTGCCACCAAATAATCCAGGAGTTCCTGTGTTCTCATCTCTCTACTGTTGCAGTGACTTCTCATGGCAACTTCAATAATTACCTTCAGTCTTTTTTTTTTTTTTTTTTTTTTTTTGAGATGGAGGCTCGCTCTATCATCCAGGCTGGAGTGCAGTGGCACATTCTTGGCTCACTGCAACCTTCACCTCCCGGGTTCAAGCGATTCTCCTGCCTCAGCCTCCCGAGTACCTGGGACCACAGGTGCACACCACCACACCCAGCTAATTTTTGTATTTTTAGTAGAGATGGGGTTTCACCATATTGGCCAGGCCGGTCTCAAACTCCTGACCTCAGGTGATCCACCTGCCTTGGCCTCCCAAAGTTCTGGGATGACAGGTGTGAGCCACCACCCCCAGCAGCCTTCAGTAATTTCAATAAAGCTTAGTTCTGTATTCCCAAGTTCACCAGCATGGATCATATAAATGAATTAAAGGAACACACAGTTAAGAAACAAATCCCATGTACTAGGTATGTAAGCAAACAATAAAAGTGTGGGGGCCAAGGCCCTTGGCCCCTGGAGGTTTGCTGAAAATCACCTGCATGAGGCTGATTAATGAGAGAAAAGGCATGCAAATGTATTTAACATGTATTTAACTTCAGCATGAAGACCCAAAGATCCAGGGGAAATTGTCCATTTTTATGCTTAGGCTTAACAAAGTATGGAGAGCTGTGGAGAAACAGGGATAAAAAGGGCCTGATCGAATGCTGATAGACTGAGTGGGGAAACCCAGCAAGGCCTGTCTGTCTAGATCCTTCTTGGCCTCTCTGAGTAGCATTCCTTTCTCCTGGGTGTGGGGCAGGACCCTCTGGAATCGGGGGTCTTATGAACTACAGTCAAACAAAGTAGGTCGAAGAACTTTTTTTTTTTTTTTTTGAGATGGAGTTTGACTCTGTTGCCCAGGCTAGAGTGCAGTGGTGCAATCTCTGCTCACTGCAACCTCTGCCTCCTGGGTTCGAACTATTCTTCTGCCTCAGTCTCCCCTCCCGAGTAGCTGGGATTACAGGCGCACGCCACCACAACTGGCTGATTTTTGTATTTTTAGTAGAGACGGGGTTTCACCATATTGGCCAGGCTGGTCTTGAACTCCTGACCTCAGGTGATCCTCCCGCCTTGACCTCCCAAAGTGCTGGGATTATAGGCTTGAGCCACTGCGCCCAGCCCAAAGAATTTTTTTTTTTTTTTTTTTTTGAGACAGAGTTTCGCTCTTGTTGCCCAGGCTGGAGTACAATGGTGCCATCTTGGCTCACCGCAACCTCTGCCTCCCAGGTTAAAGCGATTCTCCTGCCTCAGCCTCCCAAGTAACTCGGATTACAGGCATGTGCCACCACGCCTGGCTAATTTTGTATTTTTAGTAGAGAGGCTTCTCCATGTTAGGCTGGTCTCAAACTTCTGACCTCAGGTGATCTGCCTACCTCAGCCTCCCAAAGTGCTGGGATTACAGGCTTGAGCTGCCGCACCCGGCCAAGAATTTCTTTATAACCAATTTTTACACAGAAAGGCGGAGGGAAAGTTAGAGTCGTATTTTTAGGTTTTGTGGCTGGCTTTGGGGAGGAGTTCTGGTTTCTGTGCCCCGCTTTGGGGAAGAGGGATTCTATGGTGCCTCCAGGAGAATGGACTGAGAGAGGGAGGCAGGAGAAGGTCAGAGGAAAACTTTTTCTTCTGAGGCTGCTGCTGAGGCCATTTGGGGGCACTGTTTTCTGAGCCCCAACAAAAGCTAGACGTGGTTCCAATCTGTCAGCCCTTTCCCCCAAGGCATGCTATGCCTGAGCTGGCATGTGGGGGAAGTTTGAGGCACAGTTGTGCCAAGTCATATCTGATCCCAGAGAGCCCATGAGCAAGACTGGGTTTCAGGAGGCGGTCCCTTGGGAAGAGCCCAGCCTGTGGACTCTGGGCGTTACTTAACTCCTCTGCCTCAGTTACCTCAGCTTCAAAACAGGGGTTTAGAACAACCAGTGCTTCCTAGAAGTGCCGCAGGGCTTCAGTGACTGAATTCATGCAGTGTTTGGCACAGTCCTGGATTCTGGGTAGGAAGTGCTTGGTGGATGTTGGCAGGAGCCATCCTCCCCACCGGCAGAGCAGCATGTCTCACTCACTGTCCCTGCTCTGCCCCATTACAAGCAGGGGCTTCCAGCTGGGTGCGGTGGCTCACACCTGTAATCCCAGCACTTTGGGAGGCCGAGGCAGGTGGATCACTTGAGGTCAGGAGTTCGAGACCAGCCTGGCCAATATGGTGTAACCCTGTCTCTACTAAAAATACAAAAATTACCCATGCATGGTGGCGCATGCCTGTAGTCCCAGATACTCGGGAGGCTGAGGCAGGAGAATTGCCTGAACCCAGGAGGCGGAGGTTGCAGTGAGCCGAGATTGTGCCACTGCACTCCAGCCTGGGCCACAGAGTGAGACTCTGTCTCCAAAAAAAAAAAAACAAAAACAAAATAAGAAGCAGGGGCTTCTGTCCCCTTCGTTTAGTCCCTGTGTGAGGAGGAAAGAAACTTACCATTCTATTCTAGTTTCAGCTGCCTTATCTGACTTAGGGAGCCAGGTTTAAATAATCACATCGTCCTTCTGGCTGAGTTCTGATTAACATCGGCATCTTTTGGTTCACGATACGTTTTTGAGACAAAACTGCCTGAGTGCGTTCAGGCTACTGTAACAAAATAACCAGAGACCAGGCAGCTTATAAACAACAGAAATGTGTTTCTCACAGTTCTGGAGACTCGAAGTCCAAGATCGAGGTGCCAGCAGATTCCGTGGCCAGTGAGGGCCTGCTTCCCCATTCACAGATGGCCATCTTCTCGCGGTGTGTCCTCACATGGTGGAAGGGATGAGGGAGCCTCTGGGGTCTCCTTTCACAAGGACACTCCTCTCACCTCACCTCTCAAAGCTCCGTCTCCTAACACCATCACCTTGTGGGTTAGGATTTCAACATATGAACTTGGGCCGGGTGAGGGGCACACATTGAGTCCATTGCAAAAATATATCCAAGCTGTGAGCACTGGCCTTTGTTGTCAAGGGGAGGAAAACACAAGGAAGGTTCCCCTCTGCAGACTGAAGTCTGAGTCACAGAACCTGAAGAAACACATGTGCTTCCCTCTCTAGGCTGACTCTTAGACTTGTCCCATTTTCCATTTTTTTTCCATCTCTAATGTATGCACAACAGATGCTTGAGTTAAATTGAATGGTGTTGAATGCTCTCTGGATAATGGCTTTTTTTTTTTTTTTTTAAACCAGACTTTTGGAACACCTAGTTGAAAAAGAGAGAGAGTACCAGAATCTTCTGCGGCAAACTCTAGAACAGAAAACTCAAGAATTGTATCACCTTCAGTTAAAATTAAAATCGAATTGTAAGTCATTTTCCAATGAGACAGACTTTAACATCTAGCTAATATTCTAGTTAGCTTTGAAGAAACATTTGAGGTTATCTTCTGTTAATCCAGGACTCCAGTAGATTCTAGACTACTTCTCAATCATAAAAAGGGACTACTGATAGATTCAACAACATGGCTGCATTGTAAATGCAGTATGCTAAGTGAAAGAGCTAGATTCACAGCCAGCACCGTAGCTCGTGCCTGTAATCCCAGCACTCTGGGAGGCTGAGGCTAGCAGATCAATTGAACCCAGGAGTTCAGGACCAGCCTGGTCAACATGGCAAAACCCCATCCGTACAAAAAATAGAAAAAAACCAGCTGGGCTTGGTGGATGCATGCCTGTAGTCCTAGCTACTTAGGAGGCTGACATGGGAGGATCACCTGAGCCCAGGAGGTTGAGGCTGCAGTGAGCCGAGGTCATGCCACTGCACTCTGGCCTGAGTGACAGTGAAACCCTGTCTCAAAAAAAAAAAAAAAAAAAAAGATTCAAAAGGCCACATACCATGATTCCTTTTCCTCCAGAAAAGGCAAAACTACAGGGACAGAATCAGAATGGGGAGGTGACGGGACTGATTGTAAAGGGCACATGAGGACTTTTGGGAGTGACAGTCATTTCTGTATCTGTGCTGCCACCTTCATAGCACATTGGACACCTAAAAAGGGTAGTTTACTGCATAAGTAAATAAATATGCCTCCATCAACCTGACATTCGTTTTGGGCCACTTAGAAACGAGCTCCAGAGCTACCTCTTGGAATGTGGACTAGATAAGCTCTGACCTCAACACTAAAACCTATTTCCTTGTAGGATTTCCAGTGCAGTTAGGGATGTGATTCCTAAGGAAAGGCATTTGAAAGATGTGGGGATAAGCATTTAAAGTGGTAGACCTAACATGTCAAATTCCAAACTAACTGAAGGTATCCTAGATGAGGAGGCTTTCTAGAAAGTGAATCTCAGAATTATGAATTGTGTAATACGTATTAGCGTGGTTCAGTGATACAGGGTTAATTCATCTCTTTTTCACATCACATTTACATTCTGGAATCATTTATTAATCCAACTGGTTACTTTTGAAGAGTTTTATGGTTAGACTAATATATAACAAATTGCCAATCGTTACAGGTATTACAGAGAACCCAGCAGGCCCCTACGGGCAGAGAACAGATAAAGAGCTTATAGACTGGTTGCGGCTGCAAGGAGCTGATGCAAAGACAATTGAAAAGGTAAATTTACAACAAAGAAATTCTTATGCTGTTGTTACACAGCTGCTCAGCTCTTAAGGATCTGATCTTTGTTTCAGATTGTTGAAGAGGGTTATACACTTTCGGATATTCTTAATGAGATCACTAAGGAAGATCTAAGATACCTTCGACTACGGTAAGAGCCTCAAAACAGTTTGTATAAGAGAATACAACTTTTTATGTGTGAATATGCTTCAAGAGCAGAAAACAAAGGGCTGGGCCTCCCCCCAAACTCTGGAGTTCTATTAGGTTCAAGCTGGGAAAAAGCCAAGGTGGGGCAGAAACTGAAAGCCAGGCAGAAGTCAGAAATAGGAATGTGACAGAGAAGAGCTGGCCAATCTCCTGCCATTAATGCCTGGCTGGGAGTGGGTGGAGGCACATGGCAAGCGTGCCTGCACGCTGGACCCACCCCCTTCTTTAAACTGCAGCCTGCCTTCTTGTTCCCGAGTCATTTGAAATAGCCAGCTCTCTGCAGGTACGTACCTCTAAGGCCATGTCCTACTACTGCTGGGACACGAGCGTCACCTCCATATGTGAGGAGAATGTTTTTATTTTCATTAGGTTTTTAAATTAGGGACTGCAGTTTTAAGCTCTGTTGGCTTGAAGCACTGACTCTGAAGACAGCTGTGTTTGTTTCCCAGGGGTGGTCTCCTCTGCAGACTCTGGAGTGCGGTCTCCCAGTACAGAAGGGCTCAGGAGGCCTCAGAAACCAAAGACAAGGCTTGATACCAATCAGCTAAGCTGTGGCAGAGTGTCCCACCACGCTACATGTTTTGTTAAAGCTTCTGTTAGTGTATACACGAATTCCGCTGTGTTTACATATTTAAAAATGCCATTGTTCAATTAATAGTTTAAGAACTTGTTTTAAATACTGTCCTGAGTTTCTTTTGAAACCTGTTATTTATAAACATAGAACTGTGTGTATTGTGAAAACAGTGAGCCTTGGTTTTGACCTCCCGGAATATTAGGAAATTCACTTGTAGTCCCAGCTATGCAGGAGGCTGAGGTGGGAGGATTGCTTGAGCCCAGGAGGTGTGGAGGCTGCAGTGAGCCATGATCACACCACTGCACTCCAGCCTGGGCAACAGAGCCCGACCCTGTCTCAAAAAAAGTACACCCTTCAGCACTTGCTGGAATGGTGAAACAAACAAGGGGTATTTAACAAACATGGAAGCTGGGACACTGCCTCAGAACTGGTATGGTACTTCAATTTGAGAAACACAAAACTGATACGAATGTGCCTTGTAGTTAATGTTTGATATGAACAGAAAATAGCTTCATATTTATACTGAATGTGTAAGTAGAGAAAACTAAGTTATGTGGCCTTTGAAATGATTACAAAATTGGAATGATTACAAAAGTCTTATTTTAAAATGGAACTGTCCTCTTGCCTGATAATAAATATTGTATCTTGTAGAGAAATGGTCAGCGCGAACAGGCTGCAGCACCAGCGCTGCTCGGGGTGGGTGCTATGGTTGGTAGAATGCTGTGAGGGGCCCCGCCATAATGGTCTCCTCCCAAAAAGGTGGCTGGGGGCAGGGGAAACAGGCATACAAGGAATTGTTCTTCCTTTTCATAATTAGAGTATTTGTTCAAAGTATACTATTTTAAGTCAAAAATAATCTTTAAGCACTCAATAATTCATCTTTTAATGCACTAATGTACAAACTGCATGCAATTACTACCTGCTCAATCTACACACTTAATGGAAGTTTCCAAGAATTTCATTGAATTTCATTGACTGGGTTTTCTTCCTCCTTAACCAAGTTGAGAACACTGTCTGGTAGCCCCCTGAAGGTATAACCTCTCCTTCTCCTCCCCTTAACTGACTGACTTAAACTTGATCCACTGATTGGCACCACGAACTTCAAAAGGTGGGTCGCTGGAGTAGATGTGGTAGCCCAGCTCTTCCAAAGGTGGCTCAGGATCGGCCGTGGCAAACTGGGCAGCATCCTCAATCTCCTTCCTCACTTCCACATCAATTTCCTAAAAATTAGGTAACAGTGTAAAAGGTTTTAGAATGAACAGCAGCTTAGGTACCAACTAGAGTTCTGCTGAGGACCTGTTGCTGGTGTAACTCTTTAACTACAAGTACGAACAGTTGCTAATTCAGAAGATTTTGGAATACAGATTTCTAGGGTGTATCTATTTTATGAATTAAAAATCCACAGTATACTTTTAGGAAAAAAGAACCATACTACTGTGGGGGCTTTGCCACTGTGATGGTGGTTCACAGTCCACCAAAATCTGAAATCTGAAGAGTAATACAATTTTGAATAGAGGAAACTAAAGGAAAAGCCCCCACCCCAAGGGACTTTGGAACTATGGAACTATTTATGTCCCAGGACATCACTTTCTGGGCTTGGAGGAACCCACACAAACTCTGTGGCCACCCAGGGGTGGCAACTTTTAAAGCCAACCTTCAAACCACCATGAACAAGTGACTGTACCTTTAGTTCTTCCACACTGGCAAGATTGCTGTTCACCATCCTGTCCTTGAGAAGCATAATAGGGTCACTCTTACTTCTTACTTCCTGAATTTCTTCTCGTGTACGGTAACTATGGGGAGGGAAAAGTAGTAATCGATCAGTAAGAGCAGTTCCAGTAGAGCAAGGACGGCGTGATGAAACATGATATGGGGTTGGATTGTCCCAATGAGGTGAAATACAGAAGTGTGTTTCTGAAACAAAGGGGCATACCAATGCTTATGTCACTATAGGCGTGGCAGAGTTGTTGTTATACTTTCAAAATACCAGAACGCAGCCTAACATTCTGTAATAACTGCTTCTGTCTTTTCTAGAAAACCGTACACTGGTGAGTCACATGGCTTCCCTGGCATTCCGACAACAGGGGCCAAGTTTTTGCTTGCTGCTTTGATTTAGATGTAAGGTTCTAAAGAAGTGTCACTTGTCCCACCCATTTGGGCTCCTGTATACTACATGGGTGGGGACAGCAGAGATGGTGTGTGTGGTGATAATTAGACTTTGAGACATCAGAGCGCCAAGCAGGAAATCCATGTGCCTTGCCTTTCTCCCTTAAGTCCCCCTAAAGAAGCACAGCCAGCAAAACCAATGTATCTTATGCCTATATCATCTGAAGTAACACTAAAAGGATTCTACCATTTTCAACAATAGATTTACACAAAGTGCATTTTTCCATATACTGTGCTCTCTACATGATTTTTCCTTAGAAGTCCACTCTACAAAGGCTTATTTATTCAACTGTGTCAAAACTGGGATTCCAGAATCACAGGCCAGAGCTACTAAGCAAAAAAGTAAAATTCATGCCTTCCTAGTGGAACCTAGCTTTTTTGATTGATGTATTTCAACGGATTGAACACCCAGTTACCCTTAGCTCTATACCAGACAGAGGAACATCTCCAAATTCTGATCCTCTTCAGGTAGAGTATGCCAGGTGTAGACTTGGGGTAATGCCTACAAAAGCTAAATGCCCCCAAGATACTACACTACCATCAGCCCTGTTTTATGTAACAATTTCCCTCTACAATTAAGGTATATAACACTCTTTCTTTAAAAATTGCTGCTTGTGCTCACACACACTATACACTGTAGGCATTTTCAGAAAGCTTTCTTATTAGGAGGCACTGCTTTCAGATAACTTGATGCCCAACACAACTGCGTACATGAAGTGAACTGGTATCTAGCTCCAAAAGCAAATACTGAAATGTGTTGCTTTTGCCATGTAACACCATTCAAAGCCCACCCCTATGGAAACCACACTGCCCATGAGCGTACCTGACTCCAGGGTCACTCATACTGTGTCCGTGGTAACGGTAAGTCTGCAGCTCCATCAGGATGGGCCCCTAAAACAGAACCGGTAGGCAGTTAGTTAGTTAGGAACGATGACTGGAAGAACAGGCCGGCAATCCACGGCCTCAAACGCAGGCCCTTTATTAAGCGTCCAGTGTAGTCTTATCAGATCTTCTGAGTTGTCACGAATTTCTTATTGGTTGACTGATCTGTTCTCATTTCTAGCAAGTATTGATTGCATATTTCATCTTTCTCATTTTTAATAAGGCAATCTGCCAACAGCTTGTTTTGAATCAAAAAGGCTTTGAAGGCCAGGCATGGTGGCTCATGCCTGTAATCCCAGCACTTTGGGAAGCTGAGGTGGGCAGAGCACTTGCGCCCAGGAGTTCGAGACTAGCCTGGACAACATGGCAAAACCCCATCTCTATCAAAAAATACAAAAATTAGCCAGGCATGGTGGCGTGCGCCTGTAGTCCCAGCTACTTGGGAGGATCACCTGATTCTGGAAGGTCAAGGGTGCAGTGAGCTGTGAGTGTGCCACTGCGCGAGACCCTGTGAAAAAAGAAAAAGGCTCTGAGCATGTTCTAGAGCCTCCTGCTATTGGCTAGACAGATTTCCATCTCATGCTCCTTTCTCATGGTGTGTTGTGGGGCTGGCAGCCACTCCTACTTCACAGACCTTGCTAGTGTGTAACAAAGTTGGCAGGCACCAACAACCTCTGCTACCCAAACCCCAAGGCTCTGCTGGGAGTCTGGACAGTTGGGCTCGCTCATTCTACACTAGCCCACTTCCAGGAGACGGCTCTGAACACTGGGGTGGAGAAACATTGAGGATCCTTGGTTGGTTTGGTGCAGCAGTTAAAATGGGCGAGTGGGGAGCTGGCTCCAAGACAGAGTAGCTGTGTACCTTTAACTGCTCTATGGCTCAGTTTCCTTGTCTGCAAAATGGGCAAAACAATAACACCTAACTCAGAATTGTGAAGGTTATCTGTTTGGGAAAGTCACACATTCTACAACTACATTCTACAACTCCCCTTGTCTCCAGCCAGGGCTGGCCCCCATGTATTCTTTTCAGGAATTGGGAGAGGTGGCGTCAATACCCATCACTCAGGGCCTGGCACTCCCAGCCTTAGGGTCCTGACATAGACTGCTCAGCCCATTGTACCCAAGCTGTAGTCTTGGTCCTGCTCTAGTTCATTCTACTCATTAGCTCTTATTTAATGTTACTACATTCCCACCCTCACTTCCCTGTCTCTCCACTTTGTGACATTTCCATCATTGCTGGCCACATCTGATTCACATCACTGCCTAAACGTACATGGTATGGCGCTGAAGTGCCAACTTCAGAAACCTTGTTTCTGGGCTGTAGAACACTGATTTAGGGAGAACACCCAAACCTCCTAAGCCTATACTAGTGCCAAAGGAAGTGAAACCTCTTTAGGCCAGTCTCCCTCTTACCATCTCCCTCACTGCCATACACTGAAAAGGGAAAGATCCTTAGGACTGAGCAAGACTAAGATTACGAGCTTCTACCATACTGTTTAATTTGTATAAGACACACATATTAAATGCCTATTGTATACATGACATTCTATGCTGGACACTGTGGGGATCCCCAATCTGTTCCTTCAAGGGACTCATGATTAATGGGGGGTGGGGAGGAGGGACAGAATTAACCTAAGGAAAAGGCAAATCAGTTGTCATGAAGACAGGCCAAAGCAGAGGAAGCACCAGAACGGACTTCCCCCAAATGAGAGAAACGTAGGCTTCCCAGCAGGTGAGCTACCAAGACCAAGCTACCCAAAGGAGCCCTGCTCCCTTCACTCTGCTTCCATCTCATGCACCTCAATTAGCAGGTACCCACTAACAGCTTCAGCAGGCACATGGGAGGCAGTCTTTGAACTTCCAGAGATAAATGTCACTAGCCCAGAGGGCTTTAGAGCCTTACCTTCCCAGATCTACAATAGGCAGCAGCAAACCTTGTTGCCTCTCGGACGCACAGGATATCCATTCCATCCACCTGGTAATAAACAGGGGAGGGGCGAAGCATGAATCCAACTGCCCCAAACCATTTTACTTTCACATGACCTGCTCCTGTATGAGAATGAAACTCTCCAATGTTTCTAAGATCGTCAAGGGTCTGCACAAGGACATACCCTTGGCCTTGGCCTTGGCCCCGGCCCCACCACAGGTGTCCTTACTCTCAGCCCAGGAATGAAATCGCCTCTCTTGTAGTAATCAGTGCTGGCTGCCGCTCTCTCAACAGACGTTCCCATTCCATAGCGATTATTCTCACAGATGAAAATACAAGGTAATTTCCACAAAGCTGCCATGTTGTAAGCTTCGAATATCTGGCCCTGGAAGTAGTTACGAAAAGGGGTTTCATTTGGCTTCTTTCTCCAGGCTTCATCAT
Source organism: Homo sapiens (assembly GCF_000001405.40). Lineage (NCBI taxonomy): Eukaryota > Metazoa > Chordata > Mammalia > Primates > Hominidae > Homo > Homo sapiens. The sequence continues at coordinate 19,355,292 of NC_000023.11, read as the reverse complement.
CTCTAACAGCTGCTGCTCTGCCTGGCACAGAAAGCTTTCATAAAGCACAGAAAGCCTCCTCTTCTAAAACCGAGCTTTGGGTGGTGAGGGAAAGCGGGGTGGGTGGTGGAGGAGAAGTAGCAGGCATCATACTCTTGCAACTAAGGAAGGTGACAAACCAACTACTACTTGTTTCTTTGGGGCCATGCTAGCAGTAAGGAACACACTGGAAAAAAGATCAATATGAAATCTATCAGGCCCACTGGATAGCCAGAGTGAACCAGCACCTAAGAATCAGCCTCTAGAACAGGGCTTCACAGAGTGCTGGCCACAGACTGGGGATTACTCGGTAACAAGAGAAGCATAGAAACTGAGTTAGGACTCAGACGCTATTATCCGAATTTGACACTGCCAGCCCGGACATCCAAGAGAATGGGTCTGTATTGTTTTGCAATAGGTTGTGGGGAGGTCCTTTACCACAGGGCCTTTGCCAAGCACTGATGTAGAGCAAAGGTGAGCTCCTTCACAGGAATGTGCCCCCGTAAGTCTCTTGTGAAACAACGCTAAGAGGTCAATCTCTAATCTGGCCATAAGTCAACCAAATTTGAGCTAGCCATAGGACTTGCTATTTCACCTAATAAGCAATATGCTACTTCTTTAGAAATTCAACTGTAAATATTAAAGACTTTGAAAATAAGACTGTTTTTGGGAAGTTAAGAGACATAATTACCTGGTTAGCAGCACCATCGCCATATAAAGTCAGGCAGACCTCATCTTTTCCATTATACTTACAGGCTAGAGCAATCCCAGCGCCCAGGGGCACCTAACATTAAGGACAACCGAGAAAGGAACCACAGAAATCCATGAGGGGAGATACTAATTAATGCCCTGCATTTTCACTCCTGGCCAGAATCTGACACAGAAATTACACTGCTGCTACAAACTCTCCTTCCAACCCTATCTCTCTGTTTATCCCACCTCCGATATTTTCAATAAAGCACTAAAGTAATATATAAATACTATGTTCTATTTTAACCAGTAAGCACTAACATTTCTGCATTCAAGAGTTAAAAAATAAAACCTGGCCGGGCGTGGTGGCTCACGCCTGTAATCCCAGCACTTTGGGCAGATCACGAGGTCCACAGATCGAGACCATCCTGGACAAGATGGTGAAACCCCGTCTCTACTAAAAATACAAAAAATGGTTGGGCATGGTGGCACGTAACTATATTCCCAGCTACTCGGGAGGCTGAGGCAGGAGAATTGCTTGAACCCGGGGGTGGAGGTTGCAGTGAGCTGAGATTACACCACTGCTCCAGCCTGGGCGGCTGAGCAAGACTCCATTTCAAAAGGAAAAATAAAACCTAGGTTTAAAAAAAAACAACACATAATAGAATCTTAATATATTAGAAAGGAAAAGAAACAGTCCGGATATAATTTTGTGCTGTTAATTCTTCATCATTCACTAACTGATGAGAACAAGGACCCCAAAATGAAGTTGACAAGATAAAGCAATTAATGTACTGAAATATAAATAGGAAGGGGAAGGTATGGCTCCACTGCTAGAGGTTCCTGCTTACTTATAAAACAGCAGACACCTAAAAGGAAACATTATAAATCACCATCCAAATCTACTCATCTCTCAAACGGTAGGATATGAAGCACTAGGTCTTTAAAAGCAAACCAAGCCCCCAAAATAGTCACGCGTCACTTAACAACAGGGATATATTCTCAGAATTGCATCACTAGGCGATTTTGTCATGTGAACACCATACTGTAATGCACGAACCTAGATGGTACAGCCCACTGCACACCTAGGCTGTATAGTAGAGCCTACTGCTCCTAGGCTACAACCCTGCACAGCATGTGACTCTACTGAATCCTGTAGGCAAAATATTTGTGTACCTAAACGTAGAAAAGGTAATGTGTTGTGCCACTACAACATCACTAGGCGACAGGAATTTTTCAGCTCCATTATAATCTTATGGGTCCAACATCATATATGCGACATTGACCAAAGCGTCACTGTGCAGCACATGGCTGTACTACTTCAGGAAAAGTTGTCTGGGGCTGTGAAAGTTTTTGAAGACAAAGTCCAGGGCCAAATCTAAAGCAGCACACAATCCTCGTCCTTGACTACCTGCGCTCCCACGATGCCATTGCCCCCGTAGAAGTTCTTGGCATACATGTGCATCGATCCTCCTTTCCCTTTAGCACAACCTCCTTTTCGTCCTGGAAATGGCAGAACATACACATGTGCAGAACAAACCAACTCTACAAAGCAAACCAAACCGCACCCCAAATATGTACTCTGAGGCTCAACCATTAGAACACAGAGGCCAGTTCAGTCGTCTAAGTACCTGTCCCTCCAGGCAAACACATGTTTCTCCTTGTCCTTTCACTAGTTCCATGTGCTTCAACCTTTCCAGCTTTTCCTACTCTCTAGTCACTTAGTTTCCTTCAGATGTTCCATCCAGATGATACCCTGGACTTTTCTGGGTTTTCTGGCCAGTTACAAACATCTTAGGACCTCTCCTATACTAGTACACTAAATATATTCAATCCTTGAACAGGGTTTGAACTGCACAGGTACACTTATACACAGATTTTTTTTCAGCCACACATGTATTGAAAATAGAATATTCTCAGGATGCAAACCCGAAGATATGGAAGGCTGACTTTGGGACTTGAGTATTTGAGGATTTTTGTATACTCGAGGGTCCTAGAACCAATCCCCTGGATATATAGAGGGACAACCATAGTTCAAGAGTCAAGGAGGGCCGGGCACGGCGGCTCACGCCTGTAATCCTAACATTTTGGGAGGCCGAAGAGGGTGGATCACCTGAGGTCAAGAGTTCAAGACCAGCCTGGCCAACATGGTGAAACCTGGTCTCTACTAAAAATACAGAAATTAGCCAGGTGTGGTGGTTGGGCACCTATAATCCTAGCTACTCAGGAGGCTGAGGCAGGAGAATTGCTTGAACCCGGGGGGCGGAGGCTGCAGTGAGCCAAAATCATACCACTTCACTCCAGCCACTCCAGCCTGGGTGAAAGAGTGAAACTCTGTCTCAAAAAAAAAAAAAAAAAAGGAGGAGGAGGAGGACCGGGCACAGTGGCTCACGCCTGTAATCCTAGCATTTTGGGAGGCTGAGGCAGGCCACTGCACTCCAGCCTGGGCAACAAAGCGAGACTCTGTCTCAAAAAAACAAAACAGGCCAGGTGCGGTGGCTCACGCCTGTAACCCCAGCACACTTTGGGAGGCCAAGGCAGGTGGATCACCTGAGGTCAGGAGTTGGAGACCAGCCTGGCCAACATGTTGAAACCCCATCTCTACTAAAAATACAAAAATTAGCCAGGTGTGGTGGTGCATGCCTGTAGTCCCAGCTACTCAGGAGGTGGAGGCATGAGAATCACTTGAACCCGGGAGGTGGAGGTTGCAGTGAGCCGTGATCACACCACTGCACACCAGCCTGGACAACGGAGTGAGACACAGTCTCAAAAAAAAAAAAAAAAAAAAACCACCAAAACAAACAAATAGTCACGGGGGACAAAGAAAAGGGGAATATTAAGAAGATTTCTAGAATTTACATTGCATACCATGGAGTGCTTCAACCGAACTTACTTTCTATGACTGCTAGACTTCTTCTGGCATGCTTGAATGATAACCAAACCTACTGTGATTTTATAGCACCAACCTGTTTTAAACTTTTACCTGAGGGGCCAGAGAACTTCACAAATGGTCAGTTAACTCAAGAGCACAACAGAAGTACCAGAGCACCAAAGGAGAGAGGGTTAAAAAAAGAAACTTAAAATTTTTAACAAATATTAACTCATAATAGCATCTTAATGACAGATATTTAAAAACTTAATCCACTCATTTCCCCTTTCTGTAAATCAACAGCAAACCTGTAAGCTCTGCGAGAATTTCTCGGACGGAAAGGCCCCGGGTGAAAGTAAAGCCGTGAGCCCGGTAGGCTGTGATGAGATGGTCTGTGGGGTTGATGCCGGCCTCCAGGCCCACACAGCAAGCTTCCTGTGTTAGAGGAAGGAGAAACTATGAGGCAATATGATACATGTTTCTAAATAAAAACGTTTCCTAGACCACAGTGAAATATGTGGGCTAGTAGAACCTGTCATTAATAACCAGAGAAAGTAGCTATTTTCCACCAAAATACAGAGTGGAAGGCCCAAACCAGAAGCAATAAACTGGCAACCCACACATGTGCCACTTCCTTCCTTTCTCCTGTATGATGACCTAAAAGAAAAGCCTACATCAGATGTCAACATTAAAACACTGGGGAATTTCACATGAAAATCCAGACTTCCGCCTTCTCTTAGACATGGAAAACAGGAAACATTACCCCTGATTTCCACATGGCACCAACTGGCTGGAACCAAGTCATGGCATTCCTCTGGGTAGGGCATGCTGGTGCCAGTTCAGCATGAGTCCCTGTCACCATTTTCTGTTTTGTATACCTAGCCTTCTTCACTCATTTATTCTACCTGGCTGGCCCTTGTAGGTATTTGACTCTAACCCTTGACCTAAGCCCACAAAACAAAAAACAAACTAATCCTTTCTCTCCAAATTATATACAGTACAGGCGATCATAGTGCCAGAAAGTTTTAAAATAGTAAAACTCTAAGAACAGGTACAGAAAACTGGCAATGTTATGTGTGAATGAATTCTTTAGCCTAAGCTTCATAGCAGGTTTTGGCATTCTACTTTTTAATTCTAAAATACTGGCTTCAGCCAGGCACAGTGGCTCACGCCTGTAATCCTAGCACCTTGGGAGGCCAAGGTGGGCGGACCACTTGAGCCCAGAAGTTTGAGACTAGCCTGGGCAACATAGTGAAACCCCGTATCTCCAAAAAATACAAAAATTAGCTGGGTGTGTTGGTGTGCACCTGTGGTCCCACATACTCGGGAGGCTGAGGTGGGAGGATTGCTTGAGCCCAGTGGACAGAGGCTGCAGTGAGCCAAGATCACACTGTACTCTAACCAGAGGCTGCAGTGAGCCAAGATCACCACTGTACTCTAACCTGGGCGACAGAGAGAGACTGTCTCAAAAAAATAAATAAATAAAAGAAAATTACATTACCAGCCTCAAACTCTTCTGATACATATGGCAGGGTAAAGCCCAATAAGTACAAGCCATACTTCAGTACCTAAATAACACAGTTCCACCACAAACCTACCACTCACCTGACCATCACACAAGTGACAGAAACCACGAATAATTTTCTGTTTATACAGCTGATCTGCTTTCAACTCCATTCGGCGTACAGTCTGCATCATCCTGTAGTATTTGAGCCCATCCTCCCTGGTGAGCACTGTTGTGACAGGAGGGCCTTCTTCCAGCCGGTGAAGGTCACATTTCTGAAATGGAATAAGGTAGTTATTATCCTCCACATACTACATTGCAAACACTGTTGACCACTCTAAGATCTAACTCCATTGCAAATAATATTGAACTTGAAAAACTGCAAAGGAGCACATCAGTAATGCTTCATATCGCCTCTGTTCCTTAAATCCATAAACCTCACTGTGCAATGAGATGGGGCTTGGGGGAAGGAAATCTTTCTAAGATGATTTTCACTGAAAGCCCCTAGAAGCCAACTGAGTTATAGGTTGAAAGAACCTTCAAAGAAACAACTAAGACTCTTCTTATTCAAATATTTCACTGAATTACATTCCAAACTTTTGAATAAGCTTTTATTTTTATTTTCATTTTCTAGCTCCTCCCCCTTCCCCCCACAGAACAACAGCAAGCTGCTAATAATAAATTCTAGTTTTCGTGAAGCTTCTCTGAACTTCTGATCCTGGAACATTTAGAAGAAAATGATGACTAAGCATGAACATCAAAATGTTCTATTCTAAAGGTAAAACTGTATATCAGAGTGTACCTGTGAAAAAATTATTAACAAAGTAAAACACCTCTTACCTTAATTTCAAATGTAGCATCATTTGCAAAATTACGGGATGCTACCAGCACTCTGCTTGCCTTAAAAGACAAAAATATACAAACAAATCAGTACTTTTTAATTGTCAGCTATTTTGGAAAGTATAATAATCAGTTATCAGAATGAAGTTATGGAAATTTAATAAGCCCCAACATATTCATAGGCTTCTCTTCCACCCTGTGCACTGTGTTTGCATCTTCCTTGGCCTCCAAAATGAATCCATGCTTTGGCCAATGAAACAGGATTATCCCGCATCTGAAGGCAAGCAGCGCAAAGAGGGGCAAAAAACAAACCCATCCTTTGTTTTCAAAGAAATTATAGTGAGAATATAATGAAATTAGTGGCTAAAGAGACTAGATCATCTGTGAGCTGTGTCTGTTTATGCCATTCTTTTGTTTGTTTGTTTTGAGACGGAGTTTTGCTTTTATCACCCAGGCTGGAGTGCAGTGGTGCGATCTCGGCTCACTGCAACCTCCGCTTCCCGGGTTCAAGTGATTTCTCCTGTCTCAGTCTCCCGAGTAGCTGGGATTACAGGTGCCCACCACCACGCCCGGCTAATTTTTATATTTTTAGTAGAGATGGGGTTTCACCATGTTGGCCAGGCTGGTCTCCAACTCCTGACCTCAGGTGATCCACCTGCCTTGGCCTCCCAAAGTACTGGGATTGCAGGCATGAGCCACTGCGTCTGGCCTTTTCATGCCATTCTTAGTCATAACCAGATACTGTTCATTTTGAGCAAGCCAAAATTATACTTCAAATAAAACTATGATTTAATCTCCACTCTAGGCAAACTTGACTCTTCTATCAAATTGGATCTGTAAGAAAAAATATTTTAAATTGATTGAAGTATGAGATAAATACTTTAGGGAGACAAGACAAAAGAAAAGATACTTAGCACTCTCTGACTTAAACACAATGGGCTTGAGCCAGCTGTTTTATAATTTATAATTTGAACAGCCTAAATCTTGGACAGGCTCCTCCTGAAGCCCCAGTAGAAATGTTCTCTGAAACACTGTTCTCTTGATGTTTGGGTGGCTGTCACTGTTTGGAGGTAAAAAGCTTGGAGGCGGGGGGTGAGAAATGATTCCTTTCCAGTTTTACAACTGAGCAAACCTGCTCACAGCAAAAGTATTCTATGTAATGGCTAAGGTTTAGGTTAGACCACAAAATTTATCCAGTAGTATTATCATACTATTTTAGCTCCCTTCTGCCACATTCTCACACACTGACGTGTAAACCAACATGATTTCTCCATAAAAAGCACATCTGATGTGTTCATACCTTACCTAATCCAGCACTGGACTGATCTTGGTGAGAAGAGTTAAGACTGATCTGCCAAGTATACCCTGGAGTGTACAAGCCAATAGGCAGAAAGCTAATTACGTATATCTTCACCCCTCAATAGACCATTATTGGACAAAGCCAACAAACACAGACAATGACAGTGCTGGAGGAAAACAACTGAAATACTAGGAATCAGTGTTTCAGTTAACTTACAGGCAGAGACAGTCCACTAATGTATCTCAGAAAAAGTGAAGGAAATTTAGGAATTTGGGAAGAAGTAAAGCTGAGAGAAGGTGAAACAGCAAATCAATGGTTATATTTAGCAATCAAACAGATGTGTTATTCTTGGCAGTTAATAAATATTTTGTGGGGCCAGAAATTTATTGTATTGTGAAATAAATTTCCAAATACAACTACAGAAACTGCAGTTTTTGGAAGGCAGGAGTCCAAACCAGCCAGGCGACAGTAACAGAGAAAAGGTAACTTCTTTCTCAATCCTAGAGTTGAAACAATGAGGCAGGATAATGCTATACAATAAAGAGCAAGAAGGGGCCCAGTGCTGTGGCATGCGCCTGTAATCTTGCGCCTGCAAAGATTAGGACTGCCAGAAAGCTACTTAGATACTTTCTCCCATGGCTTCATTACTGTGTATCTCAAAAATAAGAACCACTGATATGAGTGAAAGGAACAAAGTTAAAGAAGCTAAAAGTCCTATCAGAAGTGTGTGTGTATCATTTCTGAGTGAGAGCTTGTTGAAAAGATAAGTTTACCATTCATTTTCTCTGGAGAGCCATAAAAAGATTCTCTGTTAAATGGGATTCCTCTCTGACAGAGACCACGAACAACCCACTCAAATTTTAAAAAATAAAAACTAGGCCGGGCATGATGGCTCACACCTATAATCCCCAGCACTTTGGGAGGCCAGGGTGGGAGGACCACTTGAAGCCAGGAGTTCAAAGCCAGCCTGGGCAACATGAGACTCTCATCTCTACAAAAATAAATATTAAAAAATTAGTCAGGTATGGTGGCACACACCTGAGGCTACAGTGAGCTATGACTGTGCCACTGCATTCCAGCCTAAAAAAAAAAATTAATTAAAAAAAAGTAAAACTTTAACTTCCTAAATACATAGGAACCATTCATGTGAAAGAGGAAAAACGTTTCAAAAATTCCAGATTCTAACAGTGTAAATTAAAACTCTTACCTACCACTTATAAAGCCAAAACATTGCTAGTAAAGATCTCACAAAAGGAGCCATACAGAAATGCAAACAATAAAATAACATTTTAAATGCATTCAATCTTCTTCCATGAAATAAGAACTATGAAAACTATAAACCTTATTCAAAAATAAAAACACAATCTTGATATTCATTTCAAAGTTTCACACCAAACACTCTTTGATGAGACAATGGCAATCTTTAAGCCTGAGATAAATCTCCCTACCTGCCTGGTTTTAAGAGAGTGAGAGTAATCCCAGCACTTTGGGAGGCCGAGGTGGGAGGACTGCTTGAGCCTGGAGATGGAGACCAGACTGGGCAACGTAGCAAGACCATGTCTCTAGTAAAAAAAAAATTTTTTTAATTGGCTGGGTGTGGTGGTGGCACATGCCTGTGTTCCCAGCTACTCAGGAGGCTAAGGCAGGAGGATCGCTTGAGCCCAGCAGGCTAAGGCTGCAGTGAGCTGTCCTGCTACTGCACTCCAGCCTGGGTGACACAGAGACCCTGTCTCAAACAAAACGAAAGTAAACCAGGGAGAATAAAAAAGGAAAAAACACACAGCGTCTTGGGAGGTTAAGGGGATTATCTTGTGTCACAGCCATCAGACCAGCTGCCTACCCTTCTCCCTCCCCTTCTCCCTCCCTTCATGGAGTATCACACAGATGGTAGGAGTCTAGTGCAGTAAGTCTGCCTAATTTGGGTGAGCCACTGCTTATTGTTTACTGTCAAGATTTTTGTGAAAGGCTTATATGCAAAATGTCTTTTTACATGTATAATATAAAAAACTAAAACGTTGATCTATTTTGTTACTTATAGTTAAGTAAAAAGACATCCATAAGTATGAAGAATTACAAAATACAAAGAGTCAACACGTTAGTTTATTATTCCACCCTTTAAAAAAATAAAAGTGAAACTTTTAGTTCTATCCTTAAAAGCTTCAGGAATGGTTCCTAATTAGTCCATGACAAGTTGAGTGACACAGAAAACTTCTAATTATCTGAAGAGTTTACACCACCAAGTGGAAAGATACCTGGGCACTTTCAAAGGTGACTTCATATCTGGAACTCAATTTTCTTCCTACTGTAAGGTGGCGGGGGGGGGGGGACCCTGCAAACTGATACAGGAAACAATGAACCTGACTTGCAGAAGAAGAAGAAAACCTACATCAGGTGCCTAAAGGAAGGATGTTTCTGAGCCCGTAACTACCGGTACAGCCCTCTACCCACAGATATCCCTAAAGGGAACGCTTTTTTTTTTTTTTTTTTTTTTTTTTTTTTAAAATACGGAGTCTTGCTCTTGTCGCCCAGGCCGTAGTGCAATGGCACGATCTCCGCTCACTGCAAACTCCGCCTCCCGGGTTCAGGCTATTCTCCCGCCTCAGCCTCCCGAGTAGCTGGGATTACAGGAGCCCGCCACCACGACCGGCTAATTTTGTATTTTTAGTAGAGACGGGGTTTCACCATGTTGGCCAGGCTGATCTCGAACTTCTGACCTCAGGTGATCCACCTGCCTCAGCCTCCCAAAATGCTGGGATTACAGGCCTGAGCCACCGCACCCGGCAGTTTTGTCATTATTTTAGGCAACAGGATTCCTAGAGGGGCATACCTCTTACCTTTTGACAATCTCTGCCTGTACTAAGTAGAGCGGTATCAAGTCCTGGGGGAAATACCAGAATCCCGAGGCCTGCAGTTACACCAATTAACACGACCTCACTGTGCCTAGGGGGGTCAGAATGCTAGCTCAGGTGTTAGGCACCTCTAAATGCTGAGGCCATGAAATAGTGCTAAACTCTACCCCCCACCCCTCAAGCATCGTTGCTCTTTGCTTTAGCTACTTGTACCCTAAGAATGTGTAGGTAAGGGGAGGGGAGGGCAGCGTCCTCTGAGTTCTGCTTCGGCGCTCCTGAACTCACTGCCAAGAAAAGCTCAGATGTTGAGGGAGAGGGAAGAGGAGGAAGTTTGTTTCTGAAGAGGCTGACCTTCTGTGAACCCGCCTCAGAACTGAGCACAGGTGTTCAAGAAATGTATACCGAACTGGAGACTCAATAAATAACACTATTCAACACACATGTTATCGATTATGTGCCAGGTGCTATTTGGAATCGTTTCCACACGTGTCACTCGTTGAATCCTCAAGACAACCCCAAGAGGTGGGGACTCTTATTATCTCCATTTTAGAGTTAACTGATAACATTTCAGAGATAACTCTTATCTCCATTTAGAGATTAACTCCACTTCGAGCAAACATTTTAGGAAACCGGGTCCCCGGGACGTTTAAAAACTTGCTCAAGGTCACAGGGCTAGTCAATGGTGAGGGTGCTGTTTGAACGAAGCCACCCTGTCTCCAGATTCTACGCTATTACAAAGCCTCTCGGTCAAGAGAAATTAAGTTAGAAGATCCGAAATGAGTGGGGTCAATTGGAGACTCGAAGGAGGCCGAGGCCACCCTTTCCGTGTCCTGTAACCCAACAGGCACCTCTTGAGCACACCGACTTCGCCTGGCGCACAGCTGGGCCCGGGGGCGGGAGGTGGGTGTCGAGAAGGGGGAAGTTCACACGGACCTTGGCGTGATCCCGGTCCGTGCCGCTTCTCCCGAGGCCAGGAACGGAATGCAGGGCGCGGAGGCGAAGTAAAGGCTCCCCGGCTCCCCTGGCGCCTTCCACCCCGCTCTGGGTGGCCCGGCCTGGCCCGCCCTGCCCTCCGGCCCCGCCTCAGCCCCACTCGCGCCCCATCCCGGCCCGCCCGGGAGGTCTCACCGGCTTCTGAGAAGCGCCAGACAGCACGCGGGAGACGGCGGCGAGCATCTTCCTCATGAAGCACAGGCAGTGGCGGCAGCGGCGACTCCTCACAACCCAGGAGGCACGACGCGGGTGCCCCCAAGTCTCCTTCAGGTGCCCCAGCAGACGCCACGCCTCAGTCGCACCGCGGCGTGACAGAGTCGTAATAACGTCATGCGCTGCGCCGGGCCGCGGGCCAACCAGAACGGCGTCCAGGGGGTGCCCCGCCCCCGCTAAAGGCCTGAGGCTGCCCATTGGGTATCAGCGCCAGAGAGGGAGGGGCTGAGGGCTCTTTCCGACGCCACGCCGCGGGCGGGTGAGGAGGCGGGGCTTGATAGCGCCTGCGTGGGAAGGTGGGGCCCCCGCCTCCAGGGCGCCGCGGGAAAGGAGCCTTCCTAGATTCCGCTCTGCTGACTACCGGGGAGGTTGTGCAGGCCCCGTCCTACCGAGCGCCTACTCCTGCCGGTGCTGCAGCTCTGCAGCCCTCGTTCAGTACATCTCGTTCAGTACACTAGATGATGAAGATTAGCAGCATGCTCAGAGCCAAAAGACAGAACATCTGGTTTCTGTAAATGGTCTGCCACTAACTTTGTCTTTAAAAGATCACGTAGCAGTTGGACAGTTCTGCCCTGTCTACTTGAACGCGGATCAAAAAATTTGTTTCCCAATATATGTCGAGAGGACAATGGGAAAAATCTTTTTTCTCTAGTTATTGGTTCACAGGCTCACTGCGAGTTAACAGCGTGGCTCAGCCGATGATAAAAGCACACACAGAGACAAAACACCAAAGCAACAAGGGGCTCTATTCAGAGGATCAAAGGGCTCAGGAACCCATTGTGTTGTGTCCTAGTGGGATTGCACCTGGGGTTCCGGGTTCAGATTTGGGCTCCACATTTTAAGGGGGATAATGAGTAAACTGAGTGGAATCCAGGGGACAGTGGTCAGAACGGTGAGGGGCTGCGATTGTGACTTATGAAGAACGATTAAAGAAGTTAGGAAGAAAACAGGCTAACTAGAATTGGCTGGGTTATGATGTAACAACTGACCTCCAAATTTCAGTGATTTCAAGAATTTGAAGTGACGCGAGCCATCGTACTCGTAACACAGGTCCCTCACAGCGTGGCACCCTCTCTCTGGAACTTAGCTTGTCTCATGGATGAAGAGAAAAGGGATCATTTAAACCGGCTCTCAAAGCTTCTGCCCAGAAGTGACACATGTCACTTCCTCTCAATTTTCACGGACCAGAGCTAGTTACCCGACCATGTCTGAGTTCCACAAGGTGAAATATAATCCTCCTGCCAGGAGGAGAACAGAAAATTGGATGAACAGTAAAACCAGAGAGGATTGGATATGTCTTCACACATTTTCAGGCCAGTCATGTTCCAGGAGGAAGAGCTATTTTGTGTGTGTGTGTGTGTGTGTGTGAATAAAATCATTTCATTTCAGCATAACAATGAATTTTCTAACAATGACAATGGTCCAATGAGATAATTCTCTCCCAGTGTCACTGAAAGTATTCAAAGCAGAAGTTCAAAGCATGACCAGCTCTCAGCATAGCTAGAGAAATAATTTGGGCACTGGGCCAGACTCTGGACTGAGAGATCGTGTTGCAGTGGAAGAAAACTTCTTAAAGGAGTGAGAGGGCGCCATTAAAAGGCAGAGATGGACGTGAGAAACTTGCATGGTATGATTTCAGCAGCTGCTGCTGCTGATAGAATATGAAAGGTAAAAGAGAATGAAAAGGTTGGAGGCCAGATGTCCAGCTCAGGAGAAAAAGCTGGTCTGAATGGTTTGGGACATGTTGACCTGGTGGTGGCAGTGGCACAGCTATCTGAAGATGTCCCCCGGGAAGTTGGAGTTGTAAGTCTGGAACATTTGCTAAAAATATTAATTTGGGAGTCATCTCCACGGGGTGGTGATATTGGTTGTGCATGTACGGGAACTCTGTAGGCCATATGAATATGAATTCATTCATTCATTTGCTCATTCATCCAACACCTATTATTGAGCACCGATTTTGTGTCAGACACTGTACTACACACTGAAGATATAGCAAGGAACAAGTAAAATATAGGTCCTACTTAAATACATGATTGAACAAATCAATGGGTTAGAAGGAACAACTTTTCCTTACAGTAGAATTCCAATTAATTAATATAGAAGGAATGATGAAAATAGAAAAAGAAAATCACCATTTGGCAAAGACCACAGTAACTGTTGCAGGTGAGAATTATCATCAATACAGGCTAAAATTAGTGGGTAAATGTATGATGAGAAACAGGACATTTGCCTCATCTCAAATGATCTCTCCACTAGATTCATTACAAAGTTTAAAGTAACTTTGCAGTGCAGAAACAAAGTAACCAATTTTTCAATGACTAGGATATTTTCTCTGCACTTCTTGTTCTTCATATATATACATATATATACACACATACGTGTATATATATATATTTTATTTATTTATTTTTTTGAGACAGAGTCTCGCTCTGTCGCCCAGGCTGGAGTGTAGTGGTGCAATTTCAACTCACTGCAAGCTCCGCCTCCCAGGTTCACGCCATTCTCCTGCCTCAGCCTCCCGAGTAGCTGGGACTACAGGTGCCCGCCACCACGCCCGGTTAATTTTTTTTGTATTTTTCGTAGAGACAGGGTTTCACCATGTTAGACAGTATGGTCTTGATCTCCTGACCTCGTGATCCGCCCGTCTCAGCCTCCCAAAGTGCTGGGATTATAGGCATGAGACACTGCGCCCGGCCTCTTTTTTTTTTTTTTTTTTTTGAGACAGATTCTCACTCTGTTGCCCAGGATGGAGTACAGTGGTGACATCTTGGCTCACTGCAACATCTGACTCCCAGGTTCAAGTGATACTCCTCATTCAGCCTCCCGAGTAGCTGGGAAAACGGGCGAGCACCACCATGCCCGACTAATTTTGTATTTTTTTAGTAGAGACGGGGTTTCACCATGTTGGCCAGGCTGGTCTCAAACTCCTGACCTCAGGTGATCTGCCCACCTTGGCCTCCCAAAGTGCTGGGATTACAGGTGTGAGCCACCGCGCCCAGCTGTTTTCAGATATTTGAAAGCAGAGTTGGAAGCAACTTTGAAGGTGAGGGACACTGTGAGATGCTGTGTCAAGTGGTGACAGGTGATGATTGTGGTTAATAGTCATTAACTATAGGCTATAGTAACGTTATAGTAATGTTATAGTCATTAACTATAGGCTATAATAACTATAGGCTATAGTAACGCGCTAGAACATTCACAAAAGACTCTTGTATCAGGAGAGGAGGCCGGAGAGAAAGAAAGATTTGCAAAAGGCGGGAAGAGAAAGTCTTAAGAAAGGAGGGCTCGTTAATCTTGGGGGAAATTGTAATCCCAGCACTTTGGGAGACCAAGGCAGGAGGATCACTTGAGGCCAGGAGTTTGAGGCCAGCCTGGGCCACAAAGTGATACTCGTCTGTACAAAAAATAAAATAATTAGTCTGGTATGGTGTTGCATGCCTGTAGTCCCAGCTACTAGGGATGCTGACGAGGGAGGATTGCTTGAGCCTAGGAGTTTGAGGCTGCAGTAAGCTATGGCGGCATCGCTGCATGGCGGCCTGGGTGACAGGGCGAGACCCCATCTCTCTAAAAAACAAAACAAAAAAAACGTATCTGGGTGAAGCAGGGCAATTTTGATTAGAGACCCTGAAATATGCCTTTTTACCTTTCGTTAGCGAATCACCCTACAAGTATTCGATCAAGCTGAGCTTTAAGGCAAATCATGCTCCTTGACATGTCTCCGGTTTTCCAGTAAGAAACACCCATCCCCCAGCAGATGAATTAGAGTAGGACAATCATATACATGTGTCATAAAAGTCAACAAATCTTTGCAAATGTCTTTGAGGTACTAAGCAGCAGCTGGTGAAAGGATTATGGCTAGGGGTCATTTTAACTTTGGAACCATATAAATGTTTTTACACGACCATAAAACACAATGACATAACAATGGAAATGAAATATAACAAACCAATTTAATAACATACCAAGTTGTCAGCATAACCCCGCAGAGAATGATTTCAAGTTATTTCACACCACAGCAATGTGACTGCATATGCCTGGTGGGGTATAGCCTAAAGACAAAAGGAACTGGAAAAAAAAATCTTAAGGCGAGGCTCACACCTGTAATCCTAGCACTTTGGGAGGCTGAGGTGGGAGGATCATTTGAACCCGGGAGTTTGAGACCAGCCTAGGCAACATAGGGAGACCCCATCTCTACAGAAAAAAATCTTAAATTGTTCTCATTTGTCAGGTGTTATTATTTAAGACTGCACATACCCACACTGATAAAGTAAATATATAATTATGTTAATGCCATTGGGAACCAAGATTTTCAGTATAAAAAACAGAGACACAAATGTAAAATTCAACAGGTCAAAGCCAAGAGGTCCTGAATTTGAATTGGAAATATCAGTATAAACTCATGATTATTTCCCCCCCTCAAGATACACACACACACACACACACACACACATACATACATCTTGGCTAGGCTCGGTAGCTCACACTTGTAATCCCAGTACTTTAGGAGGCCAAGGTGGGCAGATCACTTGAGCTCAGGAGTTCAAGACCAGCCTGGGCAACATGGTAAGACCCTGTCTCTACACGATATAAAAAATTAGCCGGCCATGGTGGCGCATACCAGCAGTCCTAGCTACTAGGGAGGCCAAGGTAGGAGGATCACCTGTGCCTGGGAAGTGGAGGCTGCAGTGAGCCATCATCGTGCCAGTGCACTCTAGCCTGAGCAACAGAATGAGACTGTGTCTCAAAGCAAAAACGATGTGTGTGTGTGTGTGTGTGTGTGTGTATGTGTGTGTGTATCTTAACTCTCTCCACTGGAAATACCTAGAAGCAAAGACCAGCCCAATAGTAATTATTCTGAAATCTGGCAAAGGGAAAGAACCAAGGATTTATCCTGTCTTTCTTACATAGACTGAATTTCAATGTCAACAAACAGTTGATGAGGAATAGTTCTTTATAGAATAATTTCCAGCAGTAAATAAAAAAGGAACCATATAATTTTAATATCCCTGTGTTGTAACCCCTGAGGAAGTACTAGATCAAGCTGTTGGGGGATTTGTAATGTTTGGGCGGCTTTAACAAAATACGTGAGACTGGGTAACTTATAAACAACAAACACTGATTGGGCTTGATGGCTCATACCTGTAATCTTAGCACTTTCCGAGGCTGAGGCAGGTGGATTGCTTGAGCCCAGGAATTTGAGACCAACCTAGCAAACGTGGTGAAACCCCATCTCTACAAAAAAGACAAAAATTATCTGGGCATAGTGGCAGGTGCCTGTAGTCCCAGCTACTTGGGAGGCTGAGATGGGAGGATGGCTTGAACCCGGGAGGTCGAAGCTGCAGTGAGCCACGATTGTGTCACTGCACTCCAGCCTGTGTGGCAAAGCAAGACCCTGTCTCAAAAAAAAAAAACAACAAACAACAACAACAATAAAAACCAACCAAACAAACAAACCCAGACATTGATTTATTATGGTTCTGGCTGTTGGGAAGTCCACGGTCAGGGCATTCAGTGTCTGGTGAGGGCCTTCTGGCTGAGTCCTCACATGGCAGAAGAGTGGAAGGGCAAAAAATTGCCTGGGGTGTTCCCTTCAACCTCTTCCATCAGGGTGCTAATTCCATTCAAAGGGGCCTGGGGGAGTGGGGCAGAGCTCCATCCTCATCATCTAATCACCTCCCAAAGGCCCCGCTTCCTGATACCCTCACATTGGAGGTTAAGTTTCAGTAGATGAATTTTAGGGGGCACATTCAGACCTCAGCACTGAGGAGGAGACCTTCTAGCTGTGGTCTGAGCGCTGAGCACGAGGTTGGCAATAGATTGTCCTGGTCCTGTTAGACCTCATTAAAGATTTAGACACTTTTCCTAAGAATAATGGGAAGCCAGAGAAGGATGTTCATGTCAGCTTTGCATTTTGTAAATATGGAAGATGAGCTGTGCCCTCTCATGACAGGATCCTAAAGGAAATTAATGGAAGGAGGTGCCATAGTGTGTTCAGGAGAGCACGGGGTTCCTGAATCTAAGATAGGTGAACCACAGTGAGTATGAGCATATCTTTCTATATGATTTTTAAAATAGAGACAGGGTCTCGCTATGTTGCCCAGGCAAGTCTCGAACTCCTGGGCTCAAGCGATCCTCCCACCTCAACCTCACAAAGTGCTGAAATCAAAGGCATGATCCACTGCACTCGGCCCATCATGTCTTTCTATTATCCAATGGAGATATGTGGAAAAATACATATTTTAATAGGGAAGATTTTAGGCACACACTGATGAGTCTGGCCTGAAGTTACTATCAATCATTTTCTGTGGCTGATCCCCAAACGGAAGCAGCCTTTGGAAACCTAAGAACTGTCCTACGGAGAGGCGGCCTAGCATCTGGACTCTGGCACCAGTCTGCCTGGTCTCAAATCCTGGCTCAACGACTTACCAGCTGTGTGACCTCGGGCAATTTGCCTAAACTCTCTGTGCTTCGGTTTCCTCGTCTTTAAATGGAGCATAATGACAACATTCATCTCATAGGGCTGGCTGTCATAAAGCTTATATGGATTAATATTTGTCAGGCACTTAAGACAGAGCCCCATCCTTAATGAGCACTATACTAGAATCTTGTGACTATAAGTAAATATGCAAATCTTTTCACTTCTTGGTGACCTGGGTCCTCACTGGTAAAGCAAAGCTTAGAAATTTCTATCTTCTGGCTTGGAGCAGTGGCTCACGCCTGTAATCCCAGCACTTTGGGAAGCTGAGGTGCCACTGACCCCTTCTTCCAAATGTATTATTTTGTCTCTTGTCTTTTATTCCCACGTTCAGTCCCCTTTGTTCAGTCCCCCTAGGTCCGTGCGGGTTACACTGAGCCAGGGAGGGTACACTTGAACCCAGGAGGCAGAGGTTGCAGTGAGCTGAGATCACGCCACTGCACTCCAGCCTGGGTGACAGAGTGAGACTTCGTCTCAAAAAAATATATATATATGCAGTTGGCTCAAAAGACTCTCAGGGCCGCCAGCCCTCGTGTGAATAGAGTCTAACCGTCTGACAAGCCACCTGTTTGGGTCTGCCTGGGATCAACACTTCATGAAGAAGCTTGTCACGGTTCCCAGAAGGAGAGAACAGGCCCTTGCCAAGCTTAAGGGAACAGGATGTATGGCACATTTTGTGCCTGCATAAATAAATGATCTGGATAGAATTCTGTCTATGACTTCTTTTTTTGTAGCATAATAGGTTATAGAGAAGGAAGGAGACAAAGAGCTTCATCTGCTTTAATTGTGGGACACAACCCTATTTATCCAACTGACATGGTGTCAAAGGGCCACATTCATTCACTCGTCCAACAGATATTTCAAGAGTGCCTATTCTAGGATGCAGGGCTATAAAAACCAGACAAAACCCTACATTGTAAAGTGACTTAGATCAGGTTGTAAAAACTGTTTTCAAAAGCAACTGGTAGATTTAATCAAAAGATATCCCGAGCTGCACACAGTGGCACATGCCTGTGGTCCCAGCTACTCAGGAGTCGGGAGGATCACTTGAGCACAGAGTTTGAGACCAGCCTGGGCAACATAGTGAGACCCCAACTCAAAAAAAAAAAAGGTATCCTGAGTTCTTTGGAAAGGCTCCAGAAAGCCAAGATTTCAAATCTCTACAGTTCTTCAAAGATGAAAGAATTGCGAAAATCATATAGGAAAGAACCCACTTATGTGGGCAACTAAAATTTAAGGAGTTGAGGACTTAGTAATTCTCAAAGTGCACCTCAGACAAGCAGCATCAACACAAACTGGGAAATCTGTTAGAAATGCACGTTCCCAGACCCCATCCCAAACCTCCTGAATAAGAAACTCTGGGAGTGGAAACCTGCAATCTTTGATTTAAAAAGTTCTCCGGGCTGGACACGTTGGCTCACGCCTGTAATCCCAGCATTTTGGGCGGCTGAGGTGGGAGGACTGCTTGAGGTCAGGCATTTGAGACCAGCCTGGCCAACATGGTGAAACCCCACTGCTACTAAAAATACAAAAATTAGTTGGGCGTGGTGGTGCACCTGTGGTCCCACCTACTTGGGAGGCTGAGGCAGGAGAATCGCTTGAGACTGGGAGGTTAAGACTGCAGTGAACTGTGATCACACCACTGCCCTCCAGCCTGGGTGCTAGAGCAAGACCCTGTCTCAGAAATAAAATAAAATAACAAGCTCTCCAGGTATTTTGGATGCCAAGTTTGAGGACCATAGATGTACTTTTTAACAAAGGACAATTCCGCCAGGTGGCATTCCAACATGAGAAATAACAAACAGATCTGTTCTGCAGTTTCAGAAAAATTCCACCAGGTGACTCACTAACCTGCGTACAGCCGTCCCCTTTATCCACGGTTTTGCTTTCTGCAGTTTCCGTTATCCACGGTCAACCTCTGCCAAAAATATTAAACAGAAAATTCTAGAAATAAACAATTCATGTTTAAAATTACATACTGTTCTGAGTAATGTGATGAAACCTCGCACCGTCCTGCTCTGTCCCGCCTAGGCTGTGAATCAGTACTTTGTCCACGGTATCCACACTGAATATGCTACCCCTCATTCGTCACTTAGCCATCTTGGTGATTAGATGGAAAAAGCCAGTATACAGAGAGCTTAGTACTATTCAAAAGTTTCAGGCATTCACTGGGGGACTTGGAACATATCCCCTGAAGATAAGGGTTGGCAGGGACCACTATAGTGGGAAAAACATATTTGTCCTGCAATTACGCGACAATTCTACCTGGTGGCACTCTAACCTGAGTAATAGGGAAGACCCTCATAAGCAATTGCAGGCAAATTCCATCAGGGGGCGATGTAATCAGAGTAATAAGAAAAACATATCTGTGTGCAATTACAAGAAAATGTTACTAGGTGGCACTCCAATCTCATTAATAAGAAAAACACCGCTACACCCCAGCCCGGACAACAGAGCCAGACTATTTCAAACAGAAAAAAGAAAAAAATCTCACCGGGTGCGGTGGCTCACGTTTGTAATCGCAGCACTTTGCGGGGGCCAAGGTAGGCGGATCACTTGAGGCCAGCAGTTGGAGACCAGTCTGGCCAACATGGCGAAACCCCATCTCTATTACAAAAGTACAAAATATGTCCCGGCGCGGTGGCTCACGCCTGTAATCCCAGCACTTTGGGAAGCCAAGGTGGGCGGATCACGAGGTCAGGCTTCTGAGACCAGCCTGGCCAACATGGTGAAACCCCATCTCTACTAAAAATACAAAAATTGGCTGGGCATGGTGGCGCGTGCCTGTAATCCCAGCTACTCGGGAGGCTGAGGCAGGAGAATCGCTTGAACCAGGGAGTTGGAGATTGCAGTCAGCTGAGATCACGCCACTGCACTCCGTCTCAAAAAAAATAAAAATAAAATAAAGAGTACAAAAAATTAGCCAGGCGTGGTGGTGTGCACCTGTAGTCCTAGCTACTCTGGAGACTGATGGGAGGATCACCTGAGCCTGGGAGGTGGAGGCTGCAGTGAGCCGAGTGCATGGCGCCACTGCACTCCAGCCCAGGCGACAGTGAGAACCTGTCTCAAAAAAAAAAAAAAAAAAAAAAAAAAAAAAAAAAAAAAAATCTGCCCTACAATCCTGCAATTTACATGACAACCCCACAGGGGGCATTCTAACATAAGAGATACAAAAATATATTCTGCAATTACACAAAATTCCACATGATGACACTCTAACACAACAAATTAAAAATTGTTATGCAATTATGTAAAAAGTCCACATCTAACATAAGAAATAAAAAGCCAGCTCTGCAGTTACATAAGAATTCCACAGGTGGTGCTGTAACATAATGAGAAAATTTGTCACGTGTCTGGAATTCTCTTGGAATTTAGTCAAGAACCATATTAATACATGGTGATAAACTTATAGAATTTATTTACTTGGTAAATTAAAATGTAAGTTAAAATTTAGTACATATGATTTGAATATATCTTAATATAGGGCTTATTCTTTGCATTTTAATGACTTGTTTGCACATTATTCCTACCAGTAGTAGATCCTCTGGGGCAGAAATCAAATAATCTAATTTTTCAATCTCCTCAACCTCTACTACAGTAGTTGATGCATAATAGGAAGAATGAATTAAAAACGTGAGGCTGGACATGGTGGCTCATGCCTGTAATCTGAGTACTTTGAGAGGCCGAGGTGGCAGATCACCTGAGGTCAGGAGTTCGAGACCAGCCTGGCCAACATGGTGAAACCCCGTCTCTACTAAAAATACAAAAACCAGCTGGGCGTGGTGGCAGGCGCCTGTAGTCCCAGCTACTTGGGAGGCTGAGACAGTTGGACGGGTAGGGGGAAATGTGATCAAGACTGGAATAACGATGTTCTTTTCAATGCCTTCAAGTTGAGATTTTTTTTAAAAAATAGTGAACTAAAACATAAGCAAAATTAAGTTTATTTTTAAAAAGTAAGACCTGTAGTCCTAGCTATTTGGGAGGCTGAGGTGGGAGGATCACTTGAACCCGGGCTGTAGTGATCTGAGATTGCACCACTGCACTCCAGCCTAGGCGACAGAGTGAGACCCTGTCTCAAAAAAAAGAAACTCAGTAAGAAAATTAGGTTTGATTGTGCTTTCAGAAGCTATTGAAACTATTTCAGTAACTTAGTTATTCAGGAACATGGTTTTCCAATTAACTGGGTTGATGGCCCAGAGGAGCCTGGAAAAGCTGCCTTTAGGGTCCCCACAGGATTCATCCCAGAAGGGAGTGTCTCACTCTGCCCAAGGCTGGGCTGCACCAGCAGCTGCAGAAGGACAAGGCAAGGGCCCGGTGATTTGCAGACCAGACACACTCGAGGCCAGGCTGGAGCTCGCTTAGGAAACCTGGGAAGCAGCCAAGCTCCCTTCCTGCCAGCTGGAGGCTCTTTCTGGTGCTAATTGCTGCCTCCTCCTTTTTGAGATCCCCCGAAGCCACAGAGTCCTGTTCCCTCATTCCATCAAAGCCTGCTTTCCTGGAGGCTCACCAGCTAATGTACCCCTGATTATTTCCAGTTCCACAGCCCGAAAGCTGTTTCTAAATCGGAAATCCGAATCTTCTGTCCTGACCGGCCTCTCCGTCTGACTGCCCTCAAGTTCACGGTCACACTGCTAACTTCAGGTCCAGTCTCCCTCACCACCTTCTGTTTTGCCTTTGGGAAGGGAATTTGCGTTTTCTTCCCAGCTAAAGACCTAAACTCCAAAGAAATCTCAAATGGTGGTGTTTTAGGCATCAGCCACTGATTAGGGATTGGTCAAAGACAAATCCAGGGCTCTTCCTGGCACTGGGCTGCGCTTTGGCCCCTGGTCTGCATTGCTCACACAGCTGGGAACTCCTGGGGCCCTGGGCTTTGACTCGCAGGGATGTTACAAGATGCCGTATTAGCCTATTTAAAAATCAAAATGGGTGTCCAGCGCCCTGGCATTCATGGTCTCTGTCATCAGTCACCGCTTCACACCCTGGAGCTTTGCAAAGCCCTGAGTGCCACACTACCGCCACTCCTCAGCTGTGCTCCACGGCACCTGAGCTTTCCCACACAGTTCTAGAGCCTTCTTCTAAACAGGACTGCGTCTGTCACTGCCTCCACCTCTGCACCTAGTTGGGCCACGCTTGTCCATGTCTCTCATCTGGGCTTCTTGCGGAGGTTAAGTAGCAGCCTTGTCCTGCTCCTGTCCACTCTCTATGCGGCAGTCAAGGGTGTCTTCCAAAAGCATAAACCAGATCTTGTCCCTCCCCTGCTTAATGCGCACCGGTGCTTTCCCACTGCAATTAGAGTAAAAGCCAGAGTTCTTACCAGGACCTATTAAGGCATGACCTGATCGGACCCCGACTTCTCCCCTCCTCACTGGCCTTCTGTTGGCTGTAGCCTGGCCACATCGTCTCTCCCTTCTGTTCCTCCAATACTCCCACTTGTTCCAGGCTCCGAGCTCTTTCACCAGCCGACGCCCAGATCTCTGCATAGATGCCCCCTTCTCTGCCCTGAGGGCTCAGCTGGTGTCACCAGATAAAGCTGCCCCTCCCTGCTGCCGCCAAGTGACTTTTCCCCGTGACTAGACCCATCTGCTCCGTGGAATGATTTTGTTCATGTGTTTGTCGTGGGTGTTCCTCACTAGAATGGGAGGACCCTCCAAGGGTAGGTATCTTGAACATGGTGCTCCTCTCAGAGCCTAGAATGGTACTAGATGACATGTTCATGGAATCTTCTCCACTCAGACTAATACTGTATCACAAAACCCTTGCGTCAGCTGCATCTGTGTACGTACAAGAAACCACAGTCCATCAGTCCGAATGAGGGTCCTTAGGAAGCCTTGGATAGAGAACATGTCAGAGGGTTCTGTTTCTCTCCTGTTCTTGGTCCAGTGTGAGGACGAATGGGAAATAGATGCCCTGTGAGGCTGGCCCGACTTCAGCTTCTGGAGGTCTCAAACTTGTAGCAAGTGGACAAAGGAGTTTAAAAGGGGAAACGTGGCTCCTGCATCTTGGCACTTCTTGTTTGCTACTGTTTTACACATTTGAGGACGTGGCCTCATCTTCTGGAATAAGTATGGTTTTAGGTTAAATGTTGGCAGGACGCTGGTTTCTTCAAAATGAAAAAAATATCATGCAAATCTGAAACAAAGTTTGAATAATCTTATTTCATTTCATGGTCATTCATTGATACGTTTTATGGTTTCAGGTTCTCTTAGACCTGTGGTTCTCAAAATCTCAGGAGTGATTTTGTCCCTAGGAGCCATTTGGCAGTGTCTGGAGACATTTTTGGTTGTCACTGCTTGGGGAGGAGGGTGCTACTGGCATCTGGTGGGACGAGGCCAGAGACACTGCTAAACATCTCACAGCACACAGGAAAGCCCGCAACAAAGAACAACATGTTACCAAATGTCAACAGTGCTGGAGTTGAGGAACATGGTCTTAGACTATGAAAATAAATCATGCATTGCCTGAAAAGAAAATGCACGTTCTTTTCAGAAAGTGAAAAATACAGATAAACCCAGAGAAGAGAAACTGCAAGCAACTGTCAAACTTTTGGTGTTTTAGCTTTCTAGTATTTTTTTCTAAATACAAATATATTATTAACAAAAATGATATGTGGCAGAAATAGTTTTTTTTTTTTTTTTTTTTTTTTTTTTTGAGACGGAGTCTCACTCTGCCACCTAGGCTGGAGTGCAGTGGCACGATCTCGGCTCACTGCAACCTCGGCCTCCAGGGTGCAAGCGATTCTCCTGGCTCAGCCTCCTGAGTAGCTGGGATTACAGGCACCCACCACCATGCCCGGCTAATTTTTGTATTTTTAGTAGACACGGGGTTTCACCATGTTGGCCAGGCTGGTCTCAAACTCCTGACCTCAAGTGATCCACCGCCCCCCTCAGCTTCCCAAAGTGCTGGGATTACAGGCATGAGCCACTGCGCCTACCCACTGTAACTCTTTTTAAATGCTGCTGCAGAACCATGTACATATCATTAAGGAACATTCTACTACATAATTTCGAATGACCGTATCATATTTTGTTGTATTTTGTTGTATTATTTAATCATCTCCCTACCATCGGATATTTACATTTTTCTGGTTTTATCTATTATTCTCAGTGCTTTGATGAAAGATGAACATTTTGTGCACAAGTGTGATTCTTTCCAAAGGATATTCTTAGAAGTTGGGCTGCTGGATCAAAAGTTTTAAGGCTTTCGTGTCTATCTTTGAAAACAACTAACTGGATGGTCAGGTCATTGTGGGTGGAGACACATTTTGCAGTCCTTGGTATCTCTTATTGTAACTACCTGTCTTAGGTGTCTTAGGTGAGGCAGCCCCAGCAGCAGATCTTGACAATAAGATTTGAGGCTGGGCACGGTGGCTCACACTTGTAATCTCAGCACTTTGGGAGGCCGAGGTGGGCGGATCACCTGAGGCCAGGAGTTCGAAACCAGCCTGGCCAACATGGTGAAACCCCATCTCTACTAAAAATACAAAAATTAGCCAGGCATGGTGGCACACACCTGTAGTCCCAGCTACTCGGGGAGGCTGAGGCAGAAGAATTGTTTGAACACAGGAGGGGGAGGTTGCAGTGAGCTGATATCACGCCACCGCACTCTAGCCTGGGCGACAGAGAGAGATTCGGTCTAAAAAAAGAAAGAGAATAAAATTTGAGTGCAGGCCGGGCATGGTGGCTCACTCCTGTAATCCCAGCACTTTGGGAGGCAGAGGCAGGAGGATCATGTGAGCCCAGGAGCTTGAGACCAGCCTGAGCAATATAGGGAGACCGCTATCTCAACAATCAATCAATCAATCAATCAATAAAAACATTAGCCAGGTATGCTGGTGCGTGCCTGTAGTCCTAGCTATTCTGGAGGCTGAGGTGGGAGGATTGCTTGAACCTGGGAGGCAGAGGCTGCAGTGAGCCAAGATTGTGCCACTGCACTCCAGCCTGCGAGACTGTGTGAGACTCTGTCTC
The DNA here is from genome assembly GCF_000001405.40 of Homo sapiens. Taxonomy (NCBI): domain Eukaryota; kingdom Metazoa; phylum Chordata; class Mammalia; order Primates; family Hominidae; genus Homo; species Homo sapiens. The sequence goes on along the minus strand of NC_000023.11, from coordinate 19,329,574 downwards.
AAAAAAAAAAAGAAAAAAAAAGAAACAAAAGATTTGAGTGTGAGTAGTTTATTTGACAGAAGCACCAGTCAGGGAGTGTGGAAGTGAGACAGGGAAGAGAAAGAAGCCAGTATAAGGCATTCTAAGGAGCACGTTACCTTTGTGGACAACTGGGGCTTCATACCCCTGGGAAGCTCCAGGAGAGAGTGCAGAACACATCTTGGGATTGTCCCAGCTGAGGGGAGAGGAAGCTGGGGTATTGATCCTCCCACTCTCATTGATCACTGGCAGAGGGAGGGCTCTCCTGGGGGGAACTCCCTGTCACCCTGGCCTTCCCTGCAAGCTGGCTCAGCACAGGCCCACCATAGCCAGACACAGCCCCTGGCTGGAGAGTGAGGGGTGCTTGCAGGAAGAATCCACCATTGGGCATGGGAACGGTGAGTGCCAAGGGTGTTACCATTGGTGCACTGACAGTGTGGGCTGCCCTGGCTCCATAGTGAACACATAGCAGATGCCCACTCAGTATTTTCAAATAAACTAATGACACTGGCAGCTGTTTTCCTTGTAGGATGAAAGAGTTAGACCTTTTTAGAGTAGAAGGTGAATTGAGGCTCGATCCAGCCAAGCCTCCCACTTCACAGATGAGCCAGCAGATCCAGAGAACTGAAACACATTGTCAAAGTAAGGCTTCCTTTCCCACCCAGTGATGGAGGGCTGTTTATGTGTGGGGTTGTGGAGCTGATCATTCTCGTTATGGACAAGCATTCAGCTCTGCACACTGGATTGCATGATTACTGTCTGTTTCTCAAACATTTCACCCAAGCTCTCTTCTGTTTCAGAGCTTTGAACTTGCTGTTTTCTTCTGCATAGAGTGGCCCCCCCTCTAGATCTCTGCACAGATTCCTCTTCTCATGATCCATGCCTCGGCTCCAGCAACACTTTCTCTTGGAGGCCACACTGGCCTATGGTTACAGAAAAGTTTAAGGAGGCATCATCAAATGGTCAAAGCACAAGGGCATAGGCATCCAGAGGCGGTGTGGACCTCAAACACAGAGAAGGGGGTGCCAATGTATGGGAAATGGGCAGGTAGTGTGGGTGGAAGGAAATGAAGACAGGCGATTCAAAGTACATGCATGCGGCCAAGCGTGGTGGCTCACGCCTATAATCTCAGCACTTTGGGAGGCCAAGGCAGGAGGATCGCCTGAGGCCAGAAGTTCAAGACCAGCCTGAGCAACATAGAGAGACCTGTCTCTATTATATATTTTTAAATATATATATATATATATATATATATATATTTAAAAATATATGTACATGCACGTTCAGCAAAGGCAGGTTGGAGAGCAATCTGTTTCATTTTGGCTAGTTGCGGTGCTGTGTATCTTCTGCTTCTACTATCAAAATCCCACTTTCCACCTTCTCCATCCTCTCCCGTGGCCCGGGAGGCTGACCTGTATGAACTGCATCAACAGAGTCAGTGGGTGACACCAGCAAAAGATGGAAGCCAAGTGGGGTCACCGTAATTATCCCCTCCATCACCCTCTCCAGACAAGAGGCCGCTTCAATTTGATTTCCATCTTAGAAAGATGACTTTGGTGACAGTGGGGAAAGGGGGCTAGAAGGGAGCCGGAGGAAGGAGGGCAGTTCGTGTGGTGTGAAGGATAATGCAAAGCTAATTCTGCAGCTGAGGACTTATGGCACAGAGTGGAAGGGGACTGGCTCCAGGGAAGCAGCAGGAGGAGCCCACTGCCTGTGGGGTTGGGTTGAGAAAGGAGGAAATATGAAAGCTTGGTTCTGTACAAGTTGCATTTCAAGTTCCTGTGGGACAACCCGATAGAGACATACAATGTGCAGGAGGACACACCCTCATCAAAGCAGACCCAGATGGCTTGTTCAAATAAGTTTTGTGTTTTTTAGAAATATAGCTGGGAGCTGTGGCCCATGCCTATAATCCCAGCACTTTGGGAGGTCGAGGCAGGCAGATTGCTTGAGTTTAGGAGTTTGAGACCAGTCTGGGCAACATGGCAAAACTCTTGTCTCCACCAAAAATACAAAAAAGTAGCTGGACATGGTGGCACACACCTGTGGTCCCAGCTACTTAGGTGGCTGAGGTGGGAGGATCACTCGAGCCTGGGAGTTTGAGGCTATTATGAGCTATGATTGTGCCGCTGCACTCCAGCCTGGGAAACATACTGAGACCCCATCTCTACAAAAAAATACAAAAATTAGCTAAGTGTGGTGGTGCATGCCTGTGGTCCCAGCTACTCTGGAGGCTGAGCTGGGAGGATTGCTTGAGCCTGGGAGGCAGAGGCTGCAGTAAGCTGTGATCACACCACTGCACTCCAGCCTGGGTGACAGAGTGAGACCCCCTCCCCCCACCCAAAAAAAAAAATACACACACACACACATATATATATGCACACACACACACACACACACATATATATATATACACACACACACAAAATATAGGCTAATTTATAAAATATCAAAAAATGCAAAAAAGAAAATAATCACAAATAATCCCATTATATAGACATCAGCATTAATTAATTCATTAATATGCTATATCTTTTCATACTTTTCTCCTTTCCTAGTTTGGATATCTACATTTTTATTTATCAGTGTTTAAGTATTTTAAAATTAAACAAATGTGAGTGAATTCTCTATTTTCAAAAACACAGATTAAAGTTTTTCTAGAGCTGTGATCAGCAAACTTTTTCTGTAAAGCTTCAGACAGTACATATGATAGGCATTGTAGGTCATATGGTCCCTATGTCACAACCGCTGGACTCTACCACTGTAGCAACTAAGCGGCCACAGGTAATAGGTAAACAAAATGGGCATGGCTGTGTTCCAATAAAACTATATTTATTAAACAGCTGCTGGTTGAATTTGGTCCATGGGCCAAATCCAGTTTGCTGATCTCAGCCCTAGATTAACACTTCCAGCTGGGCAAGGTAGCCCATGCCACCTGTAATCCCAGCACCTTGGGAGGCCAAGGTGGGTGGATCACTTGAGGTCAGGAGTTCGAGACCAGCCAGGCCAATGTGGCAAAACCCCGTCTCTACTAAAAATACAAAATTAGCCAGGCATGGTGGCATGTGCCTATAATCCCAGCTACTTGGGAGGCTGAGGCAGGAGAATCACTTGAACCCAGGAGGCAGAGGTTGCAGTGAGCCAAGATCATGTCATTGCACTCCAGCCTGGGCAATAGAGTGAGACTCTGTCTCAAAAACAAACAAACAGACAAACAAGAAAGCCCTTCCAATCTTAGTCCTCTTCTAGGGGTTACCACAATAGTCAGTTTTGTGGGCATTTTTCATGCCTGTTATTCTATGTGTTCACATAAAAGTGTGTGTGTGTTTAAGAGACAGAGTGAATTCAGTGATTCTCATCATTGGCTTTACATTAGAATCACCTGGGAGCTTTCAAAGCCCTTATACCTGAGTCCTATGCATGATTCCGATGTAATTGTCCGGGGCACTGCCCGGACATTGGGAGTTTTAAAAACTCCACAGTTGATTCTAATGCATAGATTCTAATGCACAGCCATGATTAAGACCCATGAATCTAAAGAAATACATCATCTTATTTTTTCTCTCTACATAAGTGATAATGGCAATTATTGTTTGGCAAACTTTTTTTCACACGAATATTTCTTAGAGATCATTCCATGCCAGCACATACACATCTTCCTCATTGTTTTAAATGCTACATTGTATACCAGAGTATGGGGCCATCTTCATTTAGGTAAGCATTCTAATACTAATGAGCGTTTCCTTGTCTTCTAGATTTTCATCCTTACAAATAATGCTGTAATAAACATCCTCCCACATGTTTCTTTGAGCATGCATGTGAGTGTTTTTCTTTTTTGAGACAGGGTCTTGCTCTGTCGCCCAGGCTGGAGTGCAGTGGCATGATCATGGGTAACAGGAGCCTCGACCTCCCAGGCTCAAGCAATCCTCCCACCTCAGCCTCCCGAATAGCTGGGACCACAGGTGTGAGCCACCACACCTGGCTAATTTTTGTATTTTTTTGTAGAGAGGGGTCTCACTATGTTGCCCAGGCTGGGAGTGTTTCTTTAGGGTCTATATCAGCAAGTGGAATTGCTAGGTCAATGGGTTTGCATATTTTGGATTTTATTGCTATTGCTATATTACCTTCAAAATAGCAGTGCAGGCTCACAATCTCATCACTCCAATTCTGATATCCAAAAAGTTCTGAAAGTTTAAAGGATTTTGCTGATTCATTTGGTGGTAAAATCCAATTCATTCTGAATCCATCTGGTTCCAAAACCTTACCTGAAGTGACATGAGCCTATTGAAAGTGTTTAATAGTCTTAGAGTTGCTATAGAACGTATTAATTGGATTGGAGTTTTAAAGGTGCTGTACAGACCCTGTTGTGGGTGTTATGCAACATATGGTGGGCACATTGCACTGCCTTTCTAGAATTAGAAGTGTTGTGAACTCTGAAATACAGCTGGTCCTATAGATTTCAAATAAGGGCCTGTGGACTGCCTCCCAGTTTACACCCCCAACAGTGGTACCTGAAAGCACCTCTCACAGCCCCTGAGGTCATACTTCTTAAGTTTTGCCAGTCTGATGGGTGAATAGTAGTAATCTCAGTTATTTACTTTGCATTTTCCCATTCCTAATGATTTTGTGCATCTTTTCCTAAGTAATTGATCATTTATGTTTCAACTTTTGTGTATTGCCTACTTAAATCCTTTGCTCATTTTTCTTTTGGGTGTCTGTCTTCTTATGAATTTTTAAGAGTTCTTTATATATGCAGTACATTTTTTACCTGTCACATATGTTGTGTATATTTTATTCCAATCGTGTCTCTAAGCCTTGTCTATGTTGTTTTTTTGCTGTACAGATATTTTTATTTTTTTTAATCTCTGTCTTCTCTGAGACAGGGTCTTGATCTGTCGCTCAGGCTGGAGTGCATTGGTGCGATCACGGCTCACTGCAGCCTTGCACTCCTGGGCTCAAGAAATCCACCTGCCTCAGTCTCCTGAGTAGCTGGGGCTACAGGCATGCATTATATGCCCAGCTAATTAATTTTTTTTTTTTTTGGTAAAGATGCCATCCCACTATGTAGCCCAGGCTGGTCTTGAACTCTTGGGCTCAAGCAATCCTTCCACCTCGGCCTCCCAAAGTGCTAGGATTATAGGAGTGAGCCACCATGCCTGGCCTTATTTTTAGTTTTGATGCAGTTACACTTATTAATCATTTCATCTCGAATCATGTCAATAATTAATGAGTTTGTGGGGGGTTTTCTTGGTCTTAAGAAGGCCTTTCCTAACTCCGAGGTTATAAACAGATTCCATATCTTCTTCTAATATTTCTATATTTTTGTGTTTATGTCTTTTACTCACCTGAAATTTATGTATGTGTGCATATGTGTGAGTGCATATGTGTTGGCTTGAATGGCATGATATGGAAATCCCAACTCCTCTCCTCAAATGGATAGCTAATTATCCCAGCCCATTTATTGCATAGACTATCCTTTCCCCACTAATTTGAACTACCACTGCTGTTATCTACTGTCATCCCTCGGTATAGGCCAGGGATTGGTTCCAGGACACCCTCCTCCCCACTGCGTATAACAAAATCCTCAAATACTTAAGTCCCACAGTCAGCCCTTTTAGACCAAGTCAGCCTTCCATATTTGCAGGTGCTGCATCCCAAGAATACTCTTTTTTTTTTTTTTTTTTTTTTTGAGACAGAGTCTCGCTCTCTCACCCAGGCTAGAGCACAATGGTGCAATCTGGGCTCACTGCAACCTCTGCCTTCCAGGTTCAAGCAATTCTCCTGCCTCAGCCTCCTGAGTAGCTGGGATTACAGGCGCCCACCACCACATCTGGCTAATTTTTGTATTTTTGGTAGAGATAGGGTTTTACCATGTTGGCCAGGCTGGTCTTGAACTCCTGACCTCAGGTGATCCGCCCACCTCAGCCTCCCAAAGTACTGGGATTATAGGTGTGAGCCACCACACCCGGCCCCAAGAATACTGTATTTTCAATCTTCCTTTGGTTGAAAAAAAATTGTGTATAAGTAGACTCTCATAGTTCAAACTCATGTTGTTCAAGGGTCAACTGTATTTATTTTATTTATTTAATTAACAAACACTTCAATTGCGCTTGCTATGTGCTGGGTACCAGTCAAAGCACATCATCAATATTAACTCATTTAATCCTCACATAGAAATCCTATGAGGTGGGTACTCTGAGCATTTCCTCTTTACTTATGAAGAAACAGGCACATGGGGGGCCATCTAGCAAGTGGTTGACCCAGGATTTGAACCAAGGATGTTTGCAGCCATAGACCAGAATAGAGTTCCTGCCCCAAGTTCGACTTCTAGGTATCTACTCAAGAGGGATACATACATACAGGTCACTGAAAGGCTTGTACTTAATCTCCAAATGAGTCTCTTTATTAGGGGATCTGAATTCCTTTCTATTGCTCTATTGTTTTTTGTGCCAATACTGTACTATTTTTAATTATCATAGCTATATAGCATGCTCTTCTATCTGGTAGAAGAAGACATTCCCTTATTGCTCTTTTTTTAAACAATGTCGTGCCTATTCCAGTGCATTCTTATTTCCATGTGAATTTTAGAATCATCCTATGAAGGTCTGAAAAATCCTCTTGTGCCAGGCACGGTGGCTCATGCCTGTAATCCCAGCACTTTGGGAGGCTGAGGTGGGATGATCGCTTGAGCTGGGAATTTTGAGACCAGCCTGGGTAACATGGCGAGACCCCATCTCTACAAAAAGTACAAAACCTAGCAGGGCATGGTGGCACATGCATGTGGTCTCAGCTACTTGGGAGGCCGAGGCAGGAGGATTGCTTGAGCCCAGGAGGTTGATCCTGTAGTGAGCCATGACTGCATCACTGTACTCCAGCCTGGGCATCACAGTGAGACCCTGTCTTAGAAAAAATTATCTTGCAATATATGGTTCAGTCAGGTTTCATCAATTTCTCTTCAGGAGCTGATGCAATGTAGTAGTTCAAACACCAGCTCCCGAGCCAACTTCTTGGGTTCTATTCTCAGCTCTGATGCTTAGTAGCTGTGCAACCTTAAATAACGTAGCTAATCTGTGTTCTAGCTTCTTCACAGGGCAAGAGGAGATAATAAGAGTGCTAGCTCTTTGGATTCTTGAGAGGATTCTATTTAATCTTGAAAGGACTAAGTACTTAATTTGCTACTGCAAATACATGTCAATTACTTAGCTTTTTATTATTTTTTGCATTTCTTCTTAGACATATTCAAAGGTATGTTATCATTTTTGTAGCTATTGAAAAAGAGATTTTTTTCTATTACAACTTATAATTTTCATCGCTAACATGTCTGTTCATTTTCAGTTGATTTGCCAGAAAATCATACTGTCAGAATATACTCTGACAATGTTCTCCTCTTTTATTTGTATTTCATTTCTTTTTCTTGTCCTAATGCCTTGTCTAGGATTCTAGGACATTGTTGAACAGTAGTAATATTGTACTTGTCTTGTTCCTGACTTTGTGTGACAGATACTGTTGGTTGCATCTTGGTTCGGCCATTTTGCGTTTCTTCTTTTGAAGAGAGCCTTGATTTTGTTCAGGTGTCAGACATCACCCCCTCCCCCCGTCCCCCCCACCCACCCCAATCCTTGGGAAGAATCTTAATTTAAGCCAATCATGGAAATTCTGTTCTGCTTGCTATTGACTGGTTTATGAATGGGCCTGGAAGGCAGTTGTGATTAATGAGACATATGGAACTGTCTGGGGACTTCTGGGAAAGTTTTCCTGACTTTTAAGAAAATATTGGAGGTAAAGAGGTATTTTCCTTCCCAAGTCTAGCCTTTGGATGCTGTTGTATGAGGATAGGATTCTTAGAGCAAAGGGAATACTGATGGATAGTGAAGGAAGGTAGTCATAAACATCAGCTATGACTATGTGACTAGCATAGAAACCAGAACTGTAATCGTCATGAGTATTTCTTATTTTGTTGTGACTATGTTTGTGTGTGTGAAATACCTTTTGTTTCTTCCCTTTCTTATCCCCTTGTTATGTAACATAAGATGTGTTGATTTTATATCATAGTATTTAGGTATTATTCACTTTACATCATAGTATTTAAGTTATGGGACGTCAAAGAGAAGGGTAAACATTAAAGACTTTACCTTCTCTTCTGGGGAAGGGGTTAGTGGGTTTTCAGTTGTATGCAGGATGGTTCTATCATGTTAGGTGGAATTATGACCTTGTTATTATCTCTATTTAGAGACTAAGTGTGGCTTAAGGAGATGCATATAAATGCCAGGTTCACAAGGGATGGACTTGTGATGTTTAATTTTATGTGTGAACCTGCCTGAGCCATTTTGCCCAGATATTTGGTCAAACGTTTTTGAGTGAGATTAACATTGGGATTGGTAGATTGAGTAAAGCACATTGCCCTTCATAAAGTGGGTGGGGCTCATCCCATCAGTTGAAGGCCTGAATAGAACAAAAGACTGACCTTCCTCAAGCAGGAAGGAATTCTGCCAGCATACTGCCTTCAAACTTGAACTTCAACATTGACTTTTCCCTGGGTCTCCAGCCTACTGGTCTACCCTGCATAGCCTCCATAATCACATTAATACACCTTAAATCTCTAAACTCCAAGCCTGTTTCTCACATTTGGTAGCCTTATCTTCTAAATGTCTTTCAAGGAGAAATGCCTTTAACTATGCTCTTAATTCCCAGAAGTGCATGGTTGAATTACAGTCATGCACCACATAACGACAATCAGTCAATGAAAAAATGTATATAGGACAGTGGTCCCATAAGATTATAATGGAGCTGAAAAATCACTATCTCACAAATACTTACATTGTGTTACAGTTGCCTATGGTATTCAGTACAGTAACATGCTGGACAGGTTTATAGCCTAGGAGCAATAGGCTATATCATGTAGCCTAGGTATGTAGTAGGCTATACCATCTAGGTTTGTGTAAGTACACTCTATGATGTTTGCAAGATGATGAAATTGCCTAACAAGGCATTTCTGAGAACATTCTCCATTGTTAGGTAACACATGACTGTATTTAGAATTAGATCACAGTCATGGCCATCCAGGTAATCAAAGGTAGTTGAGTAAAATCAACCATTCATAGCAATCAGAGGCCACAACTTTAAGTAAACATTCTAAGAAATGTAAGTTCCTATAAGAAGCATTCATAGCTCCAAGTTTACAAGTCAACAGTCCTTGGAAGCAAACCTTTCAACGTTTTAGGACGCTTCTTTGGATTTTTGTTGTTTTCTTTTTAAGGGCAACTTTATGATGTCAACATACAGAATAACTAAAGCTTAACTGAATTTTTATGGTAACTGATATAAACGGATTTGCTCACACCCATCTAAATAAAGGCTGATTGTTAATTTGGGGTTTTGCATCTTCAAAACCCCAAATTTTCTTTAAGATTTCTTATATTTTCTTTTAAGATTTCTGTAAAAATTGTGACCTCTTTTTTGAGAGATAATTTAAATAGAGTGCATAAATCTTAAAGAGTACAGCTTGATGAACTTTTGTATATGTCTACACCCGTGGAACTACCACTGAAATTAAGATATGGAACTTTCTAGCATCCCTGAAGGCTCCCTCATGCCTCTTGCCAGTCAATACCACCCTCCCAGAAGTAACCACTGTTCTGATTTCTTTTCTCGCCTGTTTTTGAACTTCATATAACTGGAATCATATAGTATGTGTTCTTTCTTGCCTGGCTTCATTCATTTGACTTAATATCTATGAGATTTGTCCATGTTGTTGAATGTACTCTGCTTCTAACTTGATCTTGCTTAAAATTAAAATCATTTTGGTTTATATTAACTTGGTTACTTATTTGTAAAATGGGATATATGACAGTTACCTCTCAGGGTTTGGGGAAGAATCAAATTTATAGACAGCTGCATCCATATTAGTTTTATGGTTTGATAATAATAGGTAAGAAATATAACTGGAAACACTAGTCACAGAACCAAAGCCCATGGTGCTTCCCTGAACAGAAAGCAAATGCTATCTTGGGAAGGCCTTTCTTGAGGTTACAGAGCATGTCCTTTGCCAACTTTGTTGCCCCCTTTTCTTAGAGAAAAAGCTCTTTGCATCATTTCTCCACCCAGAGTGCCACTGAGCCAAACCAAAGACTATTGCTAACATTGAGTCAACTCATGAGGAAGACATTATTTTCCATAGATCTCTGTGATCTGTGTGGTTTGGATCTGCTGAAAGGGTAGGCTCCCCAAAGCCCCATTCATGTATGTGAGCCTGCTCCACAGAGTCTTGGGAAACCCATGCTCTATCTGAGTGATACCCTTGGTTTCTGTCATCTGGACCTCCTCTCCAGCTGGAGGCGGAAGGATCCTCGCTGCCAAGGAGCGCTCCATGCTGGCCACACATCTGAGACATCAAGGAGCTGAAGCATCTCCAGAAGGAATCTGCAATTCATTATGCTTCGCAAGTTGCCGTCAGTGCAGGACCAGTTCTTTTAAGGCCCTGGATGAGGTGCAGTGTGCGACTTTGGCAGGCTTACCTAAGTCACACACCCGTGGGGGAGATGGAGAATACCAATGTCGCTTGGAAGAACCTCACTCTTTGCAGGAGGGGAAAGCATCACCAGCCAGGACATTTGGCAGTAGAGTCCTGCCCTCCTGGGCACAATCAGCTCTACCTGTTAGTCATCTGCAGTATGGAAAGTTTGGCTGCCTATTGAGAGGGATGGAATGAATAATTTTCCTGTGCTCTGTTGAGCTGGGATAGGCTTCTGACATTTCTCTTACACCACAGAGTAGCATCTTCCTCTAATAAATCACAGGTTCTATGTTGCAAGCTGGGAGCTAGAAGTGGGAATTGTACAGGGAAAACTGGCCTTATGGGTAGATGCGCAGCCACCCAAAAGCATGGCAGAGGGGATAAGAGCCTAGACTCTAAAGTCAGGCTGCCTGAGTTCAAATCTTGGCTCTACCAGTTACTTGCTGAGCACCTGTCCCTGGGACTCAGTGTCCCTTAACGTATCACATGGCTATACCCTCCAAGGTCTTGCCACCTTCCTGGGGCATTGACAAGGCAGCAGGGATCATGAGGCTGCTGTCCCCCCTTCCCTCAGGGCCTCATCATAGAACATTTCATCATATTCCATGACAACTAAAACTTATTTAGAAAAATTAATACCTACACAAAAGTAACAACAAGAACAGTACAACAAATACTTGTACACCATTCACCTGGATTTATGTATTGTTAACATTTTACCATATTTGCTTTCTCTCCCTCTTTCCCTCTCGCTCCATAACTTTAAATGAACCATTTGAGCACAAGTTGTAGACGTGATAACCTTTTACCCCACCCTGAATACTTCAGCATGTGTCTCTTATGAACAAGGAAACTCTTATGAAAAAACAATATAATTATCAAGGCCGAGACATTCAACAGTGGTAGACACAATATTATTCTCTACATAGAGTCTCTATTCAAATTTTACATCTCAAGGAACTAGAAAAGGAACAGACTAAGCCCAAAGTTAGCATAAAGAAGGAAATAACAAAGACCAGAGCAGGAATAAATGAAATAGAGATTAGAAAAACAATAGAAAAGATGAACAAAATTAAGAATTGGTATTAGCCAGGCCTGGTGGTGCCTGCCTATAGTCCCAGCTACTTGGGAGGCTGAGGCAGGAGGATTGCTTGAACCTGGGAGGCGGAGATTGCAGTGAGCCGAGATCGTGCCACTGCACTCCAGCCTGGGCAACAGAGCCAGACTCTGTTTCTAAAAAAAAAAAAAAAAAAAAAAAAAAAATTAAGAATTGGTTTTTTAAAAAGATAAAATTGACAAACCTATAGCTAGACTAACTGAGAAAAAAGAGAAGACTCAAATAAAATTATAAATGAGAGGAGACATTATAACTGATACAATTCTACACCAACAATTTTGATAACCTGAAAGAAATGGATAAATTTCTAGAAACATACAATCTACCCAGACTGAATCATAAAGAAATAGAAAATCTGATAGACCAATAACTGGTAAGGAGATTGAATTAGTAATCAAAAACTTCTCAACAAAGAAAAGCCCAAGACCAGATGGCTTGACTGCTGAATTCTGCTAAACATTTAAGGAAGAATTAATACAAATTTGTTCAAATTATTCCAGAAAACCGAAGAGGAGAGAACACTTCCAAACTCACTTTATGAGGCATTACCCTGATACCAAAGCCGAAAAGGACACTATAGGAAAAAATAATAGGCCAATATCCCTGATAAACATTGGTGCAAAACTCTATAACAAAATATTAGCAAACTGAATTTAACAGCACATTAAAAGGATCATACAGTATGATCAAGTGGGATTTATGCCTGGGATAGAAAAATGTTTCAACATATGCCAATCAGTAAATGTAATACACCACAGTTATCAGAATGAAGGATAAAAATCATATGATCATCTCAATAGATGCAGGAAAAAGCATTTGACAAAATTCAACACTCTTTCATGATAAAGACTCTCAATAAATTAGTTATAGAAGGAATGTACTTCATTATACTAAAGGTCACATATGACAAGCCCACAACTAACATCATAACTCAAAGGTGAAAAGTTGAAAGCTTTTACTCTAAGTTCAGGAACAACACAAAGATGCAAACTCTCACCACTTTTATTCAACATGTTACTGGAAGTCCTAGCCAGAGCAATTAGGTAAAATAACAACAACACATAAATAAAAGGCATCCAGATTAGAAAAGAAGCAGTAAAATTGTTTATTTGCTGATGACATGATCTTACATGTAAAAAACCCTAAAGACACTAAAACCGTTACAACTAATAAACAAATTCAATAAAGTTGCTGGATACAAAATCAACATACAAAGATCAGTTGCATTTTAATACAATAACAGCAAACTAGCTGAAAAAGGAATTTCAAAAAAAAAATCCATTTACAACAGCATCAGAAAACATAAAATATTTAGGATAAATTTAACCAAGGAGGTGAAAGATCTATATGCTCAAAACTATAAAGCATTACTGAAAGAAGTTAAGACTCAAATAAATGGAAAGATATTTTGTGTTCACAGACTGGAAGAATTAATGTTGTTAAAATGTTCTTATTGCCCAAAGCAATCTATATATTCAATGCAATCCTTGTAAAAATTCCAATGGCATTTTTCATAGAAATATAAAAATCAATCCTAAAATTCATATGGAACCACAAAAGACCCCCAATAGTCAAAGCAATCTGTGAAAGAAGAACAAAACTAGAGACATCACACTTCCTGATTTTAAAATACTTTACAAAGCTACAGTAATCAAAACAGCATGGTGCTGGCATAAAGACATATATACCAATGGAACAGAATAGAGAGTCCAGAAATAAACTTATGCATATATGATCAACTAATCTTTGACAAGAATACCAAGACTACACACTGGGGAAAGGATAGTCTCTTCAGGGAATGGTTTTGGGAAAACTGGATATCCATATGCCAAAGAATGAATTTGTACCCTTATCTCACACCATATAAAAAAATCAACTAAAAATGGATTAAAGACTTACATGTAAAACCCAAAACTGTAAAACTATTAGAATACATAGGGAAAACAATTTTTGATGCTGGTCTGTGCAATAATTTTTTGGATATGACCCCAAAAACACAGGTAACAAAAGCAAAAAAATCCAAGTGGGATCGCATCAGACTAAAAAGCTCCCGTACAGCAAAGGAAACAATTAGCAGAGTGAAGAGACAACTACAGAATGAAAGAAAATATTTGCTAACCACACATTTGATAAGGGGTTACTAAGCAAACTATATAAGGAACTCAAACAACTCAACAGCAAAAAGAACTAAATAATATGACTAAAAAATGAGCAAAGGACTTGAATAGACATTTCTTCAATTAAGACATATAAATAGACCTCAGCCACATGAAAATGTGCTTATCATCATAATCATCAGGAAAATGCAAATCAAAAAAACAATGAAATATCACATCACATCTATTAGGATGAGTATTATCAAAAAGACAGAAAAGTGTTGATGAAGATGTGGAGAAAAGAGGAACCTTGTAAAATTCCCAGCAGTATGGAAGTTCCTCAAAAAATTAAAAATAGAACTGCCATATTATTCAGCAATCCCACTTCTGAGTGTATATACCTGGAAGAAATAAAATCAGTATCTTGAAGAAATGTCTGCACTCATATGTTCATTGCAGCAATTAGTCACAATAGCCAAGATATGGAAACAACCTAAGTGTCCATTAATGGATGAATGGACAAAGAAAATGTGGTGTATAGATACATGATGGAATATTATTCTGCCCACAGGAGAAGGAAATTCTGCCATTTGCAACACCATGGATGAAGCTGGAGGACATTATGCTAAATGAAATAAGCCAGACATAGAAAGACAAATACTGCTGATCTCACTTATTTGTGGAATCTCAAAAAGTCAAACTCATAAAAAACAGAGCAGAATGGTGGTTGCCAGGGGCTGGGAGTGAGGGAAATGGGGAAATGTTGGTCAAGGCGTACAAAGTTTCAGTTATGCAGAATGAATAAGTTCTGGAGATCTAACGTATAGCATGATGACTATAGGTAACAATATTGTGTCATATACTTGAAATTTGCTAAGACAGTAGATCTTAAGTGTTCTCATCACACACACACACACGCACACACACACAAAGTAACTGTGAGGTTATAAATTGTTAAATAGCTTGATTATGGTTATCATTTTACAATGTGTACATAGATCAAAACATCAAGTTGTAAACATTAAATATATACAATTTTTGTCAATTATATTGCAATGAAGCCAGGAAAAATAAAAACAAAATGAATTTAAATAATTCCATATATTTTATAATGAATAACATGTTGAAAAGGTAAAATTCAACTGATACTAGCTGTTTTTTAAAAACTTCTAAGACTTCAAAATTCAAATACTACTTCTTGACTGCATTTTCTGCAAGGTTGTTCAAAGAAGGAAAAATATGGGGAGGAAGGAAGTATTTAAAACTGTTTTTTTGAAAATTTTATTTAATTTAAAAATTATACTAAAATACTCATACATTTACCATTTTAACCATTTTAAAGGGTATAATTTAGTGACATTTAGTATATTCACAACATCATGCAACCATTACTGCTATCTAGGCCCAAAACATTTTCATCACCCCTTTTCAATTAAGCAGTTATTTCCCATTCCTCTGTCCTCCCAGCCCCTGGCAACCACTAACTACTTTGTCTCCATGGATTTGCCTATTCTGGACATTTTATATAAATTGAATCATATAATATCGGCTCTTTGTGACTTTTTTCACTTAGCATAATGTTTTCAATGTTCATCCATGCTGTAGACTGTTATCAGTGCTTCATTTCTTTTTATGGCTAAGTAATATTCCACTGTATGGATATACCAACTTTTGTTTATCCATTCCTCAGTTGATAGACATTTGTGTTGTTTCCACCTTTTGGCTATTTATGAATAATGCTTCTATGGACATTTGTGTACAAGTTTTGGTTTGAACACCTATTTTCAGATCTTTTGGGTATACACCCAGGAGTGGAACTGCATAAACATAGCAAGTCTATGTTTAACTTGTTTAGTTACCACCCTCTATGATTTAAATGTTTGTCCCCTCCAAAAATGCATATTAAAATTTAATTGCCATTGAAACAGTATCAAGAGATGGGAACTTTGAGAGGTAATAGGCCATGAGGGCTCCACCCTCATGGGTGGGATTCGTGCCATTATAAAAGGGTGAGTTTGGTCCCCCTCTTGTCCTCTCTCTCTCCTTTTCACCTTCTGCCATGTGAGGACACAGCAAGAAGGCCCTTGTCAGATGCCAGTGTCTTGATATTGGACTTCACAGCCTCCAGAACTGTAAGCCAGTAAATACCTGTTCATCACAAATTACCCACTCTCAGGTATTCTGTTATAGCAGCACAGAACAGACTAAGACACCACCAAATTGTTTTCCACAGTGGCTGCACTAATTGACATTCCCATGATTTGTGTGATTTTCAAGTCCTTTTGAAATTGCTCCACCAAGGTTTCTCCAATGAAGCGTGTGTTTTGGTTTCATTCATTCCAGTCACAGTAATGGGGGTCTCAGGTTATGCAGGGCCTTCTCTGGGGCAGCACAAGTTAATGTGCTGTCATCTTGGATGGGGGCCTCAAGCTCTGATCCCAAGAAGCCTAAGTGGTAATGTGATAGCATAAACTGGGGCAGTGGTAACACAACCAGGCACCATGTGACCAAGGCAGCCTGCAGCCTGCTTGTTTCATAGAAGCTGGGGCCTTCAGTGGACAGGATGAGATGATAGAGGAAGTACCTAACTAAAGAACCAGACAGCACTCAGTGTTTCAAGACAGTCCCTAAATATTATTTCAAGTTCTAAGGGAAGCAAGAGAGTACAGATGTTGTCAGGGACTGAAGTCAGCTTGCAAAATCCTTCTAAGAGCAAACCAGTTTCCATTGACCAGAACCCATAGGGCAATGAGGATGAATGCTGCACAGCTAAAATCTCTAGGACAGCTTGGCTTGGTGAGTTGGGACTGATGCTAACATGAACCTTTATTTTTCAGAATTCCTGGCCTTTCCCTGCTGCACTTGCTTCCAGGAGGTGCAGAACAAAGAAAACAAATACTCAGACCAGCTTTGTTTATGGTTTGGTGTCTTATTGCCTGCCTCTGCCCTCAAATTGAACATCTTATTTGAGCCCTTCGGGCACTTTGTTTCCCATTGTGTGTTCTTCCTTTTCTTGGCATTGCTCCCTGCCTCAGAAGCCTACCCTTCCATTCTTCCTATCAAAACCTACTAGGGAAGGGGTCCAGTGCCAGCCCTTTACATCTTAGTGAGAAGTTAAATCAGCCAACTCTTGGCATACCTCTAATGTCATTTGCTGGATATGTGATATGTTTTGGCTGTGTCCCCACCCAAATATCATCTTAAATTGTAGCTCCTACAATTCCCACGTGTTGTGGGAGGGACCCAGTGTGAGGTAATTGAATCATGGGGGTGGGTCTTTCCTGAGCTATTCTCATGATAATGAATAAGTCTCATGAGATCTGATGGTTTTATAAAGAGGCATTCCCCTACACAAGTTCTCTTTGCCTGCCGCCATCCATGTAAGACATGACTTGCTGCTCCTTGCCTTCTGCCATGATTGTGAGGCCTCTCCAACCATGTGGAACTGTGAGTCCATTAAACCTTGTTCCTTTATAAATTACCCAGTCTCGGGTATGTCTTTATTAGCAGTGTGAGAACAGACTAATACAATTTGGTTACTTAAGAACATACTGACCCTTCCAGGAATGGAGTCATTGCTATATGTTTTTGAGCATCTATTATGCACTAGTGTATATGGCACATTCTCCTTTAATCCCCACAACAATCCTATGAGGTAGGCACTATCATCTCCATTCACAGATAAGAAGGTTAAGGTCTTATGAGGTTAAGTAAATTAGACTCAGTTCTACACTACATTCTAAACTCTGAGGTTCCAGGAAACATAGCTTCCCCATGGCCCTTGGACTTTTGCTTTACACACAATAGAGGTTTGATAAACATCTAGCTTTTTTTTTTTTAGAAAGTTAAATATAAATTTGTTTTGGCTCCCTGATCAATATAGAATTAAATGTAAACCTGCCCTGAAAAGGGTGGGAGGTAGGGATGGGGAAAGGGTGGATAGGGAGTTAAAACTCCCTAAAGTCCATCTTGCCAACATGATTGATTTGACATCTAATGATCTTCCACCCAGGAAATAATTTTATCAGAGGTCAAAATTTTCAGAAACTGAGCTTAGAGAACTGGTTGGCATCCAAGTGCTTCAATTCACTGTTTGATCAGTTCTCTAAAGATATGACATAATCACCCCCTCCCCACTTGATGTCTCCCTCCCTTCTTTCCAACACACGTGAATTTAAGATTTGCTATGATCTACCTGTGATACTGTGAGCTGGGATTATGAGAAAAGCCTTGGATTCGGCATGAGGAAGCCCAGATTTGGGTTCTAGGTTTGGGACCTTGGGCGAATGACTTAACTTCTCTGAGACTCCCTTGGAGAATGAAGATAGCAGTACCTTATTTACCACTGTGCTGGGACCCGGTGAGTGAACCAATATAAACATTCAGGTCAGGACAATGCACATATTTACCTCTGGTGATTATGATCACCAGGATCCATTGGTGCAAGAGTAGGGTTTAGGGAAGACCCAGCCCTAAACGCTACTCTTGCATAAGCAGAACAAAATGGGTACAAACCATGAGACAGGCAGGGAGTTCTTTTGCATGTGGAGTGAGTACTAATGATTGCAGGGCTTTGCTCTGCAAAGCAATGATGTGTCCTAGCTCAGAGTCCACATCCACAAGACCCCTCGCTCCTCCTGCGGGCCTGTCTTCCAGAGTTCAGGGGGTATACAGCTGCACAACCTCCAGAGGGTCATGGCCACAGGCTCAGAGGCTACTGGGTATCCCTAGCTGTGTATAGTCATGGCCTGTGTCCTCAGAGCCCTTCTGGAAGGCAGGTCAAGCAGCTTCCTCACAGAGGCCTGCCTGTCTTCCAAGCTGCAGGACTGCAGCCGCTATGGGGAGTTCTGCCAGCTGATCACCCACTTGTCTGGTCTAGTGGGGCTGAGTCCACACCTACATGTCTTCTATGTTTTGATCCTGGTCCTTGGTGTTGATGACTGTGGGCCATTTGGTGGCCTACTCAACACGCTGGGTCAGCTCTGGGTAAGATAGAAAAGACAGGAAAGGTTCTTTTCTTCAACAGGTACTTATTCAGTGCCCACTACAGACTTCTTCCTCCACTGAAGAAGTTTTTTCCATTTTTCTCCTTTCTTTCTGCTGAGGCCAGGGTTCCCCACCATGCTGCCCATTTCAGCCTGACCTAGGGGAAAATGCCCTGATAAACTCATTGGTACCACGCAGCTGGTGAACTGATGTTATATGCCTGCAACTTCAAGGAATGCCCAGAAAAATGCCATGTTGAAACAAATGAACTACTACCTCGCACAGGTGCCGTGCTAGTCATGTTTGTATCCTTCTGATTTTAGTACATGTGAGATGGAATTTCTAGAATGGGTGGTGGGTAGTGGGGAAGATATTTTAGGACAAGGTCTTTTTGAGATTTTTTTTTTTTAAATTTTTGAGACAGGGTCTTGCCCTGTCGCCCAGGCTGGAGTGCAGTAGCACGATCTTGGCTCACTGCAGCCTCGACCTCCTGGGATCAAGTGATCCTCCCACCTCAGCTTCATGAGTAACTGGGACTTACAGGCATGTGCCACCATGCCTGGCTAAAGAAGATCTTCTTGATATGCTCCCAATTTCACCTTGTAGAAAGCTGTCATCATCTCCTGCTTAGACTATCCCACAGTCTCTCTGCCCCTCCTCATCCATTCTCCACACAGCTGCCAGAACTATTCATTCAAGTTCAATCAGCTCATTCCTCGCCTTTAAAATCCTCCAGTAGTTTTTCTTATCGCACTTAGAATGAAACCCCAGTGCCTTCCTATGTGTACAAAGCCTGGCATTAGCTGGATTCTGCCTCTGATCCCATGTTGTGCTCACTCCAGACCACCCACATTGGCCTTCTTGTTGTTTTTGGGATATATCAAGGTTATTCTCACCTCAGGGCCTTTGCGCTTGCCATTCCCTCTGCTGAGAACACTCTCCAGGTACTCTCATGGCTCACTCTTCCACTCGTGGGTTTGTTTGTTTGTTTGTTTGTTTGTTCTGAGACAGGGTCTTGCTCTGTCACCTGGGCTGAAGTGCAGTGGTGCGATCATGGCTCACTGCAACCTCAGCCTCCTGGGCTCAAGCGATCCTCCTGTGAGTAGCTGGGGCTATAGGTGCACGCCCCCATGCTCAGCTAATTTTTGTATTTTTTGTAGAGACGGGGTTTCACCACATCAGCCAGGCTGGTTTCGAATTCCTGTACTCAAGGGATCCTCCTGCCTCGGCCTCCCAAAGTGTTGAAATTACAGGCATGAGCCACCAATTTTGATATTTGCTTAAACAACATCTCCTCAGAGACGCCTTCCCTGACTATCCTATTAAGACAGCCACCCACCTAGCCACTTCCTATCCTTTCACACCATCAGAGGACTTATCACCCCCTGGAATGACACCGCCTACTTATTTGTTGACCTGTTGTCTGTCTCCTCTGTTGAAACATAATCAGGACATTTCCTGTCACATTTACACTACATTTCTAGCATCTAGCACAGGGCCCCACATATAGGAGGAGCTCAATTAATTTTTGTTGAAATAATAAACCACTGACTTCACCCACATGTAAAACTGGTCTTGGATATAGATGGCTTTTGTTCCTCAACCCTACCAGAAATTAGAAATTCACAGCAGCTTCTGAAGAGTATGTAGATTAGCAGATTTTGTGTCAACTTCAGGTGTGGTAGCGAATTCAAGTCTTTTTTTTTTTGGCATAATATCAGAGCATAATTTTAAGTTTCTCAAACAAAAACACAAGCTACGTCATTATATGTGTATCTCTGAGTATCAAACATACACAAAAATGTAAATGTAATAGTTAAAAACTTAGCAGTAAGGATAGAAAGAATGATAATATTCAGGGATTATCTCTGCTTACACTTCAATTGTAAAAGCTAATTATTTGTTAATATTGAAGTTGGTTAAACTTGGTTTCTTGCTTTACATATATTAGTGGTCAAATTCAAATATGCTTTTGAAATAAAAGCTGTACTTATTAATGGACACTAATAACTTATCTAGGTGTAACCATCCCACAATGATGTTTGTAGATTTAAATGTAAACTGAAGGGTAACTCCTACAACTTCCATTATTCTTGTCTATTGTGTTTTGATGATACTAACATTAGTTTCCCATATTCATTTTCTTTGTGAGATTTACTTATTTTGCTATGCAAGGAGATTGCTACTGGGTGTGCTGTCTCATGCCTATAATCTCAGCACTTTGGGAGGTGGAGGCAGGAGGATCACTTGAGCTCAGGAGTTCAAGACAAACCTTGGCAATAGAGCGAGACCCCGTCTCTACAATAAATTTAAGAAATTAGCCAGGCATGGTGGCACGTGCCTGTTGTCCCAGCCATTCAGGAGGCTGAGGTGGGAGGAGCGCTTGAGGCCAGGAGTGTGAGGCTGCAGTGAGCTATGATAGTGCCATTGCACTCCAGCCTGGGTGACAGAGCGAGACCCTGTCTCAAAAAAAAAAAAAAAAGAAGAAGAAGAAGAAGAAGAAGAAGAAGATGATGATGATTGCTATATTTAAATTAGCTTATAAATCATACCTTGTAAAACTCTCTTAGTAGTCAATCAGAAACTACATTGTCACTGATATTTCTAAGTAGTGGGGATGCTTTGAGAGACACTTCAAATTTAGGTGGGTATATGCAGTATCATTCTGCTGTTCACCAGGATTTCACATTTTTCGTAGTGCTATTAATTTGAGATGGTACCTTTTCCAGAAAGCAGTGTGATTTTGTGTGCTTCTCAGAAAAAAACCCCAATAACACTCCCCTCCCCACCCAAACCAACAAACCAAAAACCCCAGAGGCCAACACAGTTTGTCCACGTGCTAGGGATGCCCACACTCTTCTATGAAGGAATATTCATGACCTCCCATGTGAAGTGAAATGCTTATTATTTGTCAGATATACCTTAATAAAGCTGATTTTAAAAGTTTGCTTTACGTAAGAATATTATATGGAGTTGAAGTGACTGTGAACACCAAAGTGAGGAGAAAACAGATTAGCAAATGATCTTCCTACAGATTCATGCAGAAATCAGAAAAACAATGGGTAAGTGGAAAAGGCATAGAATGGAATGGTGATTGTAGAAGCTGAGTCTATTTCTGGGTAGTTCGGCAATGGAACCCTCTGCAGGGGGTTAGAGAGCTTTGAAAAATTCCATCATGCTTTAAGGCAGCTTGTCTCCACCCCAGAGGACATAGGGGAATTACCAGGGGAGAATTTTCAAGTGACATCTTTCCCTACTCCAAGGGCTTCTGATGTTCCTTGGGATTGCAGTGTGGGCTAGATATCTTCCGTTTGTTCCCCAGATCCATTCTTCCTTCTCCTCCACTCTGCTGTATGCCTGGGAAGGCCGCCCCATATGGATGGCATCATCAGGCTCCCTTGCTCTCCCTCTTCTGGTTGGGTTTGGCCAATAGAAGGTTGCGGCAGGAACGGGAGGGCAGGAGAGAGTGAGGTTGGGCTACTTATTCTCCAGGTCCCCTCCCCGCTAGGTCAACATGGCTTGCTGGGTTTTGTGGTGTACCAACCAGCTCCCACAAGATGGATGCCCCCACAGCTTCTCTTCCAGGTTCTGGTTACTGCTCTTTTCTTTGCCTCTTTCCAAGCTTAGGGGAGTGGGTGGGATGGTCAGGCGGTCTTCAGAATAGCAAGAAAGCCTAAGTCAGGAAGAAGCTGGATGGCAAAGGAAAGCGGAGATGGGGTAGAGGAGCAGTTATTAGAGCAGAGAATGCATGGGATGCCACCATTTTCCTTTTACTTCAGGGCCTATAGAAATCCTGATGAGCCTGGAAGTACTTGGACAGCAAAAGACCAAACTTGCCAATTTGTAAAACCAACTTGGACGTGGCCACTCATTAGACGACTGCATATTAAACTTTAAAAAAGAAAACAGCACACAGGAAACATTATGCTCCTTTTCCCCTCACTGACTGTTTCAACTAATGGGCCTGTAGATTAGTCACTTTGCTAATGAGTAGTTTTACCCTGGCCCTCAGTGAACTAGGCCAGAGAGGGGGCCTGCAAGCTCTTGGGAAACCTCACGAAAAGTCCTGTTCTTGTTGACCCATTAGCAGAGAGGTGAGATGTGCCAGGGGCCAATGTTTATATATCATAACTATATTTGGAAATGTTATTGTTTTCCTAAAAATGTCAAATGAGAAAAGTAAAGGATTTTATAATAATAGAGTCGAAATGGGACATTCTGGGACTTAATGTGTTCTTATTTTTCATCAGACTCTAAGATTTTCACAGTCCAGAAAAGCAAGCAAGGCAAAGACTGAGTCACGGGGTCCTGTACATCAGTGTGTCTCAACCAGGGGGCTGTTGTGTCCCCGAGGGGATGCTTGGCAATGTCTGAAGACATTTTTGGTTGTCACAACTGGAATGAGAATTCTGCTGGCATCTAGTGGGTACAGATCAGGGGTGCTGCTAAACATCCCATAATGCATAGGACCCCGAACACTACTCTCTAACAAAGAATTCTCCGGCCCAAATGTCAATGGTGCTGAGGGTGAGGAGCCCTTTTCTGCATGAAATTACAGCTCCATTAGTGAAGAAATTGTAAATAATATTTACAACTTTGCAATTTAAAAACCACACTCCAATTAAGTTAGGTACCCCTAGTTTACCAATATAACTACAGATCACTATTATTGCCTTAGAGTTTGTGTTGTTCTGAAAATGGCAAGTTTATTGCAGGGCATAATCGATATTTTTAAAAATAGACACCAGGCTATTTGGTCGGATGGAATAAAATAATTTTGGAGCACATGAAGTCTTTTTAAAAAATTGCCTCAGACTCTAATCAAAAACATTTTTCCCTTCAGGTTGTGTTTCTAACTAAAGAAATGCCCAGACTAAAAGGAAGTGGTCTTAGGTTCAGAGTACAGACAAAGGCAAGGGTGGTGTAATCAGCATTTGACCGACCCATTAGCAGCTGCAAAGAGATGAGAGTCTTAATGCTATTTGGGAAGGATTTTCCCAGACACAAAGGTATCAAATGTCCTGTCTCCTTTTTGCCCAAAATAGTTCTGAGTTGAACATGAGGTCCTCAAGGTGTCTTTGAGTAAAGAGGAAAAAATCTGCTCTGGGAATTCACTACTGTACCCACCTCCCTCCCCACACAACCCAGCTATCGAGGCTTGCTGGTGAAGGAGAGGCCAAGAATATATTACTTATCATGTTGGTCACTAAGGGATGTGGTGTGCTTGTAAAAATCCCTTTTGTTGAACTGTACTCTGTGCTGGAGAAGCAAGTTCAGGAGGAATCAAGGAGCTATCATTAAAGAACCTAAAAACCTTTTATGGCAGAGAAAAATCAGCCTGGTATTAAAATTAATGAAGATGCTGGAAAAGAATACATGAAATCTCTGGAAGGATGAAAATAGAGAAACTATTTTAAGGTCAGTCTCCAAGAAGATGGGGAAAACAAATGTGGCCAGGTAGAAGGAATCGCCAATGTTTCCAAATTAATTATCCAAAGGGAGGGCTACATTTCTTGGAAAAACTGATCCTATGCAAATGTGCAGTTCCAAATCCTGTTCTTCTGAGTCTATTAGAAGAATCTGCTCAAGGGTTCACCAGTTCAGGAGTTTGAAGGAATTCTGGAGTTTGGTGGAATTTCCACCCCTCTCTAAAGGAACGTTCCTAGAAGCAGAAACCGGTCGGCTCAGGCTGACAATGCTGGAATGATGAAGAGCTCAGGCCCAAGCTGCAGGCATCTAACCAGGTTGTGCACGTAATGGATAAATAATGGATGAAACTTGCTGCCAAAATTGTGCAACGTGGCTTTTGTGGACCATCCAAGCCCAGCTCCCTGCCAGGTGAAGGCATCAGGGAGTGTATGGCTGTCACCGCTGACCCCCATTATCCCGCCTGCCAGAAGTGGGTTCTCCCACTGACACTTTAACAATGTCCTCATATCTGAGCCAAGGAGGTCCCGTGAAAACATAGTGGTGAGTTGGGGTCAGCATAGTCCAGTAAAGCCAATAATAATAATACTGGACAATAAGTAACAAAAGATGCTAAGAATCTTTGTTATGAAATCTACTTTTCAAGGATAAACCAATCAATGGTTTGTATTTATTCTAATCAATGAGATAACAAAAGGTGATGATTAAAATAGCAGAAAGTATTAAAATAGCATTTGGCGTTTTGGGTTTTGTTTTGTTTTGTTTTTTTGAGATGGAGTCTCGCTCTGTTGCCCAGGCTGGAGTGCAGTGGTGCGATTACAGCTCACTGCAACCTCAAACTCCTGGGCTCAAGGGATCCTCCCACCTCAGCCTCCCAAGTAGCTGGGACTACAAGCATCTACCACCATGCCCAGCTATTTTTTTCATTTTTTGTAGAGATGGGGGTCTCACTATGTTGCCCAGACTGGTCTTGAACTCCTGGGGTCAAGCAATCCTCCCACCTCTGCCTCCCAAAGTGTTGGGATTACAGGTGTGAGCCACCACATCCGGCCTAAAATGGTACTTGAAAGCAAGAAAGAAAATCAAGAAGAAAAAAGAATTTAATATGGTAAGAAACACTTCCAACAAGAATTAGCAAGAAAGTAAAAATGGTCATGTCCCAAGAGAATAAAGCTAATAACAATTATATCTAACATGTATTTGTCCCTATGTGCCAGAGACCGCTAGGTGCTTTTATTAACATTACTGTATTAACGTTATTGTATTAACATTATTGTATTGAATTTTCCTCACAGCTCTATGAAGAAGGTGCCATTACCTCCATTTTATAAACGAGAATCTGAAATGCAAAAATGTTAAGTAACACGCCTGAGTTCCCATTGCTACAAAGCAGCAGAGCTGGGATTTGAATCCACATCTGTCTGATTCCAAAGTCCAAGCTATTAAACACTATATTCTACTGGCATGAACTTGCTGGCTCTGTGGTGGAACAGGATGCCCCAGGGGAACAGTGGAAGTTTTGTCACTTGGGTTTTTAGACTGAACAAAATATTAGTATGTATGTCAAAGGAAGTTGTCTCTAATGGCTCAGTGGTGGGTGAAAATAATATCTGGAACTTCCATTTCTGAATGTTAAGGACTTCTAACCAATAGCACTAGCCACGTTAGTGTAGCCCAATGCATTGTTCACAGTTCTCTCACGTACTTTCTCATCTGATCCTTGCTGAAATCTCGGGAGGTAGACAGGCAGGCCACAGATTACCACGCCCCTTCTCAAAGATGGAATGGACAGTCTCATCAGAAATGAAGCGCTGCCAACTTACTTATCATCAAAAATATGTGGGAGGAGGGGGAAATGTGATTCCAAAAAAGTTGCTTATTTCAACGCTGGGCAGTTCATAGGAGTTTATGATTTATTTCCATAACAGGGTGATTGCTTCCTTTTCAACAAGGCTTGACTCACACGGAGGAATGTATTCCATTACATGTCTGCTGGCTTCAGGCTTTATGTAGAACCCGTGGGTTGCCATGACGACTGGGACTAACAAAATAGAAACCATAAACTCTTTCAACACTGGTCCCTAACTCGCTTCTAACAGTACACCTCAGAACTGTGGAAACTGATGGTGTTTCTGAGGTAGTTTATATTGATATTCTCATCCATTCAGGGTGTGCTTCCTTCTAGTTTGAAAATAACCTCAAGACATCTGCTTTGGGTTCAAGGGAAACTTGGACATAAGGCTTTTTGTCTCTGTCACTAAAGAGAGCAGTGTCTTCAGCCATGTTAATCTATTCTTTAAAAAGTTACATTTCTCATACCAAATAAAATTTAGCTCTCTTGAGGCAAATAAAAAGGTAATATATCAAACTTTAGTAGTAGCCTCATATAGCACAATCCCCCTTCAGCATTTATTGCTTAAGTACCTAACTCTTATCCAAAGATATTTATTCACGATACCAAAGGGATATAGGATACTTGAATTTTGAGAAACAAAATAACTTCTAAGATACGATAAAGCCTCAGTGGTTGTAGCTGTATGGGAAGTTGGAGTAAAGAGAGGTGGGGAAGTTTAATTTGAAATTATTTGTCTAAATCGTGGTGAACCTGTTTTTCTTGGCTCAACATCTATTCCCCAAGTCTTCTGATAGCAATCTCCCTTTGGGTAACCACACTCTACCCCACCCTCAATCATGTAAATCAGGTGGAATTGACCCCACTCCAGTTCCAGGGGTAAGCATGTGAAAAAATCCTGGGCAATCAGAATATGGCACCCCAGTGCATATGGAGATTGGCTCAAGGAGGGGCCCAAACCAGGCCAATCCGAGCCAGTAAGACTCAATTTTGTGATTTTTGTTGGCACCGTTGAGATGGAGTGATGTTCTGCTGGGGCTGCTGAACAGCTGTAGGAAAGCCTAGAGCCACTGGCAGCCATCTTGCTACCATGAGGAGACAATCTGCCTAAGAATGGAGTCTACTTGCAGGGAAAACAGAAGACAGATGGAAAGGACAAGACCGATATCTGATGACATTGTTTGAGACCCTAGATCCAGCCTTGCCTGAAATCTGTCTCTAGAATTTTTAGTCATTTGACCCAATAAATTCCTTCTCTTCTTAACTTTAAATGAATTGGATTTATGTGCAACCAAAAGAGTCCTGATTAATAGAGAAATGTATCTATATTATTTTAAATACACTCAATAATTAAATCTAACTTGAAAAGTAGAAGAGATCTTCGGGGATCCTGTTTTGATGAGTAGATAATTACCGCATCTATTAAGTCTATTAATTCCCTTGTAATCAAGTCCTTGGGGGAAGTTGATTCGGTTCAATATTTTAGAGATCTCCCCTTAAAATCTTATTTATCATTTTAATTTGTCTTCCTGAGAAACAGCTTGCTCAGAAAGGATAAATTTTGGCTCCCCCTTTAACTAAAACACATCAATAGAATTTTATTGTAGAAGGTTCATGGGGTCTCTCCCCGCCTGATGAATAACTGTACATGCTGTTGTCCCGATCATGACAATCCTGAACTCCAAAAGAAAAACTGAAAACATGCTATTTTTCAGTATGTAGCTTTAAGCTATTATTATAATGGTTAAACTTTTGCTCCATAAGTCATTGCATAGGTTTTTTTAAAAATTATAAAACATTTGGAGGCCCAGCCAAAACAGACCTTCATGACGTTGTGATTATCTGGTTTTTCTTTAAATATCTCCAGGAAATTTACCTTTTTTCCTATTCATTACTGTCTTATGGGGCGAATACATTTACTTTAGTAAATTCTCTGAAGTATTAATAAAATGCTAAATGTTACATTATGACAGGGATTCTCAACCCTGGCTGCTGATGAAAATCACCTGGGGAGCTTTTCAAAAATACTAATAGCACAGCTCCACCCTAGCCCAATTCAATCACAATTTTTTGGAGTGGGGTCCTGGCATTGGTGCTTTTTAAAAGCTCCCCAGGTGATTTTAATGTTCAGCCAGAGCTGGGAATAACTTGTATTTTTGGAAATACTGACTAGAATCTATGATTTGATTCAGTGAGGAATCATTTAATAAGTAATCCTTTAAAAACACTTTTAATTTCTCCGTATAGAATTTTTTTCAAAAAATTATATATATGTTGTGTGTATGTGTGTACATGTATGTGTGTGTGTGTATGTATAAATAATTTGGCCAACATATATATATAAAACAAATTACCTGTATTTGACCAGCTCACATGCTCTTGGGTACACTGAGGCACCTCTCACCAAACCTCACCCTTCAAAGTAACATGTAAGAGGCTGCTCATCTGCCATGTGTTGGAAAAGGATTCTTTCTTTCTTCAAGGTAAATTATCTCCATTATTATCATTGAATATTGTCTGTTTGAAATCTTTACATAGTTCTACAATTGTTTCTTTGTTAACGTTCCTCAACTTGAGTGCTTAACTTACTGTTTTCCCAACTCTGGTTAGTGTTTATACTTAGCTAAGACTTATGATTTCTATTTTAGATGCTATTACTTTCTTCTCAGTTCCAAATAGTACACAAAACCTAAAAAGACCAAGAGAAACTTGTAGAGCAAGAAAAAGAGTAAGATCTTGAAATAAAGATGGCAGGATGAAGCCAATCATAGAATTTCTTTCCCTTAATACAAACAAAAAGGAATGTTTAAAAAAATAGCAAAAGTTTAACAACAGCAACCATAGAAGAAAAGGGGTACAACCTTGTGCCAAAAAATAAAAAATAAAAATAAAGAAATGGTGGCCAGAGGAAGAAATGGATAATTCAGTCTCTTACTCTGGGCTCAATGCTGTGTTAGAGCGGTTTCATACTGGGGTTTGTCGGAGCCCAAAGTCCAATTTTCAGAGATCTTTTGAGCCAGTTCATAAACACAGCAATTTTACAAATTAAATTATATAAATTTATAATTAGTAAGTTATATTTAAAGCAAAGGTAGTAAATTCTCAAAAATCATCACTCCCTAATTGTTTTATTTCATCTTGGTTTTGTCTATGCTCCTGAGGCCATTTACATTTAGTCTATCTGTGTGGTAGGAATACTATATAATAATGATGTGTGTGCCAGTTCCACATTTAGTAGTGTCACGTTGGCAGCTTGAACCTGGCGATGGTGGGAGTATTTATACTATGAAAATTGGCATACCTTATACATTAGGGATTTTTATTTTTGAGAGCCAGTTGTTAAACATTTACCCCCACACCACTGCTCTTAACCTCATCCTTACCTCTACCTACAGTCACCTGAAGTCATACTGGAGGAGAAAAAGGTGAGTCAACAAAAACTCAAACTCTTACCAGTAACTCTCAATTTGGAGAAAAGAGAATTGACAAGGAAAGTACAAACTCTTGCTGGGCACAGTGGCTCATGCCTGTAATCCCAGCACTTTGGGAGGCCAAGGCGGAAGGATCACCTGAGGTCAGGAGTTCAACACCAGCCTGGCCAACATGGTAAAACCCCATCTCTACTAAAAACACAAAAATCACCTGGGCGTGGTGATGCATGCCTGTAGTCCCAGCTATTTGGGAGGCTGAGGCAGGAGAATCACTTGAACCCGGGAAGCAGAGGTTGCAGTGAGCCCAGATTGCACCACTGCACTGCAGCCTGCGCAACATAGCAAGACTGTCTCAAAAAAATAAAAAATAATAAAAAAAAAGAAAGTAACAATTTCTAGGAAAAAACAAGGAAAAGCCTTGAGTATTTTATTCGACACAGAAAAATTAAATCGTCTGATTGTGCCATTTACTATGGATTCATTTAAAATTTGAAGCATAAATTTCAAGCCTAAAGATGCAACACATTAGGAACAGGATATGTCCCCAAGTATGAGGTCTGAACTCCTAGCATAGGACACAGAAGAAATTCTGTAGAGTCCATGTCCACTGGGGACACACAATTCCAGTTGAACTCTCTGCCTCCACCCACATGATCATATTGTTAGGGTGGAGAACGGTGTACAGAACACCTGATTTAGACCTCATATTGGAGCTTTAAGAGAAAAATAAATAAACTTTAGGTAAATTGGAAGGGGGTCAAGAACTGACCCACATCATGTCAGGAAAAACAGATCTGGACAGCTGCCAACACTGAGAATGAGAAAATAAAAGTAAGACAAAGAAACAAGATGAAATGCTGAAACAACAGGTGTGGCTAAAAAGGGAGATGTCAGAGATAAGGAAACATACTGAGGACCAGAACAATACTATTAGAGGTTGAATGAATCAATTAGAAACAGCAAGGAGAATGGATACAAAGTATAATATCAAATTATTGACAGAGAAAAAGTTTGAGATTATGCAGCTGGAACAGAGGAAAAAGACAAATGTTAACATTTTAGAATATTAGTAATGCAATAGAATTGGGTAACATCTCAATGAGGGGATTAGAATTAATATCACAAATGAGGGTCAGATAGACATCAGATGGCTGTGAGACCCTGAGAAAGACACAACAACATGTATATAGTATTCTGGGTATTCTGGCTGGGAATATAAAACTGGAATCTAAGGAACATTCTATTTTAAAAAGCCAACGATCTGTACTTTTTTAAAATGTCAATGTCATAAAAGACAAACGCCAATGAACTGATTCATATGAAGGGGTTTAAAGAACATGACAACTTAATGCAATACATGAACTTACAGAAGATCCTGCATTACAAGGGAATATGCTATAAAGAACATTATTGAGTCAATTGACAAAATTGGAATATGCATGATAAAGTACTGCCAATATCACATTTACTGAAATTGATAACTGCTGTGGATCTAAAGGAAACCCCTCCATTCGAGGAAAAAGATACGGAACTATTAAGTAATCGAGTTTCAATCAAGCATCCAAGCACAAAGAAGGCAACCACAAAAGAGGGATAGAGGCAGACGGGTTTAATTCTTCTCCATAGCCATGTCTAGCCCAAAAGGAATGGGGCAGTAGCTTTAAGAGTTCTCAGCAAAAAAAAAGTGTGGTCTGTGCATTTTATATTCAGCCAAGTTATCCTTTAAATATGACAATTTAATTGATTCATTTAAAATAAAACCTCCATATAAAGAGTAACATTGAACAGTAAGATTTCAACCCAGATGTGATTAATTAGATGAAATAGAAGCAATAGGCTGGGCACGGTGGCTCACACCTGTAATCCCAGCACTTTGGGAGGCCGAGGTGAGTGGATCACCTGAGGTCAGCAGTTTGAGACCAGCCTGGCCAACATGGCAAAACCCCATCTCTACTAAAAATACAAAAATTAGCTGGATGTGGTGGTGCACGCCTATAGCCTCAGCTACTTGGGAGGCCGAGGCACAAGAATTGCTTGAACCTGGGAGGTGGAGCTTGCAGTGAGCCAAGAGCATGCCACTGCACTCTGGCCTGGGTGACAGAGCTAGACTCCACCTCAAAAAGAAAAAAAAAAAAAAAAAGAAAGAAAGAGAACTGATAGTTCAGATTCCAGGTTGTGATACCTTTAACAACAAGGTTGTAGGGTACAAGATCAATATACAAAAATCAATTTTATTCCTATCTACTTGTAATGAACAATCCAAAGATAAAATTAAGAAAATAATTTCATTTATAAACAGCATAAAAAAATAAAATGCTTAGGAATAAATTTAACAAAAGGAGTATGAAACATGTACTCTGAAAACTACCAAACATTGTTGAAGAAATTAAAGAAGGACTAAATAAATGGAAAGACATCTCATGTTCATAGGCCAGAAGAATTAATATCATTAAGATGGCAATAGTTCTCAAACTGATCTACAGATTTCATGTAATCCCTATCCAAACCCCAGCTAGCTTCTTTGCAGAAATAGACAAACTGACCCTAAAATTGACATGGAAATTCAAGAGACCCAGAGTAGCTCAAACAACCTTGAAAAAGAAGAACAAAGTTGGAGGACTTAAATATCCCAATTTCAAAACTTACTACAAAGCTACAACAATCAAGACAGTGTGGTACTTGTATAAGGTTGGACATATAGCTCAATGGAATAAAATTGTGAGTCCAGAAATAAATCACATTTACAGTTAATTGATTTTTGACAAAGGTAACAAAATAATTCAATTGGGGGAAGAGTTTTTTCAGTAAATAGTACTGGACAACTGGATACTCACATGAAAAGAATGAAGTTAGAACTCTTCTTCACATTACATACAAAAATTCACTCAAATAGATCAAAAATAAAAACTCACAGAAGAAAAATAGGCCTAAGTCTTTATGACTTCAGATTAGGCATGATTTCATAGATATGACACCAGATATGACACCGAAGGTATAGGCAACAAAAGAGAAAGTAGATAAATTTGATTCCATCAAAATCAAAGAGTTTTGTGCCCGAAAGGACAGTATCAAAACAGTGAAAAGACAACCCACAGAGGGACAGAAAAGTTTTGTAAATCAGATGTCTGATAAGGAATTCATATCTAGGATGTATAAAGAACTCAACAATGAAAACAACTAAATTAAAAAATAGGAAAGGGCTCTGAATAGACTGCTCTGCAAAGAAGGTGTACAAATGACCAATAAGCACATGAAAAGATACTCAACATCATTCATTACCAAGGAAATGCAAATCAAAACCACAACATGGGCCGGGTGCAGTAGCTCACGCCTATAATCCCAGCACTTTGGGAGGCCGAGGTAGGTGGATTTCCTGAGGTCAGGAGTTTGAAACCAGCCTGGCCAACATGGTGAAACCCTGTCTCTACTAAAAATACAAAACTTAGCTGGGCGTGGTGGTGCATGCCTGTAGTCCCAGCTACTCAGGAGGCTGAGGCAGAATTGCTTGAACCTGAAAGGCGGAGGTTGCAGTGAGCCAAGATCGCACCACTGCATTCCAGCCTGGGTGACAGAGCAAGACTCCATTTCAAAACAACAACAACAACAACAACAACAACAACAACAACAACAAATACCCCACAAAAAACCACAATGTGATACTACTTCATATCCCACTAGGATAGCTCTAATTACAATGTCAGACTATAACAAGTGTTGGTGAAGATGTAGAGAAATTAGAACCCTTATATCCTTCTGGTAGGAATATAAAATGATGCAGCTGCTTTGGAAATCAGTTTGGCAGTTCCTCAAAAGATTACACATAGAATTACCATATGACCCAGAAGTTCTACTCTTATGTATATGCCATGAACAATGAAAACACATGTCCATACAAAAATTTGCACATCAATGTACAAATAGCAGCAGCATTATTCATAATACCTGAAAGATAGAAACAATTCAAGTGACCATCAACTGATAAAGTGTTTATCTATGGAATGGAGTATTATTTGGCAATAAAATGAAATGAAGTGCTGGTATGTGCTACAGTCTTGATACATTACGCTAAGTGAAGAAGCCAGTCACAAAATACCACATACTATATGATTCCATTTATAAAATGTCCCAAATAGGCAAATCTACAGAGACAGAAAGTAGACTGATTGACTAGGACTGGGAGAAAATGGAGGAGTGCCTGTCTAATGGGTACAGGATTTCCTTTTGAGGTGATTAAAGGATTCTAAAATTGTATTAGTCTGTTCTCATGCTGCTGTGAAGAACTGCCTGAGACTGGGTAATTTATAAAGAAACAAAGTTTAACTGACTCACAGTTCCACCAGGCTGGGGAGACCTCAGGAAACTTATAATTATGGCAGAAGGGAAAGCAAACACGTCCTTTTTCACATGGCAGCAGGAAGGAGAAGTATGAGTGCCAGCAGGGGTAATGCCAGTCGCTTATGAAACCATCAAATCTCGTGAGAACTCACTCACTATCATGAGAACAGCATGAGGGGAAACTGCCCCCATGATTCAGTTGCCTCCCACTGGGTCCCTTCCACGACACATGGAGATTATGGGATTACGATTCAAGATGAGATTTGGATGGGGACACAAAGCCAAACCATACCAAAAATTACTGGTGGTGATGGCTGCATAACTGTGAATATGCCAAAAATCATTGAACTGTCCACTTTAAGTGGGTGAATTATATGGCATGTGAATTATATCTCAAAGAAACTGTTATTTAAAAAGTGTTTGAACAGGGCCAGGCACGATGGCTCACGCCTGTAATCCCAGCACTTTGGGAGGCTGAGGCGGGTGGATCACGAGATCAGGAGATCGAGACCATCATGGCCAACATGGTGAAACCCCGTCTCTACTAAAAATACAAAAATTAGCTGGGCATGGTGGCACGCGCCTGTAGTCCCAGCTACTCTGGAGGCTGAGGCAGGAGAATCGCTTGAACCCGGGAGGCAGAGGTTGCAGTGAGCCAAGATCATGCCACTGCACTCCAGCCTGGCGACAGAGCAAGACTCCATCTCAAAAAAAAAAAAAAAAAAAGTGTTTGAACAAGGGAGAAGAAATCAGATGGAATTTAACTAACTAGCATAAGAAAAAACCTTTTGAGCTATTTCAATATTGAACAGATTCAGAATAACCCACTTTAGCTCAAATGGAGATGAGGAATGGCAACTCATGCATGCAGTCATTTGGTAGGCAAGACACTTAATTACTGAGTTACAATGTGCCAGGCACTGGGCTGGGTGCTGAGTAGAGTGAACAAGACAGGCATGATCACTAAACTCATAATATTATACTTAGAGTGCTCATGAAAGACAGAAATTAAAAAACCAATTACACAATTGAATAAATGTCCTAGAAGAAAAAAAAAATTCAAATAGTAGGAAAAGGTATAAAGGATGATCCTAATATAATCTGGGAAGGCTTCTCTGAGGAAGTAACTTTTGAGTTGAACTTTTTAGGATTATTAAGAACAAAGTAGGTGAAGACTGTGTGTGAGGTAGAGTGGGTTCCAGATAGAGGGAACTGGACCTCCTCTGCCAGGGAACCAGAGGACAGTGAGAAGTAGGGGGCAGCATGGTGGATACTGGAGGGGCTGGCAGACCCTGCAAGGTCTTGTAAGCCATACTAGGAATTTGATCTTTATTGCAAAAGCCATGGGAAACTGTTGACAGATTTTAAGGAGAGTTTTCAATCGACATCTCCAGTGTGCTTTGCTGTTAAATTCCCCACTGAGTAATACAAAAATGAAACTATCAGACTATGCCAGTAGAGATGATGTGCCTCCCCTACTTCTTACCAAATCTCCCAGTGCATGGTTCTTATATTTTGGTCCCTGGGAAACAGTTTATGCAATTCCCAGATGGAAAAGGGAGGGGAGAATGTACATAAGAACCCTCAGGAAATGAAGCTGGGCCACATAAGCTTTAGTGAGCTCAGCACCCCCAGTAACACAATGATCCCTAACAACGCACTGGTTATCTTTAAGCTCAGATGTATGTTTGGGAATGAGATCACTCCCCGGGACTCTGGGGTCTTGTTATTTACAGCTGCAATGCTAAAATTGGCATGATGGGCACTTTTAAAAATACGGGTGGAGTAGCCCTTGGCCTCTGTCATATATTGCCTGGGCTATGGTCTGGTATCCTCAATTGAATACAGGTGAAAACAGATGGAAAATAAATTATCTTACAATTCTCAGTGTGTTCTCATTGACTTATCATCTGTTGGAAAATTTGTTCTGAGGATAGCATCAAGGAACTGATCTATATAGTGGGTAATGGCCAACGGAGGCCTCTGAGAGATGGCTTCTCTGTTGGCCAAAAATTGCTTTGCCAAAGTTTTCGAGGCCATGGGGCTGCCTTGACAACACTAAGTAAAACAAGACACTGAAGTTCTTTAAATTTACCATAAGTCACAAGTTACAGCTGCTCTTAAATCTGAATCTTTGGAATATGTGTTCTCTGGTTGATTTAACATTTTTTCTTGGCCGGATATGATGGTAAGATGTCTTCTGTGCTGTTAATGGCAACTTAAAAACTTCTTTTTTCTTCTCCCTACTCTTGACCTTCCATTCTTTTTTCTTCTTGTTTTACTATGACCCTCTTTGTTTCTTGATCTCTGCCTTTGAGTGATCTGCTAGAATTCTGAGCTGTTATACACCATGGTTCCAGCTAGGTAAGGCTAATTTATCATGATCAACCACCAGAAAATATATTTTATTAAAAATAATTCAATTCTACTATGTGCAAAGTATGCACCCTCACCTCAATGCTGCATTTGACTCTGCAGGTAATCTACTTACTCCTTTGACTTCTCTGACACCCATCTCTTCTGCTTCCCTTCTGTCCTGTTTACTGTGATTGACACCTCGACATTCATTCAAACCCAAATATGATTAGTCTAAGTCAATCGTGATGGTTCTATCCCACATGACAATGAACAATTGTTTTAAGAACTTCTGCAGTCACTTCCCCTCCAGCCTGGGGAGGAAGCCGACACTATTCTGGACAAGTTTCACAGAAGTAAAGTTGAAATCCTCATGTACTATGCCTGGAGCCCATGCTAGTGAACTTCTTGTGTGTGACATAGTCAGTTTCCTTATTGTTTAAGCTGATGTGAGCTAGGACGTTCTGTTACTTGCATCTAAATGTACACTTACTGATGTTCCTTTTTAGTTCTTTGGCCTCCATTTCTCAGACTCCTATGTTAGTCTTGCCTCTTTCCATCTTAGGTTTTGTACTTTATCTTCTCTTCTTGTTCTTCAATCTCCGTGAGTGAACTCATCCATTCCTCTTGCATAAGTACAGTTTACATGTTGATGATTTCTAAATCTAATGTCCAGCTTAACCTCTTTTTCAAGTTCTATATTTATAGGGGTCAATGATGGAGTCAGACTATACTTCGCAATCATCTGTAGAACTTTAAAAATATATAGGTGTACACGCCCCATCCCTGGGATTTCTGGTCCAATTTATGCAGAGCAAGGCCTAAGCATTTGCATGTTTTTAAAACTCCACAGGTAATTTCTGACACAGAAGCAGGGTTAAGAATCATATCCTGGGAATATCTCTTCCTGGATATCCCATAATCTTTTCAGCTTCAGTTCTCTCAGTTCCCCAAACTTGCTCTTCTTCTTGTAGACAAAGATGAGTAAGACATAGCATCCATCTTCAAGGGCCTCACAATCCAGTTGGACAGGCTGGAAATAGGTTGTGGGAAAGTAGATAGTACATCATTTCTATAGGATCCCCAGGGCTCATCTGTCTGTGGGTATAGGCAGAAGCCAGAACAGTCAGTGCCTATACTTTACTAACTCTTCCCCGCTCCTGCTGATATGGAACCTGTAGCCTAGAGCTGTCCAATAGAACTTTCTGGATGTTGGAAATGTTCTATATCTGTGCTATCCAATAAGGAATATGCAAAAAATGTACTAGACTCTTTTGAGCATAGCCTCTTTTGTGCCACAAGTCTCTTTTGAGCATTTGAAATGTGGCCGGTACTACTAAGGAATGGAATTGTTACTTTTAGTTAATTAATTTAAATAGCCACATGTGCTAGTGGCTACTATAGTAGATCGTGCAGCTAGCTCTTGCAAACCCTACTTGGTTATATCTGGGAATATTTATGAACTTAAATACAGGATTTAAGTTAACTACCATTTCTATCATATACTACTGTTCCACAGGCAATCCCTTTGTGATTTTGACCATGGTCCACAGGAAGGGATATATTTTACATAATGACCCAGTACATTTATACATGTATACTCACACATGCACACATACTTGCATATACATATATGCCTACTTCCATAAAACACTACTTGTGAGGCGCTCTGATTTTTTAATCCTATTCTAGTCTATGAAAAACTGCTGGTCATGAGCCACCAATTTATTTTCATGACCCACTAACTAATGCATCAAGCCCCACAATTTGGTAAGTACTACCCTAGGAATCTATCTCGTCCCACTGGGTGCTTGTCTTTCTACTTATGGCATCGAAGTCTTGGCTGGGTGTCACTGCTGCTTGGCCAGGGGCAATTCCAGGCTCATTGGGGTCCCTGTAGTACCAGAGAAGTTGTCTGCAGTGGACAAAGGGGGAGGATGCCCATCTCTCCTTTATGTCTCAGTCTGTTAGAGGGCTCCCAAAGCATGCAGCCAATATCTTAATTTCTTAAAGGTTCTTAGTGAAACAGCTCTTTCGGCTTTCATTCATAGCCCTCCAGCTCACACTCCAGCTGTGAGTTTGCATTGGAGGTTTAGAGGTATGAAAATCTCAGTGGCAGACATCCTGCTGTCCTCAGAATCGCTTCTCATCCTTCAGCTTGTGGATTGCCTCTCCTGCCTGATGACTAAGGTTTCCCACTGGGCTCAGTGTGTCTGGGATCAAGTTCTCTCTCTGGAGGCTCCTCAGCCCACATGTAGCAGCCATCTGGTGGGCCCGACTTCCGCTTTTCCTGACTTACAGAAATTTCCTAGACTCGAGGAACTTGATAGGTGTTATAAAAGAAGTGTGCTATGGGACCACGGTTCAGTTTGTTCTATGTAGAACTGAGGGAGCCTCAAAAAGGGATAGAGAGGAGAAAAGACAAGGATCGGGTAACAGGTTAAGTTAGTCTCAAAGGATCAGTGGAAGCTTGCAGGAAGACAGGAGGGACTGTCTGTGACCTTTCCACCTTCCCCAAGTCGAGTCAGTAGCTTTTCTGTTTCCACCACATTTTGTTCATACCTCCATTACAACTTCTCACACTTTGTTTCCGTCTAGACTTTGAGATTCTCAGGTACAAAGATCATTCTTTTTTCATCTTTGTATCCTTAGAAACTAACATGAGGCCTTTTGTATTGTAGACAGAAGTAGCCACTGAGTGAATAGACAATGACGCTTGAGGCTTTCGCCCTGAGCCCCAGGGCACTGGTATATTAAAGTGGAGCTCATCTGCCTACCTCTCAACATGATGTCTCAAAGGAAGTAATGTTGTAGACCCCGAAGTGGAAATATTAGATAGTATTGTTATTTTTCAAGATCCATCAGGCCAAGGGTGACGGTGAGTTTCTGCTAAATCTGCTAAGCATGTCAGTAAGAATACATCCAGGTGCCTGGACGGATTGATGGCAAACAAAACAGGTAAAGTTCCTGCATCCGTGGAGCCTTCTGTCTAGTCAGGGATGACAGGCAACCAACGAAGCAGTGACAAGGAGGTGTGACTGGAGACGTACAGGTGGCTGTAAGAGAACAGAAACCAGCCTAGGGAAATTAGGGGGCTTCATGGTGGAGAAAGATGAGGAGTGACCCCATGACAATGATGACCTGGGCAAAGAAGGAAGGAAAGAGTATTCTGGGAGAGGGAATAGCAGATATGAAGGCCAGAAGGCATGGTGCAGTAAAGGAACTGAAGAAAATTCTGCAGAGAGCATTGCATGTGCGTAGGAAAGTAGCAAGAGGTGAGGCTGGAGAGAGCATTGCATGTGCGTAGGAAAGTAGCAAGAGGTGAGGCTGGAGAGAGCAGCACAGGCCAGATGTTAAATGACAAGCCCACCATGGAAAGAAGCGTGCCGTCCAACCTAATGCTAATGGAAAGCCAAGGAAGGGTTTTAGGAAAGACTATAACCTGATAAGATTTGTGCTCTAGGATAGAAAACAGATTGTAGGAGGTCCAAGACCAGACACTGCTGCAGGATCCAAGTGAGGTGTGACAGTGGCTGGGAGGCACCAGGGTTCATCTAGCTGGTGGAATACGCTGGACCATGCAGGGGCCTCATGAGTGCATTAAGTACCTGGGAGGAAGAAAGGGAAAGAACAATAAGGGGTCTGTGGGCTCTAACAGGGGATACAGGGCACTGACGGCAAACCTGCTTTATCATCTGTGCTAGCTCTAGATGAGTGTAAAAGCTGAAGTGGATTCCCACGAGGGAATCGGCTTTGCTGGTAATTGCTTTCAGAGGCTCCAGGCCAACCCCAGGTCCTCTTCTAAGTGCCCTAGAGAGATGGATAGATTTGTCCTTCTGAAGACTTCCAGGGTAGGTTTGGGATCATCAACAGCAATCTCAGAACCATCCCAGGATTTCTGCTCAAACACTGGATCTTTGCCTCTAGCTATAAAATAGACCAAATCCATGGCGGGATGTGGCAACCAACCACGTCTTTTGAACTCAGGAAGTTCAGCAGCCAGGCTCATGGCCTGTATTGGTATATTACATCCTGTTCCCAATCCAGACCCAAATCCTAATGTGTAGGGAAAAAAAAAAGAAGATGCATTTCAGGCCTAAATTGGTCTTTGAGATTGTCTAGTATGGTCTCCTGAACGAACTTTCATGAAAATCAGACTACAAACCTAAAGCAGTTCTTTGATCAACTTCCTTTCTGTTTCATTTCCTGGATTTCCATGGAAATCTGTGATGAAAGAATGATTGCTGTTCTGCTTCCTGCAAGTGTTCACATTCTCACCTCTTAGTAACATTTACTGGGAATACTATAAGCAAGGAAACCCAGGAGGAAGAGGTGCAGACAGAGTTGATGATATTTAGAGGGACTCAATCTGACGGTACTTCTGGGGTCTGCTGGAGACCCTCATTTATACAGCTCGCCCCATGCACAGAGCATCTGAAGAACATCATGGCCATGGGAAACTGAGGTCCTGTGGGCTAGTGGAAGGCCGAGCACAGGTTGAAGCAGTGTGGAAGAGAAGTTTTGGCCCCGAGACTGACTCTGGCAGAGCACACTGCAGAGACCATTTTTGTGCTTTTGCTTCACTTCACTTTTCAAAGATTGTTTGAGCTCATCTTGGACATTTGGAAGCAGCTAAATCTAGCAAGGAACAGGATCATTGGCTTCTTCATCTAACAGTATTTGTGTCTGCAGCTGCACTGCCTTCTGAGCACAGGTGTGCAGAGCGTGATTAAGTGACCCCAGAAATCTGACCGCCTGGGTGTGGTGGTCATTTTTCCACCCTGATGCAATTATCTCAGGGTGTGGGGACGCTCTGTCCCACTCCCTTTTTTTCTCCCCTGCCACCAAACTCTGGATTTCAGTTAATTGTGAAAAATAACAAAGAAGTGTTATTTTTTATGCTGTTTTGCTGTTTATGCTGTTGTTGTTGATTTGCTTCTTGAACAGCTTCCTCTGATCCCTTTTCAAAGTCGGCCGAAAAAGCAGGAAGCCAGGCAGGACAAACTTTTGAAAAAGTCTTTCAGCACCTTCGTGGATCCGAATTTTAGTGTGATTTGGCAGGCAATGCGGGGTAACATGTTCCAGTGTTTTAACTTGCACAGAATTGCCAGATTAGCGATTGTTTGACTTGTCCAATTAATGAAATGTGGAAAAAAAAAAAGGGTGGTAACTGTTAAGCCTGCTGCAATGTCTAGACACGAGGGTGGGGGTGGGGAGGTGGAATACCAAGGGAGGCGACACAGAATTTCCTTGCCTTTTGGTTTTCTCATACTCAGTATTTCTGCCGTGGCACAACACCACGTGGGCCAAGATATTGATAGGTGAGAGATAATGTTTTGGTTAAAGTGAAAAATAAAGTTTCAGGCTATATGCAGGAGACATTTCTCATGTAAGCGTGTTAAAAGAGAAGCTGCAATCACTTAGCCTGCAGGGTAAACACACATGTGCATAAATATACTCTACAACCATGCCAATCCATCCAGAAGGGAGATGCTCGGGGGAACTTGGTTTTTGGAGAGAAGATTTGGGGTTCAGGAGAGCTTGTAAATGTCACGCAGGCACTTTGTGACCTTGTGTTTGGGTCACAGGCAGGGTGGGTATTGTGACATGCAGGGTTATAAGATAAATATGCCAACTGACTCATAGAATTGGGAGGACAGGCAATATAGGGGATTGTGAATTAATTAATTTTTTTTTTTTTTTTAGATGGAGTCTTGCTCTGTTGCCAGGCTGGAATGCAGTGGTGCGATCTGGGCTTACTGCAACCTCCGCCCCCCAGGTTCAAGCGATTCTCCTACCTCGGCCTCCCAAGTAGCTGGGACTACAGGCACGTGCCACCACACCCAGCTAATTTTTGTATTTTTTAGTAGAGACGGGGTTTCACCATGTTGACCAGGATGGTCTTGATCTCTTGACCTCGTGATCTGCCTCCCTCGGCCTCCCAAAGTGCTGGGATTACAGGTGTGAGCCACCGCACCCGGCCATGAAGAAATTTTTACTCTTAGTGCCTTGGTGTCTCTACTGCCCAGCAAACTTCCTTCAAAGCCCATGATGGGCAGAAAAAACCCGAGAGAGAATTAGACAAACATCTAAGGGTTTGGGGTGAGATCCCCATAGGCAAAAATCAAAACAAAACCACTTATGTTTAAGTATAGATATAAATTATTACAACACTGTACATAATGGTTATTATGTACACAGATGCAATTACATGTACTCTACCTCATTTGCGTAAGTTTAAATTAAAATTTAAATGACTGAATAGACTTTTTTTTTTTTTGAGACAGGGTCTCGCACTGTCACCCAGGCTGGAGTGCAGTGGCGCCATGTTGGCTCACTGCAACCTCTGCAATCTCCGCCTCCCAGGTTCAAGTGATTTTCGTGCCTCAGCCTCCTGAGTGGCTAGGATTACAGGCGCGTGCCAACCTGCCTGGCTAATTTTCATATTTTTAGTAGAGACGGGGTTTCACCACATTGTCCAGGCCGCTCTCGAACTCCTGACCTCAAGTGATCTGCCCACTTCAGCCCCCCAAAGTGCTGGGATTACAGGCGTGAGCCACCATGCCCAGCCTGAATAGGCTGACGTTTATGCATGTTGGGCAAAGGCTTTCCCTTTGCTTTTATTCAAAACCAGGTGGGCATCTCCCTCCCTCAGTCTCTCAACCCCCCAGGACCCTCCTTACAGACCCACATTAAAGGCAAGTACGCAAGCCTCGATTCTCACGCAA
Organism: Homo sapiens; assembly: GCF_000001405.40. Lineage (NCBI taxonomy): Eukaryota > Metazoa > Chordata > Mammalia > Primates > Hominidae > Homo > Homo sapiens. The sequence continues at coordinate 19,286,716 of NC_000023.11, read as the reverse complement.
CAGGCCCCAGCAGCATGGAACAGACAGCAGAACTTGACCTTTCCCCAACCCTGCCCTAGCCACAGTAGCTCCTATCCTCAGCGTCACTTCACTCCCTTAGGTGAAGGAACTGTTATTCAGAGAAGGAAATCCACGTGTAGAATGGCTCTGAGGAAATGGGACACATGAGAGGAAGTTTTCATTGGTGTCCAGGAGGAAGAAGCCTGGGATAGGTGCTACTGCCTAGGATGGCAGATGTCACAAAGAATAACCTTGGGCAGTGGGGGAAGTAGAGGCAAGAGTAACCTAGAAGCCTGGAATAGAGGAAGGAGGTGTGGGAATCAAAGGGCCCTGGGGGGAAAAAAAGAAATGGAACCACCGTATTTCAGAGTTAGGAAGAAAACCTTGGAGAATATTTTAGTCCAATCCTTTCATATTCCAGATGAGGAAACCAAAGCTCAGAGAGGTTAACTGCTTTGTTCAAAGTCATGAGGCATGTGGTAACAGACCTAGAATTAGAATTGAGATGTCCTGTCTCAAGCCTAGTAGACTTCCTACTGTGATGAAATATTAAATGCATTAAAACCACAACACTAATATTGAGTTAATTTGTAATTCAAAGGAACTGTTGTTTCTTAACCAACTAAATGCCCTATTGTTCCTCATTAAGAAATCAGATAATTCTGAATCTGGACCATTCCATATTTCTCTAATGGAGTTTTAATGTAATCACACCAGATACTATGAGCAGATAATGAATGTAGTAAATTTTAAATCATTTCATTACACACTAATTTGTTTTACAGAATCAGATTCATGCTTCTTCTTTTTTTTTTTAAGCACAAAATCACAAAGTGATTTTGCTAGACAAACTTCAAAAGACTGGGAAAGACTTTGTTTCTAGTATTTCCAGCTAAGACTTGAAAAGCCTAGAGGCTGGAAACTGTATAGAAGAGTCAGCTGGTTCTGTCAAGGCTTCCAGTGTAGTTTTGGCACCTGTCACAACTTAAGCCTTGTTTGGACCACATGAAATATGATGGATTTTTTTTATTGCTAGCAAATCATTCAGGCACTATGTATTAGTCCATTCTCATGCTGCTATAAAGATTACCTGAGACTGCGTAACTTATAAAGAAAAAGAGGTTTAATTGACTCACAGTTCTGAATGACTGACGAGGCCTCAGGAAACTTATAATCATGGCAGAAGGCGAAGAGGAAGCAAGGCACATCTTACAGGGCAGCAGAAGAGCGAGAGGGTGCAGGAAAAACTGCCACTTTTAAAACCATGAGATCTTGTGAGAATTCCCTCACTATCCTAAGAACATCATGGGGGAATCTGCCCCATGATCCAATCACCTCCCACCAGGTCCCTCCCTTGACACATGGGGATTACAATTTGAGATGAGATTTGGGTGGGGACACAGAGCCAAACCATATCACACTATAGAAGCAACATCCTCTTTTGTGCTGGGCTAGCAAATTGGTTAGACTTGCCTCATTTTTTCAGAATGGCCAAAGTCCTTTCCAAATCCAAAACTTTGGTAGTGATTCTACCCTACTATGATTTATCTTCATCTTTAAAGAGCTATACTCCATGATTTTTAAACTACTAATTTGGAAGGTGCTAACTGCTTAGAAAACAGGGCTTAAGACACTTTATTTCCTCTCTTAAAACTTGTTTTTGTTTTGTTTTGGGGTTTTATTTTTTTGAGACAGAGTCTCACTCTGTCACCCAGGCTGGAGTGCGGTGGCATAATCTTGGCTCACTGCAACCTCTGCCTCCCCGGTTCAAGCGATTCTCCTGCCTCAGCAACCCAAGTAGCTGGGATTACAGGCATGCATCACCACGCCCAGCTAATTTTTGTATTTCTAGTAAGACGGGCTTTCACCACGTTGGCCAGGCTGGGGTCTCGAACTCCCGACCTCAGGTGATCCACCCACCTCAGCCTCCCAAAGTGCTGGGATTACAGGTGTGAGCCACCGCGCCCGGCCCCTCTCTTAAAACTTCTTATAAATAACTAGGACTTGCACGGCAGAAAATGTCAACAATCAAAATTTTAGTTTCTAAAATCTCTAATTTTTTCTTGCTTTCTATTCAATCTCATTTTCCCTCTTTCAGAGATTCCTATTTTCCAGCACTGACATGCATTAATTATTTTCAAAACTGTGTGTGTATATCTTTTCTGTCATTTCAACAGCTTTGAGGGTAGAAGGGAAAGCTGGCATGTGGGTTCAGTCTGCTTTCTTGGTCTAATCATTGTAAATCACATATAAAATCATTTTTTTGAATGATAATCTTGAGGAGTCCAGAAAACTGAACTCAGTTGATCTGATACAGGCCATGCTAAGGTCTGTGTTCTTTAGTTACAGGACCAAAAGACCCATTCTGGGTCCTTGATTCTCTACAAGGTATACCCAATGACAGCTATTTCCAGTCAAGACTCTCTTCCAAGGATGATTGTTCATGGCCTCCACTAGAAACCTTTATAGAAATATTCTTGTGGGGCAGCGAATGACCAGCTCTGTCTTGCCATCCATTCTGTGGTGAACGTGAGAAGACAATGTGACTGGAAACAAGAATAGCCATGTGGAGCAAGGTCTAGTTCATGGTGATCCTAACAATCACATGTGGTCCAGGGTTACACCAGGATTCTGGATTACATAACCTAAATCTTCTTTAATAACCACACAGGAGCTAATTTTGTATCTAAAAACAGTGGGATTTTTGGATGAAATATATTGTTGCGTGAATATGCTCTTTTTCATTTTTCTCCTCAGCGCCCCCACCTCTGAATCGTGGGGCATTTAACTGACAGTAAGGAGACAAGTCCTTAACTTGTCTTAACCTCTTGGTGACAGGGAAGATACTGCTAGATACCTATACTCAATGCCCATTTTCTCTTTGATGACACAGACTTCTGTTCTGGAAGGCAGCGTGCCTAGCTAAAAATACCCTTCCAGATTCCCTTGCAGTGAAGTAAGGCCAGGTGACACATTGTAGCTGATGGGACCTGAACAGATGTCAACAAGGGGTTTCTGGGAATGTGACTGATATTCTGATATGGCTGCTACCCCCACCTCCCTGTCTTGTTGATGCTTTCTTGCTGGAATGCAGACATAAGGCTGGTGATGGAGTCACCATCACATATTCACTGGGTAACAAGCACAGTATGGAAAACCACACTCTAAGGATGGTGGAGTTCAAAGTGGAAGGATCCTAGGACATTGCTTGCAGATCAGATTGCCAACCTCTGAATTCCACCGATGTGAGAAATATACCCCTATTTGGACATATCACCACAGTTAGGCCATATGCAGCTAAACACAATCTTAAATGATGTTATTCAGTCAATTCACCTACAAACTTTGAAATTTACTACCTATTCCCTAAACTATATCCTAAAGGTACTGATGAAAATTACGTAAATTCACTTTAACAAGTCTTGAACATATCTTCTCAATAATATGAGGCATTAAAATATTTTAACAATTCCCAAATGGCAATACATGTTTAAGAAAATTTGCCAGCCTTTAGGCAAAGCAGCAAGTTGTGATGTGATTGTGATTGTCTATGCCATGTATAGAAATGATCTGACCATTTAAACATTATGTTGGTGGTATTTGCATTTGTAATATCAGACATGGTTGAATTTTAACTTAAATTTGGTTTCATGATTGTCACTGAAAATTTTTAAAAGACGACATGATGCAGTTTTAAAATGAAAAATGTCTACACAAGAAAATTGCCTGACATGTTACATATAATAGAATTAAAAGAGGTAGAGATTGAGAAATTTCTTGGACCAGATCATAGAATTTTCCAAGCAAGGAAATGTTAGTGGAATTGACTCATCAATCATAAATGTTACTAAGATGCTAATGTCTATCAGTAAATAAGCTTTCTACTGATATCTAAGAGAAATTACTTAACTTCTGGCGATGTATCATTCAATTAAAGAATAATGAAACTTCAAGTTTAACTAAATAGGAAATGCAGACACAACTCTGTATCCTTTGATACGCTTCACAATTGCAAAGGTTTAGTGAGCAGACTCAACTTTAATGGGGTATAAAAAGGAAACAATTTTCCTAGTAACTTTTATCAATCAATGACTGTTGATTCCCCCTTTGCCACAAGGTATCAAGGGCTCTTAATGGTATTTCAGTGTTATCCAAGAACCTTCCAGTGACTTTTTGGTTATTAGAGTTGTGTCATTTTATTTTCACAGACTTGGTCCTGTTCACCTGAGTGTGAAGTCATTTGTCTCTTCTCCATCCCCAAACACCAACAGACTTATGGTTCCATCGGTAAACATTTTTGTGTATATATATTTTTTCCTTTGAGAATTTAAGTTTTTTATTAGCTGGGCATGGTAGCACATGCCTGTAATCCCAGCTACTCAGGAGGCTGAGGCACAAGAATCACTTGAACCCAGGAGGCAGAGGTTACAATGAGCTGAGATAGTGCCACTGCACTCTAGCCTGGGAGACAGAGCGAGACTCTGTCTCAAAAAAAAAAAAAATTAACTTTTTGAATTAATATTATATCTACTTGTTTCAAACATTTAAATACACTATATAAAATATGTAATTTAATATATTATAAATATATAATCTATCATATAATATATAATTTTATATAGAATATACATAATTATATAGTTTTATATTTATATATAAAATTATATAATTTACATATTTTGTATGTATATATTATATATGTGTATTATATATAAAGGTTATATAGCAGAAGTCTCCTTCCCACTTCCATCTCTCACTTATTTTCCACTCCCTGCCCTCCTATAGTTATCATCTTTCACTGTTATGTATATCCCTCCAGAGTTGTTACACACGTACAAACAAAGGTAGCCTCTATATACAATGTTCTGCATCTTTCCCTTTGTTTGATAATGCATCCTAGAGAGTTTTACATGTCAGTACATACAGACCCTCCTCATTGCCTTGCTCTAGCTGCATGGATTCCCTCGTACAGCTGTACCATAATTTATGTAACCAGTTCTCAATTGATGGGCATTTGAGTGGTTTTCATTTACTTGCTGTTACAAATAATGCTTGAATAATACTGTACATAAATCATTTTAGACATAAGGAGGTGTACTTTACATGAAATTCCCAAAAATTGGATTACTGGATGAAATGGTAATATGCATCTGTAATTTAATAGATATTGCCAAATTACCCTCCACAGGGATCATGCAGATTTAATATATGAGGATGTCTGTTTCCCACAGCCTCACTAACAAGGCGTGCTATGGATTTTTGCCAATCTTATAAGCAAAAAGTGGTATCTGAATATAATTTTAATTTGCATCTATTTTTTTACAAGTGAGGCTGAGCATCTTGTCTCATATTTAAGAACCATCTGCCATTCCTTTTTTCTTGGTATCTTTTTATATACTTAGCACATCTTACTATTGTAGGGGGGTTTTTTCCTTTGAAATTCTGAAATAACTTGGCAAAAAGTACACAAAAAAATAGGAGGCATAATGAAACATTATAAAGTGGACACCTGTCTAAATATCATTTGGGTTAAAAAAAAAAAAGGGACAAAAGGACAGTCTAAGCATCCAAGTCTTCCTTACTATTTCCTTTCCTTTGCCCTAAAAGGAACCTGGCTTTTATTATAATCACTTTCTCACTTTCATATAATTTCATCATCTATGTGGTAATTTAGTTTGACATTCTCTAAAAGGAAACATATTATACATATTCTTTTGTGAGAATGCAAAATATTGCTTTGTGCCATTCATCGGGTTGTTCATGTAGCTCTAGTTCATTCATTTCTACTGCTGTGCAGTATTCCACTGTAAGAATACACCACTTTAATGTATCATTTTATTGTTGATGGAAATTTGGGTTGTTTCCAATCTGGGGCTATCAGAAACAATGCTGCTATTCTTTTACTTGTGTCTTGGTACATAAGTGGGCAAGTTTCTGAATGGTTTGTTTATAATCTGGAGAAAATATAAATTTCCAGCTTTAGAAGACAATGACAAACTGTACTTTTCTAAGTGCCACAGTTCTGGCAATTTAGACTCCTACCCTTGGTTATGAGGGTTCTCCTTATTCTTTATCTTTGTGAACATGATATTGTCAGACAGTCATTTTTGCCAATCTTGCAGGTACATAGTATTTCATTTTGGCTTTAATTTGTATTTCTCTGATAACCCATGAAATTGAGGATCTTTTCATACTTGTATTGGGTATTTGTATTTTACCTTGTGAAATGCTACAGGTCTTTTGCCCATTTTTGAAGAATTGTCTTTTTCTTATTAAAAAATCTTTATGAAGGCAATTCTTCATGAAGAACATGATATATATATATACACACACACACACACACACACACACACATATATATAGAGTCCTTCAAAGTTTTGCTTTCATAGATATTGTATATTAATATTTCTTGAGAATTTCATTCCTAGGTAATGGAGAATTTTTGTTACTTTTGTAAGCGTGGTCATTTCTTTTCATTTTTCTTTGGACATATGGCTGTTTATTAAATTTTTACCCTGCTGCTTTACTAAATTCTGTATTGGTAATCATTTTTCCATTGATTCTTTTGATAGTTTACCTCTTCTCAATTTTTATACTTCTGTTTTCTTTCCCCATCTAATTGTGCTCAGTAGTACCTCAAATACAGTGACAAATAATGGTTTTCTTTGTCTTGATCTTGACTTTAATGAGAAAGGCTCTAGCCTTTTTCCATTTAAGTAATATGCTGGCTTTTGACCAAAGATAGCTATGTGTGTGGGTGCACATCTTAAAGAGTCTATATCTTCCTATTTTTTATGTGTATTTTTTTCTATCAAAAATAGTGGCAAAAAATAGTGGCTAATTTCTACCAAATACTTTTTCAGTATCTAGAGAGAGGATCACTTCGTCTCCCACCAGATCTATTAGTATGACAAATAATATTTTAAAAATTTACTAATATTGAATTTTTCTTAATCCTGAGTAAAATGTACTTAGTCATTAATTTGATCAATATGCTGCTACATTGTTTGCTCATATTTTATTCGGAATTTTTGCCTCAAAATACGTAACTGAGATTAGACTGTGATACTGTATGTATGTATTTGCAATATTTATCAGAATTTAGTCCAACTTTATATATAAACATTTTAAAAATTTTTTCTATAGTCTACAGCAATTTGAATAGCATTAGAATTATCAGATTTCTTTTTAAAGAGAGTTGGGATCTAGGGAGCCAAGATGGCCGAACAGGAACAGCTCCAGTCTACAGCTCCCAGCATGAGCGATGCAGAAGATGAATGATTTCTGCATTTCCAACTGAGGTACTGGATTCATCTCACTGGGGAGTGTCAGACAGTGGGTGCAGGACAGTGGGTGCAGCGCACCGAGTGTGAGCCAAAGCAGGGAGAGGCATCGCCTCACCTGGGAAGTGCAAGGGGTCAGGGAATTCCCTTTCCTAGCCAAGGAAAGGGGTGACAGACGGCACCTGGAAAATCGGGTCACTCCCACCCTAATACTATACTTTTCCAATGGTCTTAACAAACGGCACACCAGGATATTGTATCCTGTGCCTGGCTTGGAGGGTCCTACGTCCACAGAGCCTCACTCATTGCTAGCACTGCAGTCTGAGATCAAACTGCAAGGCAGCAGTGAGGCTGGGGAAGGGGAACCTGCCATTGCCGAGGCGTGAGTAGGTAAACAAAGTGGCTGGGAAGCTCCAACTGGGTGGAGCCCACTGCAGCTCAAGGAGGCCTGCCTGCCTCTCTAGACTCCACCTCTGGGGGCAGGGCATAGCCAAACAAAAGACAGCAGAATCCTCTGCAGACTTAAATGTCCCTATCTGACAGCTTTGAAGAGAGTAGTGGTTCTCCCAGCACGCAGCTGGAGATCTGAGAACGGACAGACTGCCTCCTCAAGTGGGTCCCTGACCCCTGAGTAGCCTAACTGGGAGGCACCCCCCAGTAGGGGAAGACTGACACCTCACACGGCTGGGTACTCCTCTGAGACAAAACTTCCAGAGGAACGATCAGGCAGCAACATTTGCGGTTCACCAATATCCACTGTTTTGCAGCCTCCACTGCTGATACCCAGGCAAACAGGGTCTGGAGTGGACCTCCAGCAAAATCCAACAGACCTGCAGCTGAGGGTCCTGACTGTTAGAAGGAAAACAACAAACAGAAAGGACATCCACACCAAAACCCCATCGGTATGTCACCATCATCAAAGACCAAAGGTAGATAAAACCACAAAGATGGGGAAAAAACAGAGCAGAAAAACTGAAAATTCTAAAAATCAGAGTGCCTCTCCTCCTCCAAAGGAACGCAGCTCCTCACCAGCAATGGAACAAAGCTGGATGGAGAATGACTTTGACGAGTTGAGAGAAGAAGGCTTCAGACGATCAAACTACTCCGAGCTAAAGGAGGAAGTTCGAACCCATGGCAAAGAAGTTAAAAACCTTGAAAAAAGATTAGACGAATGGCTAACTAGAATAACCAATGCAGAGCAGTCCTTAAAGGACCTGATGGAGCTGAAAACAACGGCACGAGAACTACGTGACTAATGCACGAGCCTCAGTAGCCGATTCGATCAACTGGAAGAAAGGGTATCAGTGATGGAAGATCAAATGAATGAAATGAAGTGAGAAGAGAAGTTTAGAGAAAAGAGAATAAAAAGAAATGAACAAAGCCTCCAAGAAATATGAGACTATGTGAAAAGACCAAATCTATGTTTGATTGGTGTACCTAAAAGTGATGGGGAGAATGGAACCAAGTTGGAAAACACTCTGCAGGATATTATCCAGGAGAACTTCCCCAATCTAGCAAGGCAGGCCAACATTCAAATTCAGGAAATACAGAGAACACCACAAAGATACTCCTCGAGAAGAGCAACTCCAAGACACATAATTGTCAGATTCACCAAAGTTGAAATGAAGGAAAAAATGTTAAGGGCAGCCAGAGAGAGAGGTCAGGTTACCCACAAAGGGAAGCCCATCAGACTAACAGCGGATCTCTCCGCAGAAACTCTACAAGCCAGAAGAGAGTGGGGGCCAATATTCAACATTCTTAAAGAAAAGAATTTTCAACCCAGAATTTCATATCCAGCCAAATTAAGCTTCATAAGTGAAGGAGAAATAAAATCCTTTACAGACAAGCAAATGCTGAGAGATTTTCTCACCACCAGGTCTGCCCTAAAAGAGCTCCTGAAGGAAGCACTAAACATGGAAAGGAACAACCAGTACCAGCCACTGCAAAAACATGCCAAATTGTAAAGACCATCGAGGCTAGGAAGAAACTGCATCAACTAACGAGCAAAATCACCAGCTGACATCATAATGACAGGATCAAATTCACACATAACAATATTAACTTTAAATGTAAATGGGCTAAATGCCCCAATTAAAAGACACAGACTGGCAAATTGGATAAAGAGTCAAGACCCATCAGTGGGCTGTATTCAGGAAACCCATCTCACATGCAGAGACACACATAGGCTCAAAATAAAGGGAAGGAGGAAGATCTACCAAGCAAATGGAAAACAAAAAAAGGCAGGGGTTGCAATCCTACTGTCTGATAAAACAGACTTTAAACCAACAAAGATCAAAAGAGACAAAGAAAGCCATTACATAATGGTAAAGGGATCAATTCAACAAGAAGAGCTAACTATCCTAAATATATATGCACCCAATACAGGAGCACCCAGATTCATAAAGCAAGTCCTTAGAGACCTACAAAGAGACTTAGACTCCCACACAATAATAATGGGAGACTTTAACACCCCACTGTCAACATTAGACAGATCAACGAGACAGAAAGTTAACAAGGATACCCAGGAATTGAACTCAGCTCTGCACCAAGCAGACCTAATAGACATCTACAGAACTCTCCACCCCTAATCAACAGAATATACATTCTTTTCAGCACCACACCACACCTATTCCAAAATTGAGCACATAGTTGGAAGTAAAGCACTCCTCAGCAAATGTAAAAGAACAGAAATTATAGCAAACTGTCTCTCAGACCACAGTGCAATCAAACTAGAACTCAGGATTAAGAAACTCACTCAAAACTGCTCAACTACATGGAAACTGAACAACCTGCTCCTGAATGACTACTGGGTACATAACGAAATGAAGGCAGAAATAAAGATGTTCTTTGAAACCAACGAGAACAAAGACACAACCTACTAGAATCTCTGGGACACATTCAAAGCAGTGTGTAGAGGGAAATTTATAGCACTACATGCCCACAAGAGAAAGCGGGAAAGATCTAAAATTGACACCCTAACATCACAATTACAAGAACTAGAGAAGCAAGAGCAAACACATTCAAAAGCTAGCAGAAGGCAAGAAATAACTGAGATCAGAGAAGAACTGAAGGAAATAGAGAAACAAAAACCCTTCAAAAAAATGAATGAATCCAGGAGCTGGTTTTTTGAAAAGATCAACAAAATTGATAGACTGCTAGCAAGACTAATAAAAAAGAAAAGAGAGAAGAATCAAATAGACGCAATAAAAAATGATAAAGGGGATATCACCACCGACCCCACAGAAATACAAACTACCATCAGAGAATACTACAAACACCTCTACGCAAATAAACTAGAAAATCTAGAAGAAATGGATAAATTCCTTGACACATACACCCTCCCAAAAGACTAAACCAGGAAGAAGTTGAATCTCTGAATAGACCAATAACGGGCTCTGAAATTGAGGCAATAATTAGTAGCTTGCCAACCAAAAAAAGTCCAGGACCACATGGATTCACAGCCGAATTCTACCAGAGGTACAAGGAGGAGCTGGTACCATTCCTTCTGAAACTATTCCAATCAATAGAAAAAGAGGGAATCCTCCCTAACTCATTTTATGAGGCCAGCATCATCCTGATACCAAAGCCTGGCAGAGACACAACCAAAAAAGAGAATTTTATACCAATATCCCTGATGAACATTGATGCAAAAATCCTCAATAAAATACTGGCAAACCGAATCCAGCAACACATCAAAAAGCTTATCCACCATGATCAAGTGGGCTTCATCCCTGGGATGCAAGGCTGGTTCAACATACGCAAATCAATAAATGTAATCCAGCATATAAACAGAACCAAAGACAAAAACCACATGATTATCTCAATAGATGCAGGAAAGGCCTTTGACAAAATTCAACAACGCTTCCTGCTAAAAACTCTCAGTAAATTAGGTATTGATGGGACATATCTCAAAATAATTAGAGCTATCTATGACAAACCCACAGCCAATATCATACTGAATGGCCAAAAACTGGAAGCATTCCCTTTGAAAACTGGCACAAGACAGGGATGCCCTCTCTCACCACTCCTATTCAACATAGTGTTGGAAGTTCTGGCCAGGGTAATCAGGCAGGAGAAAGAAATAAAGGGTATTCAATTAGGAAAAGAGGAAGTCAAATTGTCCCTGTTTGCAGATGACATGATTGTATATCTAGAAAACCCCATTGTCTCAGCCCAAAATCTCCTTAAGCTGATAGGCAACTTCAGCAAAGTCTCAGGATACAAAATCAATGTACAAAAATCACAAGCATTCTTATACACCAATAACAGACAAACAGAGAGTCAAATCATGAGTGAACTCCCATTCACAATTGCTTCAAAGAGAATAAAATACCTAGGAATCCAACCTACAAGGGATGTGAAGGACCTCTTCAAGGAGAACTGCAAACCACTGCTCAAGGAAATAAAAGAGGACACAAACAAATGGAAGAACATTTCATGCTCATGGGTAGGAAGAATCAATATCATGAAAATGGCCATACTGCCCAAGGTAATTTATAGATTCAATGCCATCCCCATCAAGCTACCAATGACTTTCTTCACGGAATTGGAAAAAACTACTTTAAAGTTCATATGGAACCAAAAAAGAGCCCACATTGCCAAGTCAATCCTAAGCCAAAAGAACAAAGCTGGAGGCATCACGCTACCTGACTTCAAACTATACTACAAGGCTACAGTAACCAAAACAGCATGGTACTGGTACCAAAACAGAGATATAGACCAATGGAACAGAACAGAGCCCTCAGAAATAATGCCGCATATCTACAACTATCTGATCTTTGACAAACCTGACAAAAACAAGCAATGGGGAAAGGAGTCCCTCTTTAATAAATGGTGCTGGGAAAACTGGCTAGCCATATGTAGAAAGCTGAAACTGGATCCCTTCCTTAAACCTTATACAAAAATTAATTCAAGATGGATTAAAGACTTACATAAAAACCATAAAAACCCTAGAAGAAAACCTAGGCAATACCATTCAGGACATAAGCATGGGCAAGGACTTCATGTCTAAAACACCAAAAGCAATGGCAACAAAAGACAAAATTGACAAATGGGATCTAATTAAACTAAAGAGCTTCTGCACAGCAAAAGAAACTACCATCAGAGTGAACAGGCAACCTACAAAATGGGAGAAAATGTTTGCAATCTACTCATCTGACAAAGGGCTAATATCCAGAATCTACAATAAACTCAAACAAATTTACAAGAAAAAAACAAACAACCCCATCAACAAGTGGGCAAAAGATATGAACAGACCCTTCTCAAAAGAAGACATTTATGCAGCCAAAAGACATGTGAAAAAATGCTCATCATCACTGGCTATCAGAGAAATGCAAATCAAAACCACAATGAGATACCATCTCACACCAGTTAGAATGGTGATCATTAAAAAGTCAGGAAACAACAGGTGCTGGAGAGGATGTGGAGAAATAGGAACACTTTTACACTGTTGGTGGGACTGTAAACTAGTTCAACCATTGTGGAAGTCAGTGTGGCGATTCCTCAGGGATCTAGAACTAGAAACACCATTTGACCCAGCCATCCCATTACTGGGTATATACCCAAAGGAATATAAATCATGCTGCTATAAAGACACATGCACACGTATGTTTATCGCGGCACTATTCACTATAGCAAAGACTTGGAACCAACCCAAATGTCCAACAGTGATAGAGTGGATTAAGAAAATGTGGCACATATACACCATGGAATACTATGCAGCCATAGAAACGATGAGTTCATGTCCTTTGTAGGGACATGGATGAAGCTGGAAACCATCATTCTCAGCAAACTATCGCAAGGACAAAAAACCAAACACCACATGTTCTCAATCATAGGTGGGAACTGAACAATGAGAATACATGGACACAGGAAGGGGAACATCACACTCTCGGGATTGTTGTGGGGTGGGGGGAGGGGGGAGGGATAGCATTAGGAGATACACCTAATGTTAAATGACGAGTCAATGGGTGCACCACACCAACATAGCACATGTATACATATGTAACAAACCTGCACGTTGTGCACATGTACCCTGAAACTTAAAGTATAATTAAAAAAAAAATCTAAAGTAACATTAGAATTGTAATTGGAATAACAACACATGTGAAATGATTGTGAAATGAAATGAAAGTGGTATAACTTTGCAATCACTCTAAAAAAAAAAGAGTTGATATAATCACCTCCCTTTATTTTCAGCTTAATTGAAGTATAATTGATATAAACATAAATTGCACATATTTCAAAAGTATAATTTGATGCATTAACATATTGTGTGTATATATATATTTATATACACATACATGCTGATGGTTTCATAGATGTATTTGATATATATATATATATATATATATATATATATATATATGAACCCATCAGCACAATTGAAATAACAAGTATGTCTTCATGATCCTTTGTAATTTCTCCCTTCCCCTATCCCTTTGTCCATTCACAGTAACTGATCTGCTTCTTTTCACTACTTAATAGTTTACATTTTCTAGTTTTATATAAATGAAATCTTTTGTGTCTGGATTCTTTCATTGCACTGACCAATTATTTTGGGATTCATCCAAGTTGCTATGTGTATCAATAGTTTATTCCTTTTTGTTCCTGAATAATATTCCGTAACTTGTCTATCCATTGACTTGTAGGATATTTGAGTTGTTTCTAGTTCAGGGCTATTACAGATAAAGCTATTATGAATATTACTGTACAAGTCTTTGTATAGGCATATGCTTTCATTTCTCTTGGGCAAATACCTAGGAGTGGAATTTCTGTGTGGTTTTCTTGGTATGTGTTTAACTTTATAAGAAACCACCAAGCTTTTCTAAAGTCATTGCACCATTTTCCATTCCCACCAGCAGCAGCATGAGAGTTTCTGGTGTGCCACATCCTTGCCAACACATCTTTTAAAATTTAACTATTCTAATACGTATGCAGTGATGTTATAGGCTGAATTGTGTCCCCCTCCCCACAAATCCATATGTTGAAGGCCTAACCTCTAGCATGTCAGAATTTGACCTTACTTGGAGATAGGGTCAAATGTAATCAAGTTAAAATGAGATCACTAGGGTGTGCCCTGATCCAATACAACTGGTGTCCTTAAAAAAAGGGAGGGAAATGGTGGTGCATACCTGTAATCCCAGCTACTTGGGGGGCTGAGGCAGGAGGATCACTTGAGCCTGGGAGGTCAAGGCCGCAGTGAGCCCTGATCGTGCTACTGCACTCCAGCATGGGTGACAGAGTGAGACTCTGTCTTAAAAAAAAAAAAAAGTGTGGGGAATTTGGATGCAGAAATAAATATGCATAGAGGGAAGATGATCTGAAGAGACGTAAGTAGAAGATGGTCATCTGCAAGCCAAGGAGAGAGGCATCGAACAGACCCTTTCTTCACAGCCCTTAGAAGGAACCAACCCAGCAGACACCTTGATCTTGGACTTCCAGCCTCCAGAACTATGAGAAAATAAATTTCTGTTGTTTAAGCCACCCAGTCTGTGGTATTTTGTTATGGTAGCCTTAGCAAATTAATACAGTATCTCATTGAGTTTTAATTTACATTTCCATAATAATTGATATTGAGGATATTTTCATTGCTTATTTGCTATCTTTATGTTTTCTCTGATAAAGTACCTGTTCAAATTTTTTGCCAGCTTTTAAATTATATTGCTTGTCTTCTTATTGAGTTAGGAGAGTTTCTTCACGTTTTATATTCAAGTCCTTTGTCAGATCTATGTCTTGCAAATATCTTCTCCCAGACTGTGGCTTGCCTTTTTATCTTTGTAGCTGACTTTTTTTTGAGACGGAGTCTCACTCTGTCACCCAGGCTGGAGTGCAGTGACGCAATCCTGGCCCACTCCAACCTCTGCTTCCCGGGTTCAAGCGATTCTCCTGCCTCAGCCTCTTGAGTAGCTGGGATTACAGGCGTGCACCACCATGCCCGGCTAATTTTTTGTATTTTTAGTAGTGACAGGTTTTCACCATGTTAGCCAAGCTGGTCTCGAACTCCTAACCCAGGTGATCCTCCCGCCTCAGCCTCCCAGAGTGCTGGGACTACAGGTGTGAGCCACCACGCCCGGCCATAGCTGACTTTTAAAGAATAGTTTTTCAATTTTATTGAGTCCAATTTATCAAAATATTTAGTGCTTTTAATATCCCCTTAAGAAGTCTTTGGAGTCAGGCATGGTGGCATGTACCTGTAGTCTCTGCTACTCTGGAGGCTGAGGTGGTAGGATTACTTGAGCCCAGAAGTTTGAGTCCAGCCTGCACAACATAGTAAGATCCCTTCTCTTAAATTTTAAAAAAGAGAAAAAAATCTTTTTTAACAAAAAGTCTTTGCCTAAAATTTTCCCTATTTTCTTCTAGAAGCGTTACAATTTTAGCTCTTATATTTTTTACTTAAATTCTACATCTGGTATGAGGTAAAAGTTGCAAGTTTTTTTGTTGCATATGGCTAATTGTTTCAGCACTATTCAGCACTATTTGTTGGAAATGTTCTTATTAGCTGACTTGGCACCTTTTTTTAAAAAAAAATCAATTGATGTTTTATATGTGACTTTATTCTGGACTCTATTCTGGTTTCATTGATCTAAAAGTATATATTTACCTTACCACATTGTCTTCCTTACTTTAGCTTTATAGTAAGTCTTGAAATCAGGTAATGTAGGTCTTCCAGCTTTGTTCTTTTTTCAAAATTGTTTTGGGTATTCTAGGTCATTTGTGTTTCCATATGCACTTTAGAATCAGCTTGTCAACTTCTTCAAAAAAGCCTGCTGAGATTTTGATTGAGATTGTCCTGAATCTCTAAATGAATTTGGGAACAGGTGACATCTTAACGATATTGAGCCTTCTAATCCACGAACACGGTATATATCTCCTCATTCATTCAAGTCTTCTTTCAGAAATATTTTATAATTTTTACTGTATAACTCATGTATTTTGCCAAATTTATCCCTAAGTACTTCATATTTTTGATGCTATTACAAGTGGCATCTTTTAAATTTGTTTTTGATGGTTTGTGGCTAGTATATAGAAATAAAATTAGTTGACAATCATTTCTAGTTTGATTTTTTTTGTAGATTCCCTAGGGTTTCCTATATAGATGATTATATTGTCTGTTAATAAAGACAATGTTATTTCTTCCTTTCCAATCTGTATGCCTTTAATTTCTTTTAATTGATTTAAAGTATGGGTTAAGACACTCAGTACAATGTAGAATAGGAGTATTAAGAGTGGACATTTTTGCCTTATTTATAATCTTATGGGGAATGCATTCAGTCTTTCACCGTAAAGACTGAAGGCTTTTGTAGATGTCCTTTATTGGGCTTAGTATGTTGCACACTATTCCTAGTTTTCTTAGAGCTTTTATGAATGCATGCTGAATTTTGTCAAAATTTTTTTTTGCATCTATTGAGATAATATGGTTTTTCTTAATCTGTTAATACAGTAAATTACAACTGATTGGTTTTCAAATGTTAAACCAACATTTGCTTTCCTGGGATAAATCCCACTTAGTCATGCTGTATTATTCTTTTTACATATTGCTGGATTCAACTTGTTCAAATTTTAAGTTTTGTATCTATATTCATATGAGATATTGGTCTATAGTTTTTTTTTGTTTGTTTGTTTTTTGTAATGATTTTGTCTGCTTTGGGTATCAGGGTAATGCTGGCCTCATAGAATGAGTTAGAAAGCATTTCTTCTGGCTGGGCACAGTGGCTCACGCCTGTAATCCCAGCACTTTGGGAGGCGAGGGAGGGTGGATGACGAGGTCAGGAGATCGAGACCATCCTGGCTAACATGGGGAAACCCCGTCTCTACTAAAAATACAAAAATTAGCTGGGCGTGGTGGCACACATCTCTAGTCCCAGCTACTCGGGAGGCTGAGGCAGGAGAATTGCTTGAACCTGGGAGGCGGAGGTTGCAGTGAGACAGGATCGCGCCACTGCACTATAGCCTGGGTGACAGAGCAAGACTCTGTCTCAAAAAAAAAAAAAAAAAAAAAAGTGTTTCTTTATTTTCTGGAATATTATGTGTAGAATTCCCCCATTGAGGGTATCTGGGCCTGAAGTTTTCTTTGTGGGAATGGTTTTAACCACAAATTTAATTTATTTAATAGATATAGGGAAACTCGGGCTATCTACTTCTTTAATGACCAAACTATCAAAGCTCACTAAAGAAATTTGCCCATTACATCTCAGTTGTCTAATTTATTGGTATAAAGTTGTTTTTGATATTTCATTACTAACTATTTAACGTCTATTGGATCTATAGTGATTTTCCCTCTATTATTACTGGTTCTGATAGTTTTCTTTCCATTTTCCTGATCGACCTAACGATGGATTTATCAATTTGTTTTATTGTTTTCAAATAACAGCTTTTAGTTCCATTGATTTTTCAGTTTTATGTTTTCTGTCTCATTAGTTTCTGCTCTTTATTATTTCTTAAGGTAGAAACTTAAGCCATTTATGGGAAAATCTGTCTTTTCTAATATAAGCCTTCAATGCGAAATCATAAATTTTCCTCCAAGAACTGCTTCACCTGTATGCCATAAACTTTGATATGTTATATTTTCATTTTCATTCAGTTCAAAATACTTTTTAATCTCCTTTGTTTTTTCCCCTCAGCCATTAGCTATATAAAAGTATATTGTTTAAGTATATTGTTTAATTTCTAAATATTTGGAGATTTTCTGGATATCTGCTATTGATGTCTAATTCCATTGTAGTCAGAGAACATACTTTGAATAAGAATAATTTTAATTTTATTGAGACTTGTTTTATGGCCCTGTATTAATCATGCCTTTTTATTTTATATATATTTATTTATTTATTTATTTATTTTTCTGAGACAGGATCTCACTCCATTACCCAAGCTGGAGTACAGTAGCAGGATCTTGGCTCACTGCAGCCTCGACCTCCCTGGCTCAACCACTCCTCCCACCTCAGCCTATGAGTAGCTGGGACTACAGGCACAGGCCACCATGCCGGGCTAATTTTTTTTTTCGTATTTTTTGGTAGAGATAGGGTTTCACCATGTTGCCCACCAGGCTGGTCTTGAACTCCTGAGCTCAAGCAATCTGCCTGCCGCAGCCTCCCAAAGTGCTGGGATTACAGGCGTGAGCCACCACGCCCAGCCTATTATGTATTTTCTGATGCATTGACATTTTAGGGCCTTGTTGACCCTAGAGGAGCCGCCAATCCCAGGGCTAGATAGCTCCTAGAGATAGCAAACAACTCACTTGGGACTGTGCTTTTCATATGCAAACCAACAAATCCAGAGCCCATACCCAACCACCTCCATTATGGAGCTCTTACAATCCAGGCCACTCTACCCGTCTGCCCTAACCATCCCAGGGCCAGGTACTAGGGACAGAAAACTCCTATGGCCAGAGCAGGCTGAAATTATTTAAATTAGCCAGTTTCAAGCCTGCTTGCCCTGTCTCACCATTCCCGCTCAAGGAAACCCACAATAAAGGCTCTTGCACACAGTTCCTACCTCTCCCTGAGCCTTCTGACTGACCTTGGTACTTCCCTGTGTAGTCCCCTGTGACATGAATTTCCCCTCCTCTTGGGATCTGTGAGTAGAACAAACTATATTTTCAATGGCAATTGTCTCCTGTTCTGTTGGACTCACCATATTTGAATAATAATTAAACCTACATTTTAAAACAGGCCCAGAATAGGTTCCATCTTGCTAAAAGTTTCCATGTGTACTTGAAAATAATGTGTATTCTGCTGTTGTTGGGTAGAATGTTTTATAATGTCAAGTGGGTTGATAGTGTTGTTCAATTCTATATCCTTATTGATTTTATATGTCTACTAGTTCTATCAACTTCTGAGGTAGGTATGTTGAAATCTCTGATCATAATTGTAGAATTTTCTATTTTTCCAGTTCTATAAGTTTTACCTCAAGTATTTTGCAGCTCTGTTATCAGGCATATAAACATCTAGGATTTTTATGTCCTCGTGATAAATAATGCTAAATAAATATTTAGGATTATGTCATCTTTAATCATTATGAAAAAACTCTATCTGGGAATGGTCTTTACTTTGAAATCAACTTTGATATTAATAAAGAAACTTTGGTGATTATTCTCTCTTTTCCCTTCCAGTGATTCTTTTTTTGTTTTGTTTTGTTTTTTGAGATGAAGTCTTGCTCTGTCGCCCAGGCTGGAGTGCAGTGGCGCAATCTTGGCTCACTGCAACCCCTGCCTCCTGGGTTCAAGCAATTCTCCTGCCTCAGCCTCCCGAGTAGCTGGGACTACAGGCACGTGCCACCACGCCCAGCTAATTTTTGTATTTTTAGTAGAGACGGGGTTTCACCACGTTGGCCAGAATGGTCTCGAACTCCTGACTTCAGGTGATCCACCAGCCTCGGCCTCCCAAAGTGCTGGATTACAGGCATGAGCCACCGCGCCCGGCCCAGTGATTCTTTCTCTAGACTTGGGTAGTCCCTTTATACATATGCACACATAAGTACTTAGCCGAAGATTTGAGAGGAACTCTCTGCACATCTCTGGAGCCCCCTCTCCGTATAGCTTTCTCTTTTATGATACTTCCATTCTATCTACCTTGGCTACTCTGCATTCTGAATTCTGTCTCCTCAAATCAGGGAGACTTCACATAGGACTGGCTACATAACTACAAAGCCTAATGTGAGATAAAATGCAAGGCCTTTGTTCATAAATTACTAAGAATTCCAAGACAGTAACAGCCAAGCATTAAACCAAGCTTGGGGCCCTTCTGAACATAGGAACCTGTTGTCTGCACAGGTTGCACACTATATTAGTCCATTCTCACACTGCTATGAAGAAATACCTGAGACTGGGTAATTTGTAAGGGAAAGAGGTTTAATTCATTCACAGTTCCACATTGCTAAGGAAGCCTCAGGAAACTTACAATCATAGTGGAAAGCAAAGGAGAAGCAGGCACTTTTTTCACGGGGTGGCAGATGGAGTGAGTACAAGCAGGGGAAATGCCAGATGCTTATAAAACCATCAGATCTTGTGAGAACTCACTCACTATCAGGAGAGCAGCATGGGGGAAACTGCCCCCATGATCCAATTACCTCCACCTGGTCCCACCCTTGACATATGGGGATTATGGGGATTACAATTCCAGGTGAGATTTGGGTGGGGACACAGAGCCAAACCATATCACACAGCTATGTAGCTGGCCTTGCCATTGAGTTTTGTTGGGTTCCCCCATCCTAATGAAGAAACACATTATCAAAATCTACTATGAACTTGCACTGTGGTTGATGTATAATAAACACAAAAATAGTTCCTCCCCTGCAGGAATTTACAAGACCACTGAGGAGGCAAGATATTCTAGTAAAAAGTTAAAAAGCAACATCAAGCAGTATGATATTAATGACCAATTCAGTGGTGAAGTGGGTGGTTTAACAAGGTTTCAAGATGTAGGACCTGAGTGGGACTCTGAAGGAAGAATAGGATTTAGGAAGGCTTAGAGATGGTGGGAAATTCAAGGCAGAAGTGAAGATAAAACCTCATAAGAAAGGAATATTTATCCTGAATGATGTGTCAGACATATCAGCCATCTCATTTAGTACTTAAAATAGAGTATTAAACTATCAAAATAGAGGTAGGTACTAATATTCTCATTTTAAAGATAGGAAAATCAGTATTAAGAAAGATTGAGAGACCTGCTCAAGCTCACATGGATCACATAGCTAATAAGTGGCCAAACGGGGAGTGAGAATGAACTTAATTTATGCTTTTTCCACTTTGCCACTCTACTAGGAATAATAACATCAACAAAATTTGGAGGTGAGAATTGGAAAGTCATTCTGAAGTCATTAAGTAGACAGGGTTAGCTGGACCAAAGAGCAAGTATAGAAAAGTCGTAGAAGATAAAGGTTATAAAACTTTGGATCAGATTATAAAAAGCTTCCAATAATAGGCTTAAAGTTTAGACTTTCTTTTACGGATGAGGGCATGTCGAGTGATAAAATGGACTTGCAAAGGCATGTAGAGTGATATAATGGACTTCAGAGACTCAGAAGGTGGAGGGTGGGGGTGAGAGATAAAAAACTACATATTGGGTACAATGGACACTACTCAGACGATGGGTACAAAATCTCAGACTTCACCACTATACAATTTATCCATGTAACCAAAAACCACTTGTACTCCCAAAAGCTATTGAAATAAAAAGATATCTTTTTCCTTTTCTTTTCTTTTTTTTTTTTTTTTTTGAGACAGAGTCTCACTCTGTCACCCAGACTGGAGTGCAGTGGCAACATCTTGTCTCACTGCAACCTCTGCCTCCCAGGTTCAAATGATTCTCGTGCCTCAGCCTCCTGAGTAGCTGGAATTACAGGCACACACCACCATGTGCCTAATTTTTGTATTTTTGGTAGAGATGGGGTTTCGCCATGTTGGCCAGGCTGGTCTCAAACTTCTGACCTCAAGTGATCTGCCTATCTTGGCCTCCCAAAGTGCTGGGATTACAGGTGTGAGCGACTGTGCCCAGCCAGAAACAAAAAGATATCTTTTTTAAAAAAGCAAAGGACTTTGGAGAGGTCAATTTAAGACTGGGCCCTCTAAATGGGCATTTGTGAGGAAGGTGGCTCGTGTGATCTCCTGGGCATTAATTTTATTGGAGAGGATTCTCTTGGTTAGGGAAACCAATTATACTGAGCTTTTGTCACTTGAAGAAGAGGTCAAAATGGGCACGAGTATGTATAAGGGCAGTTTCCCTTCAAATGTTATTCGCTTAAATATGTACCCTGCTCAGGATCTTAATATTAATAAAATTGATCAGAATCAGTCATGAGAGTATGACAAGATATCTTTCCATTCTAGAATATAAGTATTTCTGGGTGGTTTCTCATGGTTACAGGTGATGCTATAATAATTTATTGGTAATAAATGGTCTCTAAACAATTAGAAAATATTCAGTGTTGTTATCACATTGATTTTAAATATTTTTATTGCCTTATTAAATTATGCTTCTTATTTAAGAAAGAAAAAATGCTAAATGGAGTTCATTAAGCTGAAAGATAAGAATGTTAGTGAGTAACATAAAAACATTTAAAAAGATAAAACTCACTGGTAAATGTAAGTACACAGTCAAATTCAGAATATTCTAATAATGTAATGGTGGTGTATAAATTACTTACAGCTTTAGTATGAGTGTTAAAGTGGAAAACTATTAAAAATGATAACTACAATCATTTGTTAAGTGATACGCAACATAGAAAGATGTAAATAGTGGTATCAAAAATTCAAAATGTGGGTGAGGGGAATGGGAGTGGAGTAAAAATATAAAGTTGTTTTTTTTTTTTTGCAATCAAAGCTAAGTTGTTATTGGCTTAAAATAACCTGTTATAACTATATTTTTTATAAGTCTTACGACAACCACAAACCAAAAACCTATAGTAGATACATGAAAAACAGAAAGCAAGGAATCAAAACATATCACTAGAGAAAAATCACAATCACAAAGGAAGACAGCAAGAAAGGAAGGAAGGAACAAAGAATCCACAAAAGAACTAGAAAAAAAAATAAACAAAATGGCAATAGTAAGTCCTTACCTAGCACTAATAACCTTGAATGTAAATGGGTTAAATAGCTGAATGGATTAAAACAGAACAAAAAAGGCCCAATTATATGCTGTCTAAAAGAAACTCACTTCACCTGTAAGGATACACATAGACAAAAAAAGATACTTCATGCAAATGGAAACCAAAAAAGAACAGGAGTAGCTATACTTAGATAAAATAGATCTTAAGTCAAAAACTAAAAAGAGACAAAGGAGGTCATTATATAATGATGAAGGAGTTAATTCAGCAACAAGATATAGCAGTTGTAAATATACATGCATGGAACATCAGAGCACCTAAATATATAAAGCAAATAGATCTGGAGAAGTAGAGGACAAAAGAATAATAGAAAACCTACATTCATTTTTTTCTTTTCCTGCACACTTCATTTTTCTCCCCCAAATAGCAAGTTCTGTTTTATAGATTATTCTTGTTCTATTCTTCATTTTGGCTTTATAAAATGAACATCTGGGATTTTCCTGGATTGTTATATTCTTGAAATAAAAATGTATTAAAAAGATTCACTGTGGCTCCAAGGATAATTTATTATTTTGTTTGGTGTGCTTTCAAGTTGATGGAACACTTATCATTGTCACATGTAAATTTAGGATTTCAATCCTGATTTAAGCCCTTCTACTGGCAAATATAATCTTGTTGACATGAAATTCATCAAACATTTATATAGAAATGCTTTATCATGTTAAACTGGATGCACATTACTGTCATTTTCAAGGTGAACTATTAGTCCACCTAGAAATGAAAATTCCTTAAAAGTTCCATCTGCCATTAAAATGCCTGAAATGGTTGCTCTTGAAAGGGCCTGATAAGAAATGTCACAGAATTACATTTGGTTCCTAGGATTACCTAGTATTTTTTTCCTAGTAATTTTTTCCTAATATTTTCCTAGTATTATGGAAAAGTCTAATTCTTCTATGTTAAGTCTCACACAGAGCCTGTTATACAGCAGGACCCAAATATTAATTCCCACCTTTTCCCCTGCGGGTGTAAAATACCCATTTTAAGGTCCAAATGTGTCACAGCAGGTCATATTTGGGGTAATTGTTTTCTGATTAAAAAAATGAGATATAACTTACATATAATAAAATGCACAGTTTGTAGCTATGCAGTTACATGATTTTTTTTTTTTTTTACAATTGTATTCACCACTCAGCACAAGATATAGAAAATTTTGGCCAGGCAAGGTGGCTCACGCCTGTAATCCCGGCACTTTGGGAGGCCGAGGTGAGTGAATCACCTGAGGTCAGGAGTTCGAGACCAGCCTGGCCAACATGGCGAAACCCCATCTCTACTAAAAAATACAAAAATTAGCTGGGCATGGTGGCAGGCACCTGTAATCCCAGCTACTCAGGAGGCTGAGGCAGGAGAATCACTTCAACCCAGGAGGCGGAGGTTGCAGTGAGCCAAGATTGCACCACTGCACTCCAGTCTGGGCAACAAGAGTGAAATTCCATCTCAAAAAAGAAAAAAAAAAAAAAGATATAGGAAATTTCTCTCATCTTTCTTACTTCTATCAGCATAGCATGGTTTTGTCTGTTCTAGGATTTCATATAAATATTATTGTACAATATGTATTCTTGTGTCCAGGTTTTTTGTTTTTGGTTTTTACTCAGCATAATGTAAGATTCATCCATGCTATGGATGAGAGTAGTATTTAATTGTATGGATGTGTCAATTTGTTTATCCATTCTCCTGTTGACAGTTGATGTTTCCGGCTTTGGGCTAGTATGAATAAAGCTGCTATGATCACTCTTGCACAAATCTTTCTGGGGACATATTTTTGTTTCTCTTGAGTAAACACCTTGTAGTGGAATTGATGGGTCAGAAGATAGATATGTGTTAAACTTTATTGAAAGTGCAAAACAGTTTTCCAAAGTGGTCGTATCTTTCTACACCCCCACTAGCAGCTATGAGAATTCCACTTTCTATATGGGCTTGCCAACACTCAGCATTGTCACTTGTTTTGATTTTAGCCATTCTAGTGGGTTCCTAGCAAGTTTTGACACCAAGGATATCTAAGTCAATGTGCAGTAGAGTAAGCAAAAACATGTTTTCCAGCTGGCATTTGAGTTTCTCTAAAAGAGGGAACTGTTTTTGAGAAAGGCCTTTGATAAGCTGCTTTATGCTGCTTTGTTTGGTGGAACACCTATTGTCACAAGTAAATTTAGAATTTCAATCCCAATTTAAACCCTTCAAATAATATATAAATATAGACAGGGAAGCCTGGAAGCCTGTCTATACTCCCTGAATAGACAGGGAAGCCCTTATACCATAGGTTGGAACGAAGCACTAAAGAGATGGTAAATCAGGCCAGGGGCGGTGGCTCATGCCTGTAATCCCAGCACTTTGGTAGGCTGAGGCGGGCGGATCACATGGTCAGGAGAGAGAGACCATCCTGGCCAACATAGTGAAACCCTGTTTCTACTAAAATACAAAAAATTAGCCGGGCGTGGTGGCAGGCGCCTGTAGTCTCAGCTACTCTGGAGGCTGAGGCAGGGGAATTGCTTGAACCTGGGAGGTGGAAGTTGCAATGAGCCGAGATCACGCCACTGCACTCCAGCCTGGCGACGGAGCAAGACTCCGCCTCAGAAGAAAAAAAAAAAAAAAGAGGTGGTAGATCACCTTGCATAAGAAAGGGACAAGCAGGAATGTAATGACGACATGGAAGAGAAAAAAAGAGGAAGAGTCAGGAAATATGATAGAGACTGGAGTCCTGGGCAGTAGAAATGGCCGAGGGAACTTTTTAGGCACCAGGAAATTTATTACATTTAAAATGATCTCCTATATGGTGATTCAATATGATTGCCTTTAGCTAGATCTAGCCAGGTGCCTCAGGATATTTGTTCTGGGGCGTGGGATGGAGAACCAGGAGAAGGGCCTGGGTCCCCTGTTTAGGCCATTCTCAAAGTAAAGATGAGGAAAAAAAAGCTCTAAGAGACTAAGCAGAGAATTCAACCAAAGGTGGAAATCAGAATTAAAGGAAATTAAAAGGATTTTCAAGAGATTCCAGAAACACTGGGATTTCCCAAGGGGTGTAGAGCTTTCATGTGAGCTTTTGTAAATTTTAAGGGACAAGAGTGACATTAGCTGATGGCCAAAACTAGAGTGACCATATACCCTGGCATAGCTAGGACTTAACTGGCCCAAAGTGATCAGTAATAGTGTCACCTTTCACTCTTAAAGGTGTCCTAGTTTGGATAATAAATTAATATGATCACTCTCATCCAGTGATCTCCACTTTGA
Source organism: Homo sapiens (assembly GCF_000001405.40). NCBI lineage: Eukaryota > Metazoa > Chordata > Mammalia > Primates > Hominidae > Homo > Homo sapiens. Next base: position 19,260,608 of record NC_000023.11, on the reverse strand, counting down.
CCACATATTTAAATTATCTGGGGACCTTTACAAAATCCTGATGCCTGGGTTTTACCTCCAGAGATTCTGATTCATTTGTCTGCTGCATTGGCTCTGGGAATCATAAAAGCTCCCAAGCAACTCTAATAAGACACCAAGATTGAGAATCGCTGCTTTAGCTATAAGCCACCGAAATAAGGGTCTATAGAGTAGAAACTGTACTTTTGGGAAAGCCAATCAAATGTGGGCTATCATCAAGAGACATTTGTTTCCAGTAAAGGTTATAGTAATATCTTCAACTTTTGGATCTGAAGGAAAGAAATACTGCAAAATTCAACCTTGTATTCCAGCCAAATATTTAAATACCAAATACTCTTTATAAAAACAACAGATGAGCTAGAATATTTTGTATAGTGTGGCATTTTCATTGAAACTATGGAGTTAGAAATTCTGCTTATGAGTTTTTAGTAGAGGCATTGGTGTAGCGATACTAAAATGTCCCTCCTATACAAATTTCTCCTTTATCTGGCAAAACAAAGCTACAATGCATGTAGACCAACCTTTTATTTTTGACACATTCTTGACATTACCAATCTGAACTGATGTGTGCCCGTATCTTTATTAGGGACATCATAAAGGGATTTGAGCAGGAATGGCTAAGGTTCACATTGTTAAGGGCCTCCTGTTTTTGCTACATAGAGGATGTCTATTCACTTGTCTTGTTGATTGTAAACTAAACTGCATCAGGGAGATTCTGACAGAATTCTCTGACTCCACTTCAATTGTTCACATGCTATGTCCTGCCTATTTTTCCCACAACTAGGGTCAATTAATTGCCCCTTCTTTCTTCTTCTTCTTTTTTTTTTTTTTTTCCATAAGAGATCTTACTCTGTCACCCAGGCTGGAGCGCAGTGGCACAATTACAGCTCAATGGGGCCTCGACCTCCCGGGCTCAAGCAATCCTTCCAACTCAGCCTACTGAGTGGCTGTGACTACAGGCACATGCCACCACACCTGGCTAACTTTTGTGACTGTATTTAATTAATTAATTTATTTTAAGACAGCGTTTCGCTCTGTCACCCAGGCTGGAGTGCAGTGGCATGATCTCAGTTCACTGCAACCTCCAACTCCCATGTTCAAGCAGTTCTCCTGCCTCAGCCTCCCAAGTAGCTGGGATTATAGATGCCTGACACCACCTCCAGCTAATTTTTGTATTTTTAATAGAGACGGGGTTTCACCATGTTGGCCAGGCTGGTCTCGAACTCCTGACCTCAAGTGATCTGACCGCCTCGGCCTCCCAAAGTGCTGGGATTACAGGTGTGAGCTACCGTGCCTGGCCTAATTTTTGTATTTTTAGTAGAGACGGGGTTTTGCCATGTTGCCCAGGCTGGTCTTATAAGTGCTGGGATTACAGCTGTGTGCCACTGCGTCCGGCAGACCCTTCTTTAATAGACCAGCTTGTTGTCCCTGTCAATTCTCATATTGGCAGGAGAGATTCTAGCAAGTGTAGCCTAGCTCTCTGAGACTTAACATCAAGTAACCATTGCTGCAAGTTTAGCCTCAACTTTGTGTCCTGGTAATTGGGCTTTTGCCTGCATCCAAACGTGCTCCAGCCCTGCGCATTCCCGGTAGTTGTGGAGGCTGGATCCTCAGCCTCCACATGCTCATCTTGTATAATATCTCAGTCATTCTAAGATACGAGCCTACCTCCAGGCCTGTGACTGACTCCAGCCCAGTGAGTGGGTCCCCTCCCAGCCAGATGCCTGCCACTTAGATTCCTCTGTCACTCTAGGCTAAGCCTCCTGACCACATTACCAGAAGGCCATCCCTGAAGCTGGGGCTGACCTGGCAATGCCCGACACAACACAGTAGCCAGGCTTGGCCTGATACCCTGGACCAGCTCCCGTGTCCTGCCTTCAGGCATCCCCTGAGCCATGCGTGACTGTGTCCAGAGAAAAGACACCATCCATCTTTGCATCAAAACTGTTGCTTCTCTTTTACTCCTCACCCCTGTCTCCCCTGCCCCTTTATTCCCTCCCTTGGCTGCTGCTGCGCCTGTCTCCTGATACACCAGCATACTCAAACACCATTAGGGACCTGGCATCTGGCCAGTCCAACTACTTAGGACCAAACACTGTAAATACTTAAGGTGATAAATGGCTAACAAAAGAAACAAGACTGGAAACAAAGATTGTTTCTTGCAAAAGCCCATTTCTGAAATAAAAAACACCAACATGTATTATGATCTTAAGAAGTAAAACATCTTCATTGTAGAGAGGACAGAAAGTACAGAAACACCAGAGATGATCACTATCACTGTATTTGGTATATTAGGGACATACCCTTGAATTCTTTTTTCTCTTTTATACACCTACACATTACACATAAAGTTACATATATATTGGAATCACACTGTACATAATGCATATAATTTATTTTTAACTCAATACTATATCTTAAATCTTTTCATCAAATTCTTTTAAAACATAATTTTAACAGCTGGATATATCCCATATTATGGACATATGTTACAATTTGTTTAATTGATTCTCTATTTTTAGATGGGTTTTTAGTTTTTGATATAGAGGATGCTATGATGATATCATACAGAATGATGCACGAAAGTGTATATCTTCCTGTGCCTTGCTGATGATTTTATCAGAATACATTTCAAGAAGTGGGATTTCTGGGTTAAAGGTGATGCATATTTTTAAGGCTTTTGATACATTATTGCCAAGTAGCAGAAAGGCCATTCCAGTTCTCACCAGAAGTATCTGGGGCTCATTTTGTGTTCTTACTACCACCGGATATTATTATTTTAAAAATATGAGTTCTTTTCTGAGATGCATACTTCTAAACACATGTGTCAGCTAAAAGAAATATATTGTTATGAAACAACAGTGATAAATATGAAAAAAAAAAAACAAATTCTTGAGTATTCATGGCATTTCAATTGCATTCTTTTATGCCTGTGGCCAGTTCTTCCAAGGACTTAAATTGGGAATCTGGTTAAATTAGATAAGTTTCTTGGATGCAAAATAACTTCTGATTATATTTATAGGTCTATTTTGATAAGAATCATCAAATTCCATCAATACAGATCTAAATCGGTTGGTGAAGTTGACAATGACTGCACCCATTTTTGTGCCTTTTCCTGATCTTATTGCTCTCAGAATTTGATTTTTAAAAATACAATTAGATGGCAGCCTGTCTCCAAGTTCACTGGAGACCTGGAATCCACTTTCAAAGACCTTTCACTTACTAAAAAACGTGGTCATCTTGCGCTTCATTTTGACTGGCGGAAGACTCTTGGCTAGCCACCGCAGGAAATATTCACATTGTGGAAAGGATCTGGAAGAGGAAAGGAAAAGAAGTTATGGTTAATCATGGGGCACATGAGTCAGCTTCACTTTAAGGATTTACTCTGAAGTGGAGAATTCAAAAAACATGGGAAGCCCTAGGGATGAGGAAGGAGAAAGCTATTAGTCGTCGGAATAATTTTCTTCAAAGAAAATAATTCCTTTCTACGTGAACTGCCCTAAAAACCATCTGAATGTTGAAATCAGCGTGCATTTGAGAATGCTCTTTTCACCCCAGATGCTCTGGCTAGATAGATACAAAATAGGTGTGCATTTGGAACAGCTTGGAGAGCTTCAGAATTTGATACTCAGACAGACCACAGAAAAATGACTCAGATGCAATATGTCAATATTTCTCCTGAGATTATGGAAGTTCTCTAGGAGGGAATGCTTTGTTTTCATTTAATACTGCATATGAGTATGTTAGTGGTTGGGGCATTAAGATGGGAATTAGGATTTCTTTTTCTAGTTTGTCATTAGCTTCCTTGGTGGCCTTGGGCAGCTAATTTTTGCTTTTCCCCAACTTCTGTAAAATGCTAAAACAAAAATAATTAAGAATGCCAAGAAGATATTTAAGAATACTTTGGCCGGGCGTGGGGGCTCACGCCTGTATCCCAGCACTTTGGGAGGCCGAGGTAGGCGGATCACGAACTCACAAGTTCAAGACCAGCCTGGCCAACATGGCGAAACCCCATCTCTACTAAAAATACAAAAATTAGCCAGGTGTGGTGGCATGCACCTGTAGTCCCAGCTACTTCGGAGGCTGAGGCAGAAGAATAGCTTGAACTCGGGAGGTGGAGGTTGCAGTGGGCCGATATCATACCACTGCACTCCAGCCTGGGCAACAAAGTGAGACTCCATTTAAAAAAAAAAAAAAAAGAATACTGGCAGGACATGTACAATGCCCCAAATAGTTTAAAATTCACTTACTGAAAACATCTGATGATTGACTCTCAAAATGAGAAAAAATAATTCTGCTTTTATATTTGAACTGGATAAAGCAGTCTAACACCATTTCTTAAGACTATAAAAGCTACTGCATTTATTGAATGGTTTTCTGACATCTATTTTTAAAATATGACAAGTACTGTTCTTGGCAAGCCCTCAGCAGTGTCCCCGGAAAATGGTCTGCCAGAGTAATTTGAGAGTAAATATTTTGTGGTATTATCATCCCCAGAAGGTTTTTATTAACTAGGTGTTCATATACAGTGCTATTTTAAGGCCATCTAAATGTTGCTTTAGACTTGATAATTAGGACCCAATTATAATGCTGCAGTAGGGGTAGAACCAAAATTTGCCTCACAGGGAAATGAGGCCATAGCATGTTTTCTCCATGTGGTTATTGTGTAAAAAGGGACATGATTTGACTCTAAGTAGAATCTAACAGTTCTGCAGAAACAGCATTAATGATAGGCTAGGCATTGGGTTAGTTGCTTCCCATTATCTCATGTAATATGTGCAATACCCTGCAAGGTAGGTGCTGTTATTCCCATTTGATACATCAAGAAACTGATGCCACAAAGAAAGTAATTGATTCAAAGTCCCCTAAGTACATGCTCTTGTGTCCCATGCCGCCTCCCCAGTGTGCTGTGATATATGCTGATGCATACACAGTCCTCTGTATCACAATGAACTAACTGTTCTCCTTTTAAAGCTGGAAGTGTTATTCTTCCGCTGTCGATGTACACTCATCGTTGCCAATGACATGAGCCAACTCCTGAAAGTGAGCAAAACCTACCAGTGTGATTATTGAGTGGGTTATTTCCTAGTAGGCCCTGTGATCGACAGAATAATGTCCCTCCAAAGATGCCCATGTTCCCATCTCAGGAATCTGTGAATATGTTATGTTACACAGCCAAGGGGAATTAAGGTTGCTAATTGGCTGACTTTAAAATGGGAAGATTATTCTGGATTGTCCAGGTGGGTCCAATGGTATCACAAGGGTCCTAAAATATGGAGAGAGTCAGTAGAGGTCAGAATGATGCAATGTGAGAAGGATGCAGATGGCTGTAGCCAGCTTTGAGGATGGAGGGAGGAGCCATGAGCCAAGGAATGCTGGCAGCCCATACCAGTTGGAAAATCAAGGAAAGGGATTCTTCCCTGGATCCTCCAGAAGAAACACAGCCTTCCCAACACCTTGATTTTAACCGAGAGAGACCCATTTCAAATCTCTGACCTTCAGAACTGTAAGATAATTAAATTTGTTTAAGCCACTAAAATGGTAATTTGTCATAATCTGTTAACAAAAGTGATAGGAAACTAATACAATGCATTTAATTGATAGTTTACTATCAGGGGTCAGCAAACAATGGTCTGCAAATCTGGCCTGCCACCTGTTTTCATAAATAAAGTTTTATTGGAACACAGTCGTGCCCATTTGTTCATATATATTATGCATGGCTGCTACAATGGCAGAGTTGAATAGCAATGGCTGAGACCATTGGGTCTGCAAAGCCTGAAATATTCTGGTCTAGTTTTTACAGAAACAGTTTGCTGACCCTGATCTAGAGTTCAGCTACAAATACAGTTCTACAGATGCAGATTCAATGTAAAAATGTATAGAATTTGAAAAAAACAAATCCTCCTGATTTTTTTTTGTTGTTAGCCTAAGTTTTCTCTTGAACAGAGAGTGTAGCAAAATCCTGGTTAATAGAAGGTTCTGATCAGTTTCATGACAGTTAGTTGAAATTCCAGTGTGTATCATACCATAGATAGGCCAAATTGCATGAGTGTGAAGGAATAAGAAATTGTGCGATAGAGGATATTTATGCTGTTGGGGCAGGTAACAAGTTAGTTATAATTCTTATCCCTCCCCTCAAAAAAAAAAAAATAACTAATGACAGAGTAATTTCCAGCTTAAAAAAAAAAAAAAAAAAAAAAAGGTTGTTTTTACATTCTTCTCCCAAGTCCCTCATTCCTGCTCTCAGCTGGGGAACTCCTCAGATTGGCAGCGTGTGCAGACCAAGAGGCCCTGCGTCAGCCAGCTACTCCCAATTAGGCTCAGCCGGGCCACTTCCTATTTGGGTCAACTCCCTTCTGAAATGGGCGACAGGAGTAGACATTGCTGGAATAGTGTCGTCCACTTCAACTTGATTATAGAGTGGCATTTCCATCCACACTTGTCAGTTCTCTACTCCTTACTAATATTGTAGAATATTATTTCAGAGTGTTTCATTTCTACTAAGCCCCTTTTTAGCATCTTTGACCATGGGCTCCAACTTTTGTTGTAAATGCTTTTAAAACTGTTTTCTTAAAATGTTTAAGCTTTTGATTACAAAAAAATGTCAAACGTTTATCAAAGTAGACAGAATAGTATAACAAACCCCCTTGGATCTTTCATGCGATTCAACAATTAACGACTCACAGCCAATCTTGTTTCACCCCTCCCTACCCACCTACTTCATCTTCACCTACATTTTTTTGAAGCAAATCTCAACTGTAACATGGTTTCCTCCATAGCTATTCCAATGTGTATCTTAAAAAGATAAGGACTCTTTTCTAAGTAGATAATCATAATACCAGTATTACTTCTTTAAAATGCTTAACACTAATTCCTTATCAAATGTCAGTCAGTGTGCAAGGAAATCGGTTTGTTTGGCTTTTTTGTTTTGTTTTTGTTTTTTTGAGACAGGGTCTCACTGTCACCCAGGCTGGAGTGCAGGGGCGTGATCTCAGCTCACTGCAACCTCCATCTCCTGGGTTCAAGCAATTCTCCTGCCTCGGCCTCCCAAGTATCTGGGATCAGAGGCGCACACCACCATACCTGGCTAATTTTTTGTATTTTTAGTAGAGATGGGGTTTCACCATGTTGGCCAGGCTGGTCTTGAACTCCTGACCTCAAGTGATCCACCCGCCTCAGCCTCCCAAAGTGCTGGGATTACAGGCATGAGCCACCGCACCTGGCCATCATTTTTTAAGTTAACTTGCCCTCAAATATTTTGAGTGGTTTATGATGTTCATTCTCTCCCCAAGGCGTCCCACAAGGAAAGTGGTAAATATCAAAGTCACACACATTCCCACCATCCTCCACGCCAGTCTCCCCTTCACACACCTTCCTTTGCTTCTTGCAAATCCTCCTGTATCCCAAACACCCATCTCACCTTCCTCACTACCCATCGGAATTAGGAGCCCCATGGGGGTAAAGAAGGTGGGAGTGGGGGGATGTGGCAATTGTACCTTCTTGTATGCAGGTCAAATATTGAGGATCCCTTTCACTTCCTTCTTGACTTTCCTCATCTCATACCCTCCTGGGTTTTATGGCATCTTGGTAGAATTGCTCCCACTCACACATTCGCTTCTCATAAAACTTAAAAACATATTTCCAACATTTTGGATAGTTCCTTCCTAAAGATCAATGACACACTGTCACTTGCTCAAGCAAAGGTGTGAACAAGGGTGTATGAGGTGAGACTTGGTCTATCGCTCAGGTTTCTGAGGGGAGTAACAGACTTGCTTTCAACGTTTGAAAAATGTGCGTGGTGAATCTGGAAAACAATGATTTTCTCACAAATGGAAGCAATAATGACTCAATTTTCCTTTTCTGGTGTGTTCAGTCTCCCTTGCTGAAGAGAGCCTGTTCTTTCCATTCAGGCCAGCCTAGGTCTGTCCTGCTTTTACAGGGCTGGGGATGGAGTTGATATAGTGGGGAGTGGGGGGCAGGAAAGGCGCGTGTGTGTGTGTGTGTGTGTGTGTGTGTGTGTTTGTGTGTGTGTGTGTGTGTGTGTGAGAGAGAGAGAGAGAGAGAGTTAGCTAGCACAGGGGAGTGTTTCTGACACTTGTTTGAAGCTTTGCTTTAAGCTAGTCACATTCATCCTTTTTTTAAAAAACAGCTTTGACATACAATTCACTTAAAATTCACCCGTTTAAAGTACATACAATTCAATGGTGTTTTTGTTTGTTTTGAGACAGGGTCTCACTCTGTTGCCTAGGCTGGAGTGCAGTGGCACAATCATAGCTCATTGTAGCCTCAAACTCCTGGGTTCAATTGATCCTGCCATCTCAGCCTCCTGAGTGTCTGGGACTACAGGTACATGCCACCGCATCTGGCTAATTTTTGTATTTGTTGTAGAGACAGGGTCTCACGTTGTTGCCCAGGCTGGTCTCAAACTCCTAGGCTCAAGCGACCACCCTGCCTCGGCCTCCCATAGTGCTGTGATTACAGCCATGAGCCATTGTCCCCAGCCACAATTTAATATTTTTTAGGATAGTCACAGAGTTGTGCAACCATCACTACAATTTAATAACATTTTCATCCCTCCAAAAGAAACCCCATACCCTTTGGCAGTCACTCCCCACCCTTCTCCCCCAGCTCTAGGCAACCACGAATCTACTTTTATTTCTATAGATTTGCCCATTCTAGACATCTCATGATTGGTGATTTTTCCCTCCATGATTCAACTTTCAGGTGCTCTTTGGAAATCCGGGACTAAAACTTTCCATTCATGGCTAACTTCAGCCTTTACCACCCAAAATTTAAACTGCAGTGTGAAAAGAAACTCAGAAATGGTAATTGTGTTTTGGAGCAAGGAAGAGAAATATAACAGAAATTCAATAGAATTGGCTAAATTTTTTTCTTTAGAATAATCTTAAACTTATTAACTTATTAAACCTATTTATTAAACAAGGAACCAATGTAAAGTGCTTTTACATAGATCTGGGTCTACATTAGCAGGCTCTGCCTTCAGCTCTTCCAATTTGGGGAGTGTTACCCAGGAGCTTTCAGGAAATTCGAATATAAGAAGGCTAATGAAACAATTCTTTCATTCACGAATGTCTTCTCAAAATCTAAGAAATGGATTAAAAATGGTATTAGATAACCAAGTTGAACGTAAAAAACAGGCCAAAAGATAATCCTTTGGAAGTGGATAGAACCTAACATTACTCACAGGTAATGGGTGTGCTGTGGAGGATGTGCGTAATTTCCCTTCTCTTTTAAAAACCCCGTCTTGACTCTCTTTCCATTTATCCCTTGCTGCTTTCCTAATATTTTTGTTCAATACCCCCAGAATATCCAACAAGGAAAGCATACAAATTAAAATGTCAAAGTCTTTTAAGGTTTTGAGGCATTTACCATTTTCCAAAAGACCTAAAAGAAAAAAAAAAAAGGTTCAGAAGCATAGGGTAAGTATCTCAGCATAATTTCTAATTTCCAAAAACAAATGTGGCTTTGCCGCAATTGGTCTTCTTACTAAAATGGATTCTGCACCAAAGCCTCATGAACATATTGTGACTTAGCAACATATTCTCTGAAAAGGAAATGGGACAATACCTCCATCGTGGCTATATTTATAAAACTCACTTGGAGGGTTTAGAGTTTCAATCTTTTCACTTCGAGGTGTGAAGAGCCAAACAAAAATAAAAACCCCAAACACCTCACTATTATTTGTTTCAAGTGACCTTAGCCAGCTTTGGAGCTTAATTCTTTGGGTTTTGAATTAATCATGAAACCATCACCCATTGAGAATGTTAATATGAACTTTAGATTTAAAGACTGTTGTTAAGACACAAAATTCACACAAAATGGAACATTGTGTTCCATTGCTTAGTTTAAGTTGAAAATGGTGTTGGGATATTTTTTTTTCTCCCGAAGGAAGGAAACTTTTTTTTTTTTTTTTTTTTTCTGTTCCTGGGCTTCATGGTGATTTCCTTTCTTCCACTGTTGGAGCCCAGCAGAGCCAACCCTTACATCAGAGGCGCCTGTTTGCACTAGGAAACTTTTGGTAAAATATGACTGGCCCTATAAGCTTGTTACAGGGAGTTTTGGGTCACTCAGTAAGTTCTAAAAAGCTATATTTTGAACATTTGGAGAAAATCGTGGTGTGAGTATATTCTATCTGGGAAGAGAGTGAAGGGTTCTGTCTGCCAGGGGAAGGGAGGGAAAGAGACAGCAACTCAAGTTCATGGACCATTCAAGGCTTTCTCAGGCCACTGTCCAGGCTCTTTGGATGCTTTTAATTTTGGCTAATTAGCAGAGCAAATGACCGGAGGCAGGGAGCTGAAGTCCTAACAAAAACTTATTAGGGAACATGAAACAGATAAGGATTGCAACCAACAGTGCTTTATTGATTAAATAAACTACTTCTGATTCCTGCCATCCCGATTCCCTGTAGGACATAGTTCTAGGACCCCTACTGAACCAAGGTACTCCCCACTTGCTGGGAGAATGTTCTTCTTCCCGTGGCCAAGGTGATCTTTCTGTATATAGGGGACGCTTGGTGAGGCTGTTTTTGCATTACATTAGCAGAGACAGAATTTGCAACTGTTTCATTACTGAGATGCAGTAAAAGAGAAGACTCAGTCTGCATTTCCCCAGATGAAGGATTCTAATGAGCTCTCAGGTAATCTGGTCAAAAAATCAATGCCAGGGTATCCTGGGAGAGATATGTCTGCTAATGTCAACCCCCTGAGGGGTTAACTTCACAGCCTCAGTTCCTTCCTTTAGTCAACAAATATGTATTGAGCTCTTTTAACGTGCCAGGTACTATCCTGGGTGCTCAAAATACAGAAATGAGTACGACTGACAAAAATCCCTGCCTTTGTGGAGCACCTATTCTAATGGGGAGAAGGGATACAGATAATAAATGTTGATAGATGTCCACTACAAATCCATTTTCCATCTTTTCCTTAGAAAGTAGATGTTTGGCTAAACTATATTTCTCACCACCCTTAGTTAGGTGTGATCATGTGATTAAGCTCTTGTTACTGAAATGCAAGAAGTGACCTGCACTACTTCCTAGATTGGGCTTTCAGACGCTGGTTGTGCTTCTTCCATATTCATATCCCCTTTTCTGCCAGCAGGAATCTGGAGCTGGTGGTACCCCAACTTCAACTGTGCAGATGGGAACAATGTCCTAGGATGTGGCAGAGGAACATCATGGGAAAAACCCAAGATCTCTGAATGACTGGAGCAGAGACACCCCACTCGCCTAGACTGTTCGCGTGTAATTTCTTCAAGCCACAGTATTCCAGGGTTTTTAATAGTCATTTGGCAATACCCTGCATAATATGATAAACAAGTGTGCAAAACATGTCAGATGGGATAAATATGATTGAGAAAAATAAAAGTGTAAGAGAATAGAGAGTGCCAAGATGGCGGAGGAGTGCTTGCAGTTTTAAATATGGAAGTCATAGAAGGTCTCGTTGAGATGGCAACTTTTGAGAAAAGGTGTGAAGGAGATAAGGGAATGGAGCAGAACAGCTATCTGGGGGGAGAGTGTGCCCAGCAGAAGAAATGACAAGTACAAAGGCCCTGAGGTAGAAGAATGCCTGGCATATTTCAGGAATAGCAAGGAGAGCAGTGTGTTGGAGCAGAGTGAGCAAAGAGAGACTAGTAGGAGATGAAGTCAGAGGTGGTGATGGGAGGAAGGTGAAGGCACGGAAGTAGGGTATATGGCTTTTGGTGGGCCCTTGTGGGCTTTTAATCTAAGTGGGAAGAAAAGCCACTGGAGGGCTCTGAGCCAGAGGAGGGATAATTATTTTTTGAGACAGGGCCTTGCTCTGTTGCCCAGGCTGGAGTGCAGTGGCACACGGTTCACTGCAGCCCCCACCTCCCTAGGCTCAGGTGATCCTCCCACCTCAGCCTCCCAAGTAGCTGGGAACACAGGCATGTGCCACCGCACTCAGCTAATTTTTGCATTTTTTGTAGAGACGGGGTCTTGCCATGTTGCACAGTATCAGGGGAAATTCAGCCAGATATCAGGTGAAATTCACCCCCGATATTTCACATAGGTTCTTTTCTGTAGTCCCTAAGTGTCAGCCGGTCTGAGAAATAAAGGGACAGAGTATAAAAGAGAGAAATTTTAAAGCTGGGTGTCCGGGGGAGACACCACATGTCGGCAGGTTCCGTGATGACCCCTGAGCCGCAAAACCAGCAAGTTTTTATTAGTGATTTTCAAAAGGGGAGGGAGTGTACAAATAGGGTGTGGGTCACAGAGATCACGTGCTTCACAAGGTAATAGAATATCACAAGGCAAATGGAGGCAGGGTGAGATCATAGGACCACAGGACCGGGGCAAAATTAAAATTGCTAATGAAGTTTCGGGCACGCATTGTCATTGATAACATCTTATCAGGAGACAGGATCTGAGAGCAGACAACCGGTCTGACCAAAATTTATTAGGTGGGAATTTCCTCGTCCTAATAAGCCTGGGAGCGTTACGGGAGACTGGGGCTTATTTCCTCCCTACCGCTTCGACCGTAAAAGATGGCCACCCCCCGAAGGGGCCATTTTAGAGGCCTACCCTCAGGAACGCATTCTCTTTCTCAGGGATGTTCCTTGCTGAGAAAAAGAATTCAGCGATATTTCTCCCATTTGCTTTTGAAAGAAGAGAAATATGGCTCTGTTCCGCCCAGCTCACTGGCGGTCAGAGTTTAAGGTTATCTCTCCTGTTCCCTGAACATTGCTGTTATCCTGTTCTTTTTTCACGGTGCCCAGATTTCATATTATTCAAACACACATGCTCTACCAACAATTTGTGCAGTTAACGCAATCATCACAGGGTCCTGAGGCGACATACATCCTCCTCAGCTTACAAAGATGATGGGATTAAGAGATTAAAGTAACGACGCATAGGAAATCACAAGGGTATTGATTGGGGAAGTGATAAGTGTCCATGAAATCTTCACAGTTTATGTTCAGAGATTGCAGTAAAGACAGGCATAAGAAATTATAAAAGTATTAATTTGGGGAACTAATAAATGTCCATGAAATCTTCACAATTTATGTTCTTCTGCCATGGCTTCAGCCGGTCCCTCCATTCGGGGTTCCTGACTTCCTGCAACAGCCCAGGTTGGTCTTGAATTCCTGGGCTCAAGTGGCCCACCCAGCTCAGCCTTCCAAAGTGCTGGGATTACAGGCATGAGCCACTGTCCCTGGCCTAGAGGAAGGATATAATGTAGCTTCTGTTTGAATAGGACTGTTCCATCTTCTATGTTAAGGATATGCTCTAGGGGATCAAGGGTAGAAGTGGGAGACCACTTACAAAGCTATTGCAGTGATCTAGTTGATAATTGATGGTAGCTTGGTCCAGGATAATAACAGTGGCAGTGGTGAGAAGTGGTCTGTATTTTGTGGCTGTATTTTGAGGGTAGAGCCATTAGAAGTTGCTGATGCAACAGACATAGAGTGTAAGAGAATAGAATCAGTCAAGCTTCTGGGCTTGAAAAATTAGAGTAACGGCATTGCCATTTATTGAATTGGAGAAGATTCTGGGCAGAGCAGGTTTGATATGGAAAAACAAAAGTTAGTTTCGGGGCATGTTAAGTTTCTGGTGCCATCCAAAAGAGATGTTGAGTAGGCAGATGGAGCTGTAGCCCTGGAGTGAAGAGGGAGGGAGATGGATGAGAGTTCAAGCTATGAATCGGATGAGATGAGATCACCAGTGGAGGGAGACTAAATGGAGAGGTGGTCTGATGATGGAGACCTGGGGCCTGCCAGCATTTACTGTTTGAGGAATTGAAAAAGAACCAGCAGGGATGGTGGAGAAAGAGCTGGGTCAGGGAGGACAAAAGCCAAGTGACTTTGGCATCCTGGAAGCTTCATGAGAACAGAATTTTAAGATTATTCACTGAGACGCACTGAGGAACAGAAAGGGAGTGCTGCTCTAAAACCCAAAAAACCCAAGATGCTATTTCCATCATTTATCATCTACGAGACCTTGAGTAAGCCTTTCAATAAAATTGAGTCCCGAAGAGTTTATCTGTAGAAGGAGACAGGTAAACTCAACAATCCAAAAGCTTTCTCCAAGCTATAAAATTTGAGAGTAAAAGGAAAAAAAGCAAGAACTTTAGTGTGACTTAGTTTTCATTACCCAATTAGATTGTAAGATTGCTATAGAATAAGATGCCAGTGAAATTTGGGATCCTGAGGCCTTATTTTTAATAAAAAAGGATAATCACTAAACAATACACTGGTTTAAACTCTCAGCATTTTTCCTCAGCTATTTACTTCTCAAGTATAATGAATGGGATTTCAGAAATACAGGCTGGCTAGAAAGTAATTTTAATAACTGTGTTTTTATAATAAGCACCAATCTAAATGATTTCTCAATAGCTTGTCAAAGACAATCAAAACAGAACGGTGATGATTCCTCAAAAAAAAAATGCTGAATTTTTTGTTTGTTGAAGTTGGGTTTGGTTAAAAGTCCACCAATAGACCATTAAGTAATCACAGTGGCCTCTTCTATTGTAACTGTTGCCTAAACTCAGTGTAAACACAGAATGACTTATGAAATCGTCTCATTTGGGCAACCTCAAGAAACTCGAGTAGCCTTTTTAGGAATAACAATGCCATATCTTGTTTTTTTTTCTTACAAGGCTGAATTGTTGCCATTTTGTGTTATTAACATATTTGCAATCTGGATGAAGAGCCGCAATTACTCTTGAGTAACTAAATTTATGAGGAAATCTGAGATAAGGAAATCTGATCTCAACCAAGTAAACAGTTTAGAGCTTTTTTCCTATTGGTGCCTTGTTCTCTTTCCATTTCTTGCCCCTTTTAGTCTTTGAGGAGATGACTCAAGAGGTATATGTTCAGCCTGAATTTTTAGTGAGCTTAAGAACCATTAAGAGCTATTTTTACCTTTGAAGCCAAAAAAGTACATTCACTGTATGATCATGAGTTGCTTCCCCTTGATTTCAGAAATAAAGCAGTTTTAAAGAGCCAGGGAACTTCTCTAATAGGTCCTGAATAATTGCATGAGTAGCAACACTATTGTCTTTTCCTTGCAAGCTCTTTTTGGTGGTGATATAAAAACAAGATCTTTACCATCAGGTTGTAAGGCAGGATATCAGTATGCTTTCCAGCTCCCAACACCAGTAAACCCAATTAAAACAGCTTCAACCAGCACTTCGCAAACTTTAATGTGGTTAGGAATCACCTGGGGCTCTGCAGATTCTGATTCAGTAGGTCTGGGGCAGGCTGAGATTCTGCATTTTTAACAAGCTCCCGAGCAGGCTGGCAATACAGGTAATCATGCAGCACCTTGAGTAGCAGGGGCTTAAACAGTAAGACCCTGTATTAGTCCGTTTTCACGCTGCTGATAAAGACATACCCAAGACTGGGCAATTTACAAAAGAAAGAGGTTTAATGCACTCACGGTTCTACCTGGCTGGGGAGGCATCACAATCATGGCAGAAGGTGAAAGGCACGTCTCACATGGTGGCAGACAAGAGGAGAGAGAGCTTGTGCAGGGAAGCTCCCCTTTATAAAACCATCAGATCTCGTGAGACTTATTCACTATCATGAGAAAAGCATGAGAAAGACCCATCCCCCATGATTCAATTACCTCCCACTGGGTCCCTCCCATGATACGTGGGAATTGTGGGACCACAGTTCAAGATGAGATTTGGGTGGGGAAAGAGCCAAACCATATCAGACCCTTTATCACCTCATATAACAAGTCCAAAGGAAGCAAGATCTAGAGTTAATTCCTTCAACAGTTTAATGATATCAAGAACCCAGTTTATCTTTCTTTCTGCTCTGCCATCCTCAGCCTGTAGGCATTGGTCCTCATGCTCGTTCCCTCATGGCTGCAAATGACTGCAGCAGGTCCTACTATCACTTCTTCTCTCAGCCATAGACAGAGGCATAAAGGCCAGCTTTTCCGTATGTCTCTCTTTGACTAAAGAAAACCCTTTCCCAGAAGATGTCCCCTTCGTGTTCCACTGGCCAGAATTGTGTGTCACAAGTTCTTTCTCAAACCAATCACCACCAAGAAGAGTTACTCCGATTGCCTTTGACTACTCAAGAATTAATCTATTGGGCTGGGGAGTGTCCTGGACTTCTTTGAAACACATAGCTATCTGATAATTGAATAAAAACCAAGGTTCTATTTGTTAAAGGGGATGACAGGGCTGTTAGATAGGCAGCCAACAGTGTCTGCCACAGGCAATGTCCAGCACTGGACTTCTAATTTATATGGGCAGTGCTTGGTTTTTAAAAAAGGATTCAAATTTCACTACAATACATGTTGCTGCAATGAAAAATTCTCTATAACTTCATGTCTAATTTATAGCCAACAGATAAAACATTCTAAACAACATTCAATGCAACAGTAAGGGCCAATTCTAGCAAAACTAATGAAGTCAATTGTTTATGTTTGGTACATTTGTCTGTTTGGGTGGCCTCCCATCAACCCATTCCCCAGGCCCAGGTATCCAGTACCTATATATGGCCTCTCCTATCTTGCCAGGTGTCCCTTTTCAACCATGTACACTTCTCCAGGCTGAGCTTCAACCTCTGGACAGTGTGACAGGGGAGTGCCCACCCCTCAGGACACTAATTCGTGTCAACCTGATAATGGCTTCCAGTGGATTCATTTTCTACCTTTCCAAAGCAAAGTCCACATTTTAACACAGGCCTTTCACCCCATAATCCAGTCTTGGGGGCTGGCCTGGTTTATGGGAGAGGGTAACCTCATAGAACTTGCAAGTGATTGGTCATTTTAATATTTCAAAAGGAAACTACCAAAGTAAGAAACTATCGATCTCTATCTCAGATTTAAAAGAACCAAATGAGAAAATGCATCCCAAGCAGCTACTAAGAGACTAAAATGTGTGAGTAGAAAGAAAAGAATGTATAATTTATGTATTCTCGCCATAGGGAGTAACGCCAGCCCTCTTTCTCCATCCTGAAACTCCCTCCTCCTGTGACTTTCATCAATGCAGGCAATCCTATTCATTCAAACACGTACTGAATTCCTACCACATGGCCAAAATAGCCCATATTTCCTTTTGTTCTAAAAGCCCTGCTGCTAAGTGAAAAGTAATTTTTTAAAAAATGTTTCCATTAATTTCAATGGAGAGAATCATGATGTATCCCATCCCAACCCAATACGGAAACAATTTTTTTTTTTTTTTTTTTTTTTGAGACGGAGTCTCGCTCTGTCGCCCAGGCTGGAGTGCAGTGGCGGGATCTCGGCTCACTGCAAGCTCCGCCTCCCGGGTTCACGCCATTCTCCTGCCTCAGCCTCCCAAGTAGCTGGGACTACAGGCGCCCGCCACTACGCCCGGCTAATTTTTTGTATTTTTAGTAGAGACGAGGTTTCACCGTTTTAGCCGGGATGGTCTCGATCTCCTGACCTCGTGATCCGCCCGCCTCGGCCTCCCAAAGTGCTGGGATTACAGGCGTGAGCCACCGCGCCCGGCCCGGAAACAATTTTTGCATCTAGAAAAATATATCAATTGAACAGTGAAAACATGTTTCTCTATGTAATAAACAATCTTAAAGTAAATATGCTTGAATCCTTAATATAAGGGAGGTTTATTGAACTCGCCAAAGGAATAGAGTTAGTGGTGGGTGTTGGAGCGGGGTGGCAGTATGTGTGAGGGAGTCATTCTTTGGAAGGTAAGGAGAGTTATGATTGACTTTCAGGCAGACATTCAATATCAGAATTGGATGTGCATATTGATAGTTTTCATTTGCTTGAGCCTTGGACACAAGAGCCCTTCTGATGTGGATGGCTTTGGCATAACATAGAAGAAGTGGAATCTCTGGGCCGGAAAAAAGGCCAAGTGGAAGTTCACTTGTCCTCTCATAGTTCAATAATGGTAGTCCAAGATTGGGTTGATTCTCCACCCACTGTAAAGATGCTTCAAGTTTCTCAAATATCTCATGATAACTTACTGGGACATGATGTAATTTCTTAGAACATACAACCGATTGAGAATCTTTATCTTTTCATGATTTGCAAAACTCACACACAGCAGGGTGAGCTCTGCCTCTTCCTCCAATACCCACTACTTGCAATTGGTTACTAAGTTAGCTTGCTCAATTATACCTCTGCATTGACGCTTTTATTAGTTTCCTCCTTTGCATGCCCTTGGCCGCTAGATTAATCCAGGTCTGCCTCTTGGCTCATATGAACTCCCCATCCATCCTTCTAAAAGGCCTGCCTGCTTAGAGGCAGTACACATGGAGATTAAGAGCAAGGGCTCTGGAGCCAGACTGCCTGTGTTCAAATTCTTTCACAGCTTACTAGCTGTATGACCTCAAACAAGTTACTGAATCTTTCTGCGCTTCAGTTTCCTCACCTATATAATGAGGATATTAGTACCTACCTTGCATGGTTGTTGTGAGATTTGTTAATAAATGTAAAAGCAGGCTGGGCATGTTGGCTCACGCCTGTAATCCCAGCACTTTGGGAGGCTGAGAAGGGTGGATCACCTAAAGTCAGGGGTTCGAAACCAGCCTGGCCAACATGGTGAAACCCCGTCTCTACTAAAAATACAAAAAACTAGCCAGGCTCGGTGGTGGGTGCCTGTATTCCCAGCAACTCGGGGGACTGAGGGCAGAAGAATCGCTTGAACCCAGGAGGTGGAGGTTGCAGTGAGCCGAGATCACACCACTGCACTCCAGCCCCGGCAACAAGAGTGAAACTTCATCTCAATCAATCAATAAATGTAAAGTCCTCCAAATAGTGCCTGGCACACAGTAAGTTTTCCATAAATGTGTGATTTTGGCCGTTCCCCTATGGTACCATAGAATTACCTTCCTAAATCATCTGCATAACCACTACTATGTATTAAGAATCTCCTATAAGCCAGACACTGTACTAGGTACTTTATACACAATACTCATTCAGTCCTTGCATGTTATCCCTAGTTTACACCTGAAACAAACTCAGGGGCATTTAGTAGCCTTCCCCAAGTCACCCAACTGGTAAATGACAGATATCAGGCAGGTATCCAGGTCCCTCTGACTCCAAAGCCCATTTTCTGAATTCTTCTGCCAAGTACCTCAGCCACATGTCACCACTCCATCATATCCCTGTTCTATTCAAACCCCTTCAAAGTTTCCCAATCTTATGACAAATTAAGTATATATTTTTTATTTTGCACAAGCAAAAGGCCTTACTGGTTGCATTCAGCATGACTTCTACTGATTTCATGTGTATTTTAGCCTTAGTGTTGAATGAACTTTGGTAAGGTAATTTCCCCTCCATAGGATAGAGAGAGATGCTCCTGGCAGTCAGCGGACGCTGAGGCCTGAAAGAATTGGCCCTCTATTGGTGGTATTGACTGCCAGAGCTCTTCCAGTTGGCTGTAGCTCTGTAACTTAAAAGTGGAACAGAGAGGAGGACCCTGGGATTGGGATACCCACACCAAAAAGTTGAGAATTTTTGTAGTTAAAAAGGAAAAAAAAAAACAGCATGGGGGTATATGGAGGGGTTTTGTTTGGTCGGTCTAGTCCTTATCTAGGTGTATCAGTCAGCTATTGCCAAAAAGAATGCTACGTAACAAGCAACTCCTGATTCTCAATATTTTACTATGAAAACATTGATTTTTCTTGTTCAGAGGTCTACTGGTTGGCTATGGTTTCGCTGGGCTTGGCTTGAATCAGCAGAACCTGCCTTTGGATTGTAGACTGAGTCACCCCTACTCCCAAATCTTCTCATTCTGGGAGCAGCAGCTACCGGGGGTATGTTCTCATGAAGGGCCACAGAAGTACAAGGGCACAAGCCAAACATCTAGAACATTGGAAGCCTTTGCTTATGTCACATATGCTAACATTTCATTGGCCAAAGCAAGTCACATGGCCAAGCCAAAGTCAATGGTGACAGGAAAGTATACTGTTTCTGTTCTAGTGGGAGGCACTGTAAGGTCACTGGCAGAAAAAAAGAGTGAAGAGTTGATAACAATCATCCACTCTAACACATTGGGGTAGAATCAGAATTTTTCCTGGTGGTGAGGGGCACAGAAAAATATTGACCATTTAACTTTTAGCACCATGGGTGTCACATGGTAGATGTTCAATAAATTTATGTTGGAAGGATGGGTGGGTAGGTAATGGAAGGAAGGAAGGGTTCATAGTCAGTTAACCCTTGCTGTTGCAACTCAAGCAGGGGAACCATAAGAGAAAGAAGCTAGAGATGGTACAGACAAGATTGTACTAGCCCTTTGGTCTAGAGTGGGTTATTATCCAAGCATAAAGACACTTTGTGGGCCATATAGCTCTTTGTATTGGGCTATAGAGTCAGAAACCTGGTATTTGGAAATTTGACTATCGCCATCCTCACATATTATTATTTAAATACACTGCTTTCCTTTTAGTCCGCCTTAAGATTTATCAAAGTTCTTTGAAGTGACGGCATGCCCCAACTTGCCAAAAGCAGCCAAGAAAGAGGCATTTCTCTATGTTTGGCTGGAGTTTTGGAGGATGAGGAAGGTAGGGGCACAGATGGGGCAGCAACAGGTATCAATGGGACAAAACCGCAAAGGAGAGGCAAAATTCAGGGCTGGGAGACTGGGTTCACTGACTTTCACCTGGAAATTCTCCCTTCAGAGAGCTCAACTTGGCTCGCCGTGTGTGCAAGATCATGCTGGGTTCTATTATAGTGAGGGGAGGGGGGCCCCACCTGGCGACTCAACTGCCCCTAAAACAAAGCCCCAGTCTCCTTCCACCTCTCTTCCTGTTACTTTCATACCTCTCACCTGTGCTATAGCCAGAAGGAATTATTCTCGAACACCGCCTCCTCCAGGGAGCTTTTACTGATTAAAAAAGCAACCTCTCGCCCGGTGCGGTGGCTCACGTCTATAATCCCAGCACTTTGGGAGGCTGAGTCACGCAGATCACCTGAGGTCAGGAGTTCGAGACCAGCCTGGCCAACATGGTGAAACACTGTCTCTACCAAAAATACAAAAAATTAGCTGGGTGTGGTGGCGGGCACCTGTAATCCCAGCTACTGGGGAGGCTGAGGCAGGAGAATCACTTGAACCCGGGAGGCAGAGGTTGTAGTGAGCCGAGATTGCGCCATTGCACTCCAGCCTGGGCAACAAGAGTGAAACTGCATCTCAAAAAAAAAAAAAAAAAAAAAAAAAAAGCAAGCTGTCTTCCTTTGAGCCCTCATTCACATTCATTTGTACACTTCTTTTGCTCTACTTTTGGTGGTGTCTTATGTCTTTGCCCTGGCCTTTCTTACAAGCTGGTGAGCTCTGGAGGCAGATGTCTGGCTCCTCCCTGCATCGCCCACCATGCCCATACGGTGCAGATGGCATTCTCTCTCCCCATCCCCATTCTCATTTAGGGGTTCTCCTGTGAAGGTAGCGGCTGTATGGTGTGGGGGTTAAAAGTGTAAGCTCCAGGGTCCTGGGTTTGAATCTCAACTCTTCTACTTCTTGGCTGTGACCTGGGGCAACTTATTGACCCTCTCTGTGCCTCCATGCCCTCATCTGTGATGTGGGGTTGTCTGTGTGTATGGTGGGGAGATTAAATAAATTAGCAAATGTTAAGCATTTAGAATAGTGCCAAACACTTAGTAAATTCTCCATATGTGCAAGTGACAACTATATGGAATCTTACTTTTTGAAACTGAGTTCAATTTCAGCTCTACCAACAGAAATGGACAAACAGCTAAGCTTACACACGCTTGGTACACATTTTTTAATGTGGACTTCGAGGTTCATGATGGTCATTAGTGGCCCAGCTGTCTGATTGGCTAGTGGGCTCGGCATAGCTGTGAATATTTCAGCAAATGGGGGGAGGTTTTCTTTTTCTTGCTTTTGCCTTAACTCAAATGTTTTCAGATCTTGCAAATTCAGTTATGTACTTTCTGTATGGACATTAAAACTTTCTACTGTGGAAAAGTTTTTTTCAGTGTCAGCAGTATGGCTTGAATGCATGGCTTCTCACCCCTGGATACATGTTAAAATCGCCTGAGGAGACTTTTTAAAAAGCCTGATGCCCAGGTTATACCCCAGACCAATAACAGCAGACTTTCTGGGGATGAAACCCAGGCATCTGACCTTTTTATAGTGTGCCAAAGTGATTCCAACGTGTATCCAGGGGTAAGGTCCACTTTAAAAGAATCCTTTCCCAGGCAGATTGGCTCTTCAGACACCTCACTGAAGGTTATCAAATGTAGAAAGCACTGATAAGGATGCAAAGAAGTTGACGTAGACTTCCTACATCCCGTAACACTGCAATGATAACGAGGGAAGCCCCCTTTCTTTTTCACCACGGTTTGTGGTGAACTTTAAAGTGGCCCCCACCAAAGACAGCACTTTCAGGCCCTGGTAATTGTGCCTTTTCTTCAGTCTTCGCTTTCTGGATGTGCATTTTCATTTCTTTTCTCAAGTGGCCTGGGTGGTGAACAGATGTCTCAAGAGCATGAGGCAATTCTGTTCATGGTGTTCCTTGCTGCTCTTTTTCTAGGAAATCTACTTGTGTTCTAAGAAGATGATTACATTCACCTCTGCCCTGACAAGTCATTGGAAAGCTGAGCTAAGGCCAAAGCTTTTCCAAAACAGTTTTGTAGAGATTCAGATGCATGAAATAAGCAACTTCTGAGTCCCAAAGACTCTTAGAAACTGTTGATGGACAAGCTGCCTGATGAACGTAGTTCACATCACGTGAAGGCATATTTGCATCACAGCAATTCCTGACTTAGGGAATGAGGAAATTTGCATTCATAATTTTCTGGAAAATTGAAACTAGTTCCTTTGGGGGCCCAAATCTTTCATTTTAACCCTTACATTTTAAAAGGTGAAATCATTCTGAAGTGTGATATATACAATCTGTTTTCTTTAATAGAGAATATGGAAGATGATCTTATCCAATAGGATAATATCTCAAACCTCCAACCCACCATGGCCCAGCTTGAGCACATCTTTCTCCCTGAGGAACAAACTCCATCTGCCTCGAGTGGAGGTGAGACCAATGACACAGCCCTTTGACGAGCCAGTCTCCAGGGCTCTGCCTCTCTCATGCCCACCCCAGTCAGTCCCCAAACCCTACTGATTTTGCCTTCTGAGTATTTCCTCAATCCTCCCCTATGTCCCTCTGCCTCATGCTTGGAGCTCACCACCACCTCTGCCTGGACTACTGGAAAAGCTACATCTCCCTCTTCACACTCACCGATGGGCTGTTTACACCTGCTCACATCATACTGGGGTTTGAAAATGGTTCAACGGCTTCCCATTATTTGTAGGATAAAGTCCAAGCTTGGGAAGAGAGAATAGGGCACCTTCTGTGACACAGCCTCCAACTCTCTGGCTTTCCCTCTAGTCTTCTCTACCCTTCTAGTGGTGCTCTGATGGAAGTACGGCTCTTCTTAGGTGCCTGTGCAGGAAGGATCTGGGCCTCAGCTAATGCTGTCCCCTGGACCTGGAGTGCCTTTTCCCCTACTCTTCGCCTGCTCAACTCCAAGTTTCCCTTTGGGAAGCAGCTAAGGCTCAGCTCCTTCTTTTAGTAAGTCCTCGTTTTTCTCTGCCATTCTCATTCTCTGAGACAGATGCCTCTCCTTAGAGGTGCCATCATGCCATGTGTATATGATGAGGTCAAGGTGAAGAACAGGCTCAATTCTGTCACATGGTGAAGTAGTTCAGCATCCACTCACATTTTCACATTTTCCTCTCCTTGCTTTCACTCTCAGCTGCCACTTAGCAAGTCCATCTTTCGGGACATTTTTAATTGCCCTCTTAACTCCCATGACATTCTGGATAGCAGCTTTTTTTTTTTTTTTTTTTTTTTTTTTTTTTTTTTTTTTTTTTTTTTTTTTTTTTTGAGACAGAGTCTCGCTCTGTCGCCCAGGCGTCACCCAGGCTGGAGTGCAGTGGCACAATCTCGGCTTACTGCAGCTTCCGCCTCCCAGGTTCAAGCAATCCTCCTGCCTCAGCCTCCTGAGCAGCTGGGACTGCAGGCGCATGCCATCATGCTTGGCTAATTTTTTTGTTGTTTTAGTAGAGACGGAGTTTCACCATGTTGGCCAGGATGATCTCGATCTCCTGACGTCGTGATCCGCCCGCCTCGGCCTCCCAAAGTGCTGGGATTACAGGCGTGAGCCACCGCACCCAGCCCTGGATATCAGCTTTTAATCTGCAGTGGCCTGGGGACTTGGATAAGCAGGCTTATTCAGAAGTATAGAGCCAGTAAAATGTCAAGTGTGGTTGGGTCCAGACTGGGCATGGGGGCTCACATCTGTAATCCCAGCACTTTGGGAGGCCAATGTGGGCAGGTACCTTGAGTCTAGAAGTTTGAGACCAGCCTGGGCAACACAGTGTAACCCCATCTCTACAAAAAGTTAAAAAAAAAAAATTGCCAGAAGTGGTTGGTGCGAGCTTATGGTCCCAGCTACTCAGGAGGCTGAGGTAGCAGGATCACTTGAGCCTCAGAGGTCAAGGCTGCCGTGAGCTGTGATCACACCACTGCACTCCAGCCTGGGCAACAGAGTGAGATCCTGTCTCAACCCACAGAGTGGGAGAAAATATTTGCAAACTATGCGTATGACAAAGGACTAATATCTAGAATCTACAAGGAACTCAAACAGATTGGCAAGAAGAAAAAATAATCCCATCAAAAACTGGGCAAATGACATAAATAGGCAATTCTCAAAAAAAGGATATACAAAAAGCCAACAAACATATGAAAAAAATGACCAACATCACTAATCAGGAAAATGCAATTTAAAACCACAATGAGATACCACCTTACTCCTGCAAGAATGACCAGAATTAAAACGTAAAAAAAAAATAACTGTTGGCATGGATGTGTTGAAAAGGGAACACTTTTACCCAGCTGGTGGGAATGCAAACTAGTAGAACCACTATGGAAAACAGTGGTTGTTCCACTTAAAGAACTAAAAGTAGAACTACCATTCGATCCAGCAATCCCACTACTGGGTATCTACCCAAAGGAAAAGAAGTCATTATATGAAAAAGATACAGCTCATGCATATTTATAGCAGCACGATTTGCAATTGCAAAGATATGGAACCAACCTAAGTGCCCATCAACCAACGAGTGGATAAAGAAAATGTGGTATAGATAACCCATGGAATACTACTCAGCCATAAAAAGGAACGAAATGTCTTTTGCAGCAACTTCGATGGAGCTGGAGGCCATTACTCTAAGTAACTCAGAAATGGAAAACCAAATATTGTATGTTCTTAGAAGTGGGAGCTAAGCTATGGGTATGCAAAGGCATAAGAATGATATCATGGACTTTGGGGACTTGTGGGAGAAGGGTGAGGGGGTAAGGGATACAAGACTACATATTGGGTACAGTGTACACTGCTTGGGTGATGGGTGCACCAATTCCAGAAATCACCACTAAAGAACTTATCCATGTAACAAAAAAACCACCTATACCCCAAAAACTATTGAAATAAAAAATTAAAAAAAAATTTTTAAAGAGTGATTGGGTCTGGATATTGGCACTATGGCTGATACATTTTTCTTTCTGCTTTTCATTTTTAAACAAAATTTCCTTCAATGAATACACACAGTTTTTATGATAAAAATGTTAAGAATGTACACTTTTAAAAGAGTTAGTCAAGCTTTTAGTGACAGTCACTGCCTTAGGGTAATTCTTTAGAAGTCCTGGATTCTAAGTGTGGTCCCCGGACCAGGACCAGCAGACTCGCTTGAGAACCTGGTAGAAATAAAAATTCTTGGGCCCTGCTCCAGACCTACTGAATCAGACACTCTAGGGGTGGGACCCAGTAATCTGTGACTTAAGTCCTCCCAGGGATTCTGATTCATGCTCATTTGAGGACCACTGATTTAGGAAACAAAGTCCAGAGCATTAACATAGGGCTTGGTGATATTACCAGTGGAGGATGATCAGGTTCTTGGTGCTTTGAACAAATAATTGGACAAAACACACAAACAAAACAAGGGAAGAATGAAGCAACAAAAGCGGAGATTTATTGAAAACAAAATCACACTCCACAGGGTGGGAGCATGCCAAGAAAACGGCTCAAAGCCTGGGTTACAGAATTTTCTGGGGTTTAAATACTCTCTAGAGGTTTCCCATTGGTTACTTGGTGTACACCCTATCTAAATGAAGTAGTGGCTTGTGATCAGTCTGAGGCTGAAGTGAAGTTAGTTACACTCTATGCAAACATCTGATTGGTTGCAGAAAGTGACCAATCAGAGACTGAAGTTACAAAGTTATACTCCTATGCAAATGAAGACTTGGCCCACGACCAGCCTGATTGGTTTCCGGAGGGGATCAATCAGGGGTACTTTCAATTTTTCATCTGCCACACAGAAAAGAGGGGGGTTGCAAAGGGAGTAGCTTCTGGTCCTTTTGTTACTTGGGCATGGGAATTTGGGGTTTTTCTTTTAATTTATTTCTAAGAAGTCAGTGTGAATCGGCCTTAGGTTCCCTGCCTCCAGACCCTATTCTCCTGACTCAGCGACAACCACTATTTTAGGGATTTAAAGAGTTTTTTTAGTTGTTGCTTATTTCCAAGTTTAGGACTCTGTGTTATAGAGGGTTGTGGCTGCTGAGGGTCTGCCCTCTGAAGCCTCATGGGGACTTTTGACATCTCTTTGGAAAAGGAAATGCTTAAACATGCTGTTTTCATGGCGAGGGAAAACGAAATAAAATAGTTTCTCAGGGTGGGGATGAAAGGACTACTGGGTGAAGGATTAGTTTTAGATTTCTTTTTAATGATTCCAATCATGGGGCCCCAATTTCTATGGGCATTAAAAAATATATTGGCCAAAGGTCGATTGAACGGAAAGGAGAAAATTGCTGCTGCAGTGGCCAGGTGCCACTGTAGCACCAATTATGACTGTGGGGTCTGAGTGACATAGGGCAGGGAAGGTGCCACAGAGAATAAGCTGGGAGATAAGAAAAAAAAATTCTTTTTGTTCCAGAGAGAGTTAGAGAGCTTGGGCACTGTGTTTTGCTTCAAGCTCTGGACTAACAAGTTTTTATTTATTTTCACATAAGCAAATTTTAGATTAAAAATGTAATACATATACATAGTAACATGTGCAAGCAGATCACAAGAGTATATAATGAAAAGTAAGTCTTCCTTCTTAGATCCCTAAAACTCTCCTGAGAGGTTACCACTCTTGTTTATCTTTCCAGAAATATTCTATACGTATACAAGCATATGTAAATTCACATAGCCCCATTTATACACAAAAATCACCTTGCCAGCCCTAGCAATACGGTGAGACCCCATCTCTACAAAAACAAACACACAAACAAAAAAACAAAAAAACACTTAGCTGGGCATGATGGCACACTCCTGTAGTCCCAGCTACTTGGGAAGCTGAGGTGGGAGGATCGCTTGAGTCCAGGAGGTTGAGGTTGCAGTGAGCTGAGATCACACCACTGCACTCCAGCTTGGGTGATAGAGCAAGTCCCTGTCTCAGAACAAAAACAAAAACAAAAAAGCCAGCTTGCTTTTTCCCCTCCTATGTCTAGTAAGTTGTTGCATCTAAGAAATAGAGTGGCCTCATTCTTTTTCACAGCTGTGTAGTATTCTGTTCTTTGAATGCGATGTAATTTCTTTAACAAGTGTTACACTTGGGTTGGGGGTGGGGTTCCCTTCCTTTTACAGCCTTTCACCAAGAGAACATTTAAGCTGGGTGGGCTTCAGCTGCAGGTAAACGGTTTTAATTTGCTTCCATATACTGTGATGTTTTCTGTGTATTTCCAGATAACCTGGCATCTGGTGAGCGTGTAGTTCTAATTCCTCCCTTTCTCTCTGGGAGGCATTAACCCCACCTATAAGAACATTTTTTGGGAATGCAGAGTCTTCTCTGAGATTAAAGGGAACACCAGTCACATGGCAAAATGTGCTACAGAAGTTAGGAAAGAGAAAAAGTACTGGAAATGTTATGTAGTTTTTCCAGAACTCTTAGAGGCCTTACTTGAAAAAGGAATATGCCTTGGCATTTCACACCATTTTTTAAAAAGGATGAGCAGAACACCCTGTAACTGCCCCCTCTCAAAAATGTAGCCTATGAACGTGCCCCTGGATTAATGATACCAAATAAGTGGGGATCAACATTTTTTTTTACTCAACAAATATTCATCACGTGCCTACTATGTACCAGATACTGGGGATATACATCAGTGAATAAAATCTCATGGAGCTTAAATCCTAGCAGAGGCCCTATATTAGTCTGCTAGGGCTGCCATAGCAAAATACCACAGACTGGGTGGCTTAAACAGCAGAAGCTTATTTTCTCACAGTTCTGGAGACTGGACGTCCAAGATCAAGATGTCACAGGGCTGGTTTCTCCTGAGGCCTCTCTCCTGGGCTTGCAGAGGCCCGTCTTCTCACCGTGCCCTCACAAGGCACATGCCCATTGCCTCTTCTTCTTATTAGGATCCCAGTCAAATTGGATTAGGGCCCACCCTAAAGACCTCATTTAGCCTTACTCACCTCTGTAAAGGCCCGGTCTGCAAGTACAGTCACATTCTGAGGTATTGGAGGTTAAGGCTTCAACATATCAATTTTAGTGTGGGACATAATTCAGTCCATAACAGGCCCCCATCTAAAAAGTCTCATAGCTACATGCTCGAAGTAGCACTTCTCAAACTGTAATGTACATATGATTGCCCAGGGGGCCTGATAAAATGCAGATGTTTTTGCTTAGGATTGTCTTGGCTATACGGACTCTTTTTTGGTTCCACATGAAATTTAAAGTAGTTTTTTCTAATACTGTGAAGAAAGTCAATGGTAGCTGGATGGGGATAGCATTGAATCTACAAATCACTTTGGGCAGTATGGCCATTTTCATGATATTCATTCTTCCTATCCATGGGCATGGAATGTTTTTCCATTTGTTTGTGTCCTCTCTTATTTCCTTGAGCAGTGGTTTGTAGTTCTCCTTGAAGAGGTTCTTCACATCCCTTGTAAGTTGTATTCCTAGGTATTTTATTCTCTTTGTAGCAATTGTGAATGGGAGTTCACTCATGATTTGGCTCTCTGTTTGTCTATTATTGGTGTATAGGAATGCTTGTGATTTTTGCACATTGATTTTGTATCCTGAGACTTTGCTGAAGTTGCTTATCAGCTTAAGGAGATTTTGGGCTGAGATGATGGGGTTTTCTAAATATACAATCACGTCATCTGCAAACAGAGACAATTTGACTTCCTCTCTTCCTATTTGAATACCCTTTATTTCTTTCTCTTGCCTAGTTGCCCTAGCCAGAACTTCCAATACTATGTTGAACAGGAGTGGTGAGAGAGGGCATCCTTGTCTTTTGGTGGTTTTCAAAGGGAATGCTTCCAGTTTTTGGCCATTCAGTATGATATTGGCTGTGGGTTTGTCATAAATAGCTCTTATTATTTTGAGATATGTTCCATCAATGCCTAGTTTATTGAGAGAACAAAGCTGGAGGCATCACGCTACCTGACTTCAAACTATGCTACAAGGCTACAGTAACCAAAACAGCATGGTATTGGCACCAAAACAGATATATAGACCAATGGAACAGAACAGAGGCCTCAGAAATAACGCCACACATCTACAACCATCTGATCTTTGATAAACCTGACAAAAACAAGCAATGGGGAAAGGATTCCCTATTTAATAAATGGTGCTGGGAAAACTGCCTAGCCATATGTAGAAAGCTGAAACTGGACCCCTTCCTTACACCTTATACAAAAATTAACTCAAGATGGATCAAAGACTTACATGTAATACCTAAAACCATAAAAACCCTAGGAGAAAACCTAGGCAATACCATTCAGGACATAGGCATGGACAAAGACTTCATGTCTAAAACACCAAAAGCAATGGCAACGAAAGCCAAAACAGACAAATGGGATCTAATTAAACTAAAGAGCTTCTGCATAGCAAAAGAAACTATCATCAGAGTGAACAGGCAACCTACAGAATAGGAGAAAATTTTTCCAATCTATCCATCTGACAAAGGGCTAATATTCAGAATCTACAAGGAACTTAAATTTACAAGAAAAAAAACAACCCCATCAAAAAGTGGGCAAAGGATATGAACAGATACTTCTCAAAAGAGGACATTTATGCGGCCAATAAACATATGAAAAAAAGCTCATCATCACTGGTCATTAGAGAAATGCAAATCAAAACCACAATGAGATGCCATCTCACACCAGTTAGAATGGCAATCATTAAAAAGTCAGGAAACAACAGGTGCTGGAGAGGATGTGGAGAAACAGAAATGCTTCTACACTATTGGTGGGAGTGTGAATTAGTTCAATCATTGTGGAAGACAGTGTGGCAATTCCTCAAGGATCTAGAACTAGAAATACCATTTGACCCAGCAATCCCATTACTAGGTATATACCCAAAGGATTATAAATCATTCTACTATAAAGACACAGGCACATGTATGTTTATTGAAGCACTATTCACAATAGCAAAGCTTGGAACCAACCCAAATGCCCATCAATGATACACTGGATAAAGAAAATGTGGCACATATACACCATGGAATACTATGCAGCCATAAAAAAGGATGAGTTCATGTTCTTTGCAGGGATATGGATGAAGCTGGAAACCATCGTTCTCAGCAAACTAACACAGGAACAGAAAACCAAACACCCCATGTTCTCACGCATAAGTGGGAGTCAAACAATGAGAACACATGGACACATCACACACTGGGGCCTGTCGATGGGGAGGGGCGCTGGGGGCTAGGGGAGGGATAGCATTAGGAGAAATACCCAATGTAGATGACGGGTTGATGGGTGCAGCAAACCACCATGGCATGTATATACGTATGTAACAAACCTGCACATTCTGCACATGTATCCCAGAACTTAAAGTATAATTTAAAAAAAATGCAGATGTTGATTCATAGATCAAGGATGGAGCCTGAGATTCTGCATTGCTAGCAAGCCGGGTAATGCTGACACTGCCCATCCATGAACCACAGTCTGAGCAGCAAGGCAAGCCTTCCTCTGCAATAGTAAGACTTTTTTTTTTTTCTTTTTTGGAAACGTTTCGTAAGTGGCCTGTCAACAGCTTTACGAGAATAAGGAGAAATTTTTCCTGCTAATTCATTATTCGGGATGATAACATACCAAGGGCTTTCCAGAAGGTCATCTCTGCAAGCTCAATGGATCACATCAACTCCTTGGGGATGTCAGTTTTCAGCAGTCAGCCCTTTTATTCCCAGATGCTGAGTAGGGGGTTGTCTCGAACCCCACCCTTTACGGGCACTAGTCCCCAGTTACAAGCAATAGCCAGGGGCTTAGGAGGAAGCTTTAGAGTCACCACTGGCTGGTGCCCCCAAGCCTGCTAAAGCTGGGAGATGCCCTGGAGGTCGTTGACAACAACTCACTTCCCAATGCCTTTTGAGAGAGAAAAGAACTGGAGGCAGACCTGTGAAGGGTCCAAGGTCACTCCGCCGGTGAGGGTAGGGCCGGGCCCAGGATCCGGGACCCCATTCCCTAAAGCAGTGGTTCTCAACTCTGGCTGCACATTAGAATCTCCTGGGGAGCTTTTCAAATGTTCACGTGTCCAGGCCCTGCTCTAGACCAATTAAATCACAATGTCTCCAAGATGGGCCCAGGCAGACTTTTTTTTTTTTTTTTTTCCAAAAAAGCCCCCACTGTGCGAGCCTAATATACCACTCTTTGAGAACTACTGTATCGTCCAAAAGCAATGAGTCTGGCACCTGAGCACGCATCACAATCACCTGGAAGTTCTGTTTAAACCACATATTGCGAGACCGCAACCTAAGTTTCTGAATCGCTAGGTCTGGGGTGTGGTCCAAGAATCTGCATGTCTAACAAGTGGAGTGATGCCGCTCCCACTGGTCTGTCCTTGAAGCTATCCCTGTGGCCCCTTCACAGGGTCCCAAAGGCAAAGCTTTGGTTGCTCCCACTTTTGGTACCCACCTCTCTGCCGGCTGTTCTTACTTCCTTTCTCCTGTAAGGCTAACTTAACCATCGCTTGTTGCAGATTTTCACCTGGCTTGATTTAATTAGAAAATACTGGGGTCTGAGTAGACCAGAGAAAACTTGCTTTTGTTCTAAGCTCCCTGTCCTTCTTTGGAGTGAAAGAAGAACTTTGCTTATTCTGAACACAGTGTGTCAATTTTAAGACTTTCTCCAACCACCCCCACCCCAACGCACACACATTTCTTTATGTTCTGTGTAGATGGTGTAAGCTCGATTCCAAACTGATGGACTAGGTTCTAAAATATACCAACCCCGAACACTTGGTCTCCTAGATGTTTGCCAAACCAAATACAAAGGCGTGGCTACCTCATCATTTTCCCCCATCTGTGGCACTTTCCAGATCCAATTAATGGCAGATTTGTGTGTGAGGAAGATTCCCCTGCTGCGATTTGAACTGAGAGCCTGAGAATTCCACTGCCAGAGCTTCAGGCCCTAGAGCTAAGGATGGAGATGTGGTTAGGGTAGAGGACTTTTTCCATCCTTGCTATGATGGCTCGGAGAACTGAAAGGGCATGCCCCATAGCAGAGGGTTGAAGGGGACCAGCAACCCTTCCAAAGAGGTGGGCTGTGCTAGAGAAATGCTCCCAAGCCTCGGGAAGGGCCATGGCAGTGGTGACTGGGCCATATGCCAGGGGATGAGCTTTATACCACCTTTGGTGCCATCTCAGAATCTCCAGCCCATGCCTTAGCAGCACGCATAGGCAGAAGGATGTGGTCTAGGCACTAGACCCCGGTTCAAACTCTCTCCCTGCCACTGACCCATTTGCAAACTTGAACATGTCCTTACTCTTCTCATCCTCAAAATGGGCATAATATTTACAGGTTCATTGTGAAAGTTCGCATATAGTATGTAAGTAGCACACAGTACAGTGCCTGGAACACAGCAGGCACCCAGTCAGTAGCAGTTTTTAGTTTTCACTATTTTATTACCTCAAAATCAAGCGTGGATTGAGACGGGGGTAGGTTCACCAGATTGGGAAAATGTCACTCTGATAGCTTTTTCCCATTATTCAGACAGTCTGAAGAACACATACAAATGCAGTGGAAAAAATAAAAAATGAAGCACCTGTCGACTTGGATTCTAGTTCCAGCAGACACGTAACCTTGGCAAATCAGTTCCTTCTGTTTTCTCATCTGTAAAAGGGAGGAACTGTGACCTGTCAGGCCCCTTTCACTCCAGTGTTACATACGTATCCGTGAGGCCATCAAAATGGCACAAAAGCTCATTGTTTAGAGTCCATTCCTTAAAGCACTTGCCAGACTTACTTGATAAGAATCACCTGGGATGCTTTTACACTTACAGGTTTCTAGGGTCTTTCCCTAGAGTGGCACTATCCAAAAAGCAACCACAGCCATACGTGCCCAGTAAGTACTGCAAGTGTGGCTAGTTCAAACTGAGATGTGCCATAAGTATAAATACACAAATAATTTAAAGACATCTCATTAATAAAAGTTTTGTATTGCTCATGTGTTGGAATGATAATGTTTTGGATATACAAAGAAAATATATTATCTTAATTGTAAATAATAAATATATCATTAAGATTAACACAATCAATTAAAATCAAATCTATTGGAATCTATTTAAATAAAATCTAATATTAAGGCTGGGCACAGTGGCTCATGCCTGTAGTCTCGGCACTTTGGAAGCCAAGGCAAGAAGACTGCTTGAGCCCAGGAGTTTGAGACCAGCCTGGGCAACATAGTGAGACCTCGTCTTTACAAAAATTTAAAAAATTAGCCTGATGTGGTGGCGCACGCCTGTAGTCCCAGCTACTTGGGAGGCTGAGCTGGGAGGATCGCTTGAGCCCAGGAGGTCAAGGCTGCAGTGAGCCGTGATCACACTACTGCCCTCCAGCTTGGGTGACAGAGCAAGCCCCTGCCTCAAAAAAAAAAATATATATATATATATATATATATACACAATTAAAATTAAATAAATATGTTATTTAAATAATATCGAATATTAAAATGAATATCACCTATTTCTCTTTTTTATAAACGTGATGACTAGAACATTTAAAATCACATATGTGGCTTGTATGATATTTCTATTGGCTAACGCTGCCCCAGACGTAAGAATTCAGTATTTATGCTAAAGTTGACAGAATCTATAATTTGACACTTGTCCCAGGTGATACTTGAGCTCACCTCCACCTGGAAAACAATCTTTTAATGAAGCAAAACAAATCTCACAGCTTTTGGTAAACCTCACAACCTTCATTGAGAACTCATAGGCCTCAGATGGATGAAGACATTCTTTTGGAATAGGTTCAATCTGCTTAGGCCTCCCTTTTCTCCACTTTGCTGTTAAGAACCCTGCCAGTGACTTGGTCCTGGCATGGGAATGATTATACATATTTCTTTAAAATGGAGGGAGTCAGGCTGAAAGGGTTCGAGAAAGTAGGCTTTGTACTGTCGTCTGTGGTCTTGGTGTTCCTGCCGCCTCTCGCCACTGTAGCAGCTTTCAAGCCAACAAGACATTGTCTTTGGGTGATATCTGGTTAAAGCTAGGTGGCAGCAGCAGCATAAGATGACAAGGCAAGAAGCCAGTTTCAGGAGATAGAAAAGAATGTCTCACATCCCCAGACTTCACCCACTTTGCTCTTGTCTGCACTGAGTAAGCGCATGGAAGTCTGGCCCCTGAGCAGGTGAATTCGAGAAGCAGAAGTCATGCAACGCTGGAGCCTTACATGGAGGGCTTGGTAGGAAACTCCACTTCACTTCCAGGTGAAGCACGGTGGGGTCTGCCCACACCCACGGCATCCACAGTTCTTGGCCACTCCCGGATGAGCCAGTCCCCTGATTCAGCGCAGTGCAATCTTGCTCTCAGCTACATTAGGCCCCCGGCTCGTTGTGGAGGGATCTGAGGGGTAATGTCGTGTCCCCTCCCCGCCTGATGCATGCCTTGTGCAGAGGTGAAGGACAATAACTCTCTGTCAAGCCTCCACTTCACTCTTTGCTTGTGGGGACTTTGTTCCGGGAGGATGTATTCATCAAGGTCTCACTATCCTAATTTTGTTGCATTTGATTTCCTGTGAATTTTTAAAACTGTGGCCACTTGAACTCTCCCGCACCCCCTAAAACAGGGCTGCAGGCAAAATAAAGATATTTCCAAATACAGCAAGTCCTCACTTCACACTGTCAATAGGTTCTTAGAAACTGCAACTTTAGGCCGGGCACAGTGGCTCACGCCTGTAATCCCAGCACTTTGGGAGGCCGAGACGGGTGGATCATGAGGTCAGGAGTTCGAGACAAGCCTGGCCAATATAATGAAACCCCGTCTCTACTAAAAATACAAAAATTAGCCAGGTATGGTGATGCACACCTGTAGTCCCAGCTACTCGGGAGGCTGAGGCAGAAGAATTGCTTGAACCTGGGAGGTGGAGTTTGCAGTGAGCCGAGATCGCCCCACTGCACTCCAGCCTGGGTGACAGAGCGAGACTCTGTCTCAAAAAACAAAAGCAAAACAACAACAACAACAAAAAAACTGCAACTTTAAGTGAAATGACATGTAATGAAACCAATTTTCTTTTCTCATCAATCATCAATGTTATAACAAAATGACATTGAACAAAACAACATTATTCAAGGACCTGCTGTATGTCATTTTGATTAAAGTCTCTGTTTCCAAGAACCTCCCAATGACATTAAGTGAGGACTTACTATACTGAGAATTTGGCACCAACAGACTTCCTCATAAAAGAACTTGTACAGAATGTACTGTGGACAGAAAAGGTGTGATCTCAGATGGAAGGTTCAAGATGTAAAAAGAGAAAATGAGCAAATAAAGTAGTAAATATGTGCGTAATCTAAAACATTGAGTTCAAAAGCAAAAAGATCTTAGGGTTAAAAAAATAGAACAATGACATCCAATAGCAGTAGTAAGTAAGTCAGGCAGATGGTGATTAAAGTTGAAATTCTCTAAAGTTCTTGTGTTTTTAACAGGTAGAGGTCTTAATTTAAATATTGATGTTACTATTTGCATATCAAAATTTATAGGATGACTGCTAAAGCAATAGAAGTTGTACTAGAAGAGGCTAATGCTTTAAAAAAGAGATTCAAAAATATAAAATGGCGGAAACACAATGGAAATGTATTTCTTACTCCTGTGACAGTACTGGGCAGGTGAAAAGGTCTTTGGAGTGGTTCTTCCTCCACATAAATTTGTTTTCTGGGAGATTTGTTTCTCCACAGAGATTTCTTTTTCCATTGCTGTATATCACACTGTCTTCATTACTATAGGTTTCAAATAGTTATTGATAATGGGAAAATGAGTTCCTCCTCTTAGTTTTCTTTTATTAGGTGTATCTTGACTATTCCTGCTTCTCTAATCCTCAACAAATATTTTAGTCAGCTTTTCAAGTTTTACAAAAAATACCTTTTGAGGTTTTCGTTGGAACTGTATCAAACTATATATCAACATGTTCATAGTATTGAATTTACTCTTTCATAAACATGCTATTTCTTCTCAATTATTTAGACTTTCCATGCTTATTTACAATGCAGAATTTTTTACTTTCTCATCAAAATTCTGACATATCTTTTGTCATGTTTATTTTATGGTATGCTATACTTTTAGAAGCTATAATTGTTTTACGTTCTCTGTTGATTGTTATTGTATATAAATGCAATTGCTGGCCAGGCACAGTGGCTCACACCTGTAATCCCAGCACTTTGGGAGGCAGAGGCAGGCAGATCACTTGAGATCAGGAGTTCAAAACCAGCCTGGCCAACATGGTGAAACCCCGTCTTACTAAAAATACAAAAAAAAAAAATTAGTGGGGCGTGATGGCACATGCCTGTAGTCCCAGCTACTTGGGAGGCTGAGGCAGGAGAACTGCCTGAACCCAGGAGGTGAAGGTTTCAGTGGGCCGAGATCACGCCACTGCACTCCACCTGGGTGCCAGAGTGAGACTCCATCTCAATAAATGAATGAATAAATAAATAAATGCAATTGCTTTTTGTAGGTTGATTTTTTTTTTGCTACAGCAAAACTACTAAATTCTCTTATTAATTCTAGTTTTTTTTTTTTAGCTTTCTATGCATACCATAATGTCGTCTGTGACCAATACATTTTTGTTTCTTTTTAATCCTTATACCTTTTGTTTCTCTCTCTTTTCTTACTGTACTGGTTAGAATATGCAGTCCTGTGTTGAAAAGAAGTGGCTCAGCCTGGACAATATAGCAAGACCCCATCTCTACACAAAATTTAAAAATTAGCCAAGTGGCGGCACACACCTGCAGTCCCAGCCACTCGGGAGGCTGAGGTGAGAGGATCACTTGAGCCGGAAGGCCAAGGCTGCAGTGAGCTGTGATTGCACCACTGCACTCGAGCCTGGGCCACAGAGTGAGACCCTGTCTCAAAACAAAAAAGAAAAGAAGTGGTTATAGCTGCCACTTTTTGTTGTTCCTGATTTTAAGGGGGGAATACATTTAATGTTTCAATATTAATTATGATATTTGCTGTATAGTTTTGTAGATACTCTATATCCAGCAAAGGAAATTTCCTTCTTAACTTGCTAAGAATTTTTATAATTAATGGATAATGTCCTCAAAAAATGTTTTTCTGCATCTATAGAAATTACCATGTGCCCTTTCTTATTTATTTTGGTACTATGAAGAATTGTATTAATTGATTTTCTAATCAATTAAACCCTAAACTGCTGAGGAAAAGTCATCGTGGTCATTTTTGTCATTTTTGTATATTGCTAGATTTTGTCTAGGATTTTTGCATCTACATATTTCTGAGAAAACTAGGCTTGTAATTTTCCTTTGCCATGTTCTCTCATATCCTCTCTGTCAAGTTTTAGTATCGAGGTTATGCTAACCTCAAAATGAGTTGGCAAGTGTTCCCTCTATTTCTATAATCTAGAATACTTTGTATGTGATTAGAATTGTTAGTTCCTTTATTATTTAGTAGAATTCATTTGTAAAATAAGGAGCTAAGTATCCAACTTCAGTAGTGAGAAAAGAACAGGATAACCCGAAGAAGGTAAAAGGAAGAAATTATAAATATAATAACCAAAATAAGGAAATGAAAAACAGAATGTTTTTCTGTTGACAAAGGAATGTTGACAAAGCCAAAATTTAGTTCTTAAAAAATCCAAAATAGGCAAACATATAACAAGATTAATTCAAAGAAAGAAAAGTGACAAGAATGAACCATATTAAGAATGTAACCATAGATCAGTAGTTAAAAATATAAACAACTGATTCAGGGGATCATGGTGGATGGGAGGCAGGACTAGATTGCAGCTCCAGATAGAGCAGCGTGTGGAGGCTTGCACTGTGAATTTTAGCTCCAGATTGACTGCAAGAACGAAGCAGCAGTTCTGTGGGTCCCCGGAGGACCCACAGACCCTTTGAATGAAGTGAACTGCTCCTGCAGGACCCGGGAGACCCCCCAAAACTATGAGTGCCCCAACTGCGGAAGTGGGAAAGGGAGACCCTCCTCTGCCGAACACACCCCCGCACTGGAGAAGCAGAAGGTCTGTTTGTGGGAGAAGTTTCCTACTTTACCTGGGGCTGAGTCAAGTTAGAGAGCGGAGCGAAATACAAGGGTAGAGGAAGCAGCAGAATAGCCCTGGGAGCTCGCTGGGTCCCCAGGCAGCCCATTCCTGCCTGGTACCACAGGAATCCATTGGGAGGGTGGCCAGAGGAGCAGGTGGTTAAACTCCACAGGGAGAAGGAATTCTCCAGCTGAACTTTGTAACAATTTAAATGGGGTGAGAAGCCTCCTGGCCAGAACTTGGGGGAGGACACAAATCCAGAGTGCAGACTTCACAGGTGGGGGAAGAATTAAAGCCCTTTTCTCTCAAAGCTGGGAGGCAGATAGCCTTGGGCAAATTTTCAAGCGGTCTTGTCTCGCCCTCCCATGCTTATGGATGGGTAGAATCAATATTGTGAAAATGACCATACTGCCAAAAGCAATCTACAAATTCAACACAATTTCCATCAGAATACCACCATCATTCTTCACAGAATTACAAAAAGCAATTCTATAATTCATATGGAACCTAAAAAGAGCCCGCATAGCAAAAAGAACAAATCTGGAGGCATCACACTACCCGATTTCAAACTATACTATAAGGCCATTGTCACCAAAACAGCATGGTGCTGGTATAGAAATAGGTACATAGACCAATGGAACAGAATAGAGAACCCAGAAATAAACCCAAGTACTTACAGCCAACTGATCTTTGACAAAGCAAACAAAACATAAAGTGGGGAAAACACAAACAAAACGTGGGGAAAGGACACCCTTTTGGTGCTGGGGCTATTGGCTAGCCACATGTAGGAGAATGAAACTGGATCCTCATCTCTCACCTTGTACAAAAATCAACTCAAGATGGATTAAGGACTTAAACCTAAGACCTGAAACTATAAAAATTCTAGAAGATAACATTGGAAAAACCCTTCTAGACATTGGCTTAGGCAAGGATTTCATGACCAAGAATCCAAAAGCCAATGCAATAAAAACAAAGATAAATATCTGGGGCCTAATTAAACTAAAGAGCCTTTGCATGGCAAAAGGAACAGTCAGCAGAGTAAACAGAAAACCCACAGAGTGGGAGAAAATCTTTACAATCTATACATCTGACAAAGGACAAATATCCAGAATCTACAATGAACTCAAACAAATCAGTAAGAAAAAAACAAACGACCCCATCAGAAAGTGGACTAAGGACATGAATAGACAATTTTCAAAAGAAGATATACAAATGGGCCACAAACATATGAAAAAATGCTCAACATTGCTAATGATCAGGGAAATGCAAATCAAAACCACAATGCAATATCACCTTACTCCTGCAAGAATGGCCATAATCAAAAAATAAAAAAAAACAGTAGATGTTGGCGTGGATGTGGTGAACAGGGAACACTTCTACACGGCTGGTGGAAATATAAACTAGTACAGCCACTATGAAAAACTGTGAAGTTTCCTTAAAGAACTAAAAGTAAAACTACCATTTGATCCAGCAATCCCACTACTGAGTATCTACCCACAGGAAAAGAAGTCATTATTCAAAAAAAGATACTTGCACACACATATTTATAGCAGCAAAATTCACAATTGCAAAATCGTGGAACCAACCCAAATGCCCATCAATGAGTGGATAAAGAAACTGTGATATATATATACAATGGAATACTATGCAGCCATAAAAAGGAATTAATTAACAGCATTTGCAGTGACCTGGATGAGATTGGAGACTATTATTCTAAGTGATGTAACTCAGGAATGGAAAACCAAACATCATATGTTCTCACTGATATGTGGGAGCTAAGCTATGAGGACACAAAGGCATAAGAATGATGCAATGGACTTTGGGGACTTGGGGGGAAGAGTGGGAGGTGGGCGAGGGATAAAAGACTACAAATATGGTGCAGTGTATACATGGGTGATGGGTACACCAAAATCTTACAAATCACCACTAAAGAACTTATGTAACCAAATACCACCTGTACCCCAATAACTTATGTTAAAATAAAAAATATATATATAAAATTTTAAAAAAGAATGTAGCCATAGATGCTATGGGGTTTTAAAAGGTAATACAAGGGCCAGCCTGGCCAACATGGTGAAACCCCGTCTCTACTAAAAATACAAAAATTAGCCAGGTGTTGTGGTGGGCGCCTGTAATCCCAGCTGCTCAGGAGACTGAGGCAGGAGAATCACTTGAACCCAGGAGGTGGGCATTGCAGTGAGCCGAGATTGCATCACTGCACTCCAGCCTGGGCGATGGAGCAAGACTCCATCTCAAAAAAAAAAAAAAAAAAAAAAAAGATAACATAAGGATATTATATATTACTTTAAGGTAGTACATTTTGAAATACAGGTGAAAAGAACAAAATCCTAGAAATATGTAATTTACCAAACCTGATTCAAGAAGAAATGGAAAAGCTGATAACCTTCTAACCATTAAATCAGTTTAATTAGATCAATTTAAATCTGATAAATTTTCCCACAAAGAAAACACACCAGGTCTAGATGGTTTTATATATGGGAAAATTTGAATAAATTCTGGATAGATTAAAGAACTTGAATGCAAACGGCAATACCCAAAAACATTTAGGAGATAATATGGAAGATATCTAAATATCTGTATGACTTCAGAATGAGTGAGATTTCTTTGTTTTTGTTTGTTTGTTTTGTTTTGAGACAGGATCTAACTCTATCATACAGGCTAGAATGCATGGCTCACTGCAACCTCAATCTCCTGGGCTCAAGTGATCCTCCTGCCTCAGCCTCTGTAATAGCTGGGACTACAGGTGCATGCCTACCATGCCCAGCTAATTTTTTTTTTTTTTTTTTTTTTTTTTTTTTTTTTTTTTTACAAGCAGGGTCTCACTATATTACCCAGGCTGATTTTGAACTCCTGGCCTCAAGCGATCCTCCCACTTTGGCTTCCCAAAGTGCTGGGATTACAGGTGCAAGCCACCACGCCCAGCCTAGAGTGGTGATTCCTTAAATAAGACCCAAACTACATTAATATTAGGATCCTCTTCAGCCAGGAACGATGGCTCACACCTGTAATCCCAGCACTTTGGGAGGCTGAGGCGGGCGGATCATGAGGTCACGAGTTCGAGACCAGCCTGGCCAAAGTGGTGAAACCCTGTCTCTACTAAAAATACAAAAATTAACCAGGTGTGGTGGCAGGCACCTGTAATCCCAGCTACTCGGGAGGCTGAGGCAGGAGAATCACTTGAACTTGGGAGCTGGAGGTTGCAGTGAGCCGAGATCATACCACTACACTCCAGCCTGGGCAACAGAGCAAGACTCCGTCTCAAAAAAAAAAAAAAAAGAAAAGAAAAAAATTAAGATCAATACAAGATAGCTTAAAATAACCCAAAAATCCTCAAACTGGGAGAAGATATTTGCAACATAAGTAACAGAAAGAAGATTAGTATTCAAAATATATGAAGAACTCCTGGCTGTAGAAATAAAAGAAAAAAAAAGACAAGCAACATAATTTTTTAAAAGTGGACAAAAAGACTTGAACAGAAAAAGAAATACAAATGTTATAAATTTTCAATAAACATAAAAAGATTGCTTGACCTTATAAATAATCAGAGAAATGCATTTTAAAACCATAGTATGGTATCACTTCACATACCTCTAATTAACAATAACTCAAGTGATAATGAAATTAAGTGTTGGCAAAGATGGGAAACAATTGGAACTCTTCTACAGTGGCAATAGAAGTATAAGTTGGTATAACCAGTTTGAGAAACAATTTGGTATTTTCCAGTAAAGTTGAAGATGCACTCATTCCATTACCCAGCAATCCCATTCCTAGGTATATATGTTAGAACTAGGAGATTTGCTGGTGAGTAATCATAGGAGCAATGTTTTTAATAGTAAGAAATTGGAAAAAGCCCAAATGCCCATTAACATAAGAATGCATAAATAAATTATGACTTATGCATAAATACTGTGAAAATTAACAAACTACTGCTTCATATGACAACATGGGTGAGTGTCAAGCATTCAACATAAAATCAAAAAAGCGAATCTCAGAAATCATAGTCTGATTCCATTAATATAAAATTGAAGCACCTTAAAAACTAAGCAGTATGTTCTTTAGAGATACAGAAGTATGTGATAAAACTACAAAGAAAAGTGCACTGTAAACACAATTCAGAGTAGTGGTTACCTCTAAGGTGGGAAAGAAGGCAATTGGATCTGGGAAGGTCACATGGAAGCTTGAAGTTCACTGGTGTCACTCTTGTTAAAGTTGATGGTGGCACTGTTTGCATTGTTATTCTTTTAATTTACACATATTTTATAAAGATAATTTTTAATTTATTCAATATTTAATAAAATTTGTTTTATAGGAGAGAAAAGATAAGCTTGTAGGCTCAAATCAGAAGTCAAACACTCAAGTAATAAGAGTTACGGAAAAAGAGAACTGAGAAAATATTCTCTCAGAGGGAATCATCGAAGAAATAATAGAAAAACATCCCTCAGGAATAAAGAATGTCAATAGATTGAATGGGCATGCCAAGGCATACAAACATAAAATTTCAGAACACTAGGACACAGAAAACGTTCCAAAGGTACATATAAACTATCAGAAAACAGTATGACCTCAGATAGCAAAAATGAAAGCCAGAAGACAGTGGGACATCATGTTCCAATTTCTGAGGGAAAGTGATATCCAAGCTACAGCCAGACAAATGGTCAATCGAATGTGATGTTAGAATAAACACACTCCTAGATAGGCAAGATCTCATAAAGTTTACCAGCTCAAGAAACTACTGTAGGATGTGTTCCAGCAAAGGGAGGGGAGAACTCATCAGGAAAATGTAGGATCCAGAAATGGGGAATCCAACACAGGATCAAGATAGAGTGGAGCCCTGGAGGCAGCCCTGTTGCGGTCCCAGCGAGCAAATAACACAGATTAGAGTGATGCCTCCAAGAGAAAATGGTACTGATGCACTATTTAATGGGTTAAACCACCTTGAAAGGAATTTTAAAGTTTTCTTAGAGAATTTAGAGATGAATTGGTGAGATATATTTTAAAAGCAAATAAAAAGCAGGTGATTAGTAACTCTGAGAAAACCCAAAGTTAGAATACAAAATGGAACAGTATTTACTGTCTACTATGAACGATATTTATATAATTAACACAAACGTTGGATCTTGATTTAACAAGAGCTGTGTTATAAATATATTGGGTGTAGGAAAAGAAAAAGGACATGCTTCGGGAATTATTTGAGATAGCTTAGTCCTATTCTTCCATGGTAGCTAACCAATAGCTAATTCTAAAATTGAAAACTTAAGAAATGGCAAGAATAATGTTCTAGGCAGAAATATAAAAAAAGACTACCAAGAAAAACATGTAAAAGATTTGTAAGACGTGGCTTTCGGGAAGCAAAAAATAGGATTGAGAGGAAGGGTTAGGCAGCTGCAGTCTTTTATTTTATTTTTTAAAACAACATGTTTATATAAAAAATTAAGAAATAAATGCAATG
Organism: Homo sapiens; assembly: GCF_000001405.40. NCBI lineage: Eukaryota > Metazoa > Chordata > Mammalia > Primates > Hominidae > Homo > Homo sapiens. The sequence goes on along the minus strand of NC_000023.11, from coordinate 19,216,651 downwards.
TTCACTACCTTGTTAGGAGCTTATATTACCCAGGTGTATGCATTTGTCAAAACTCAATGAATGTACACTTTAAGATTTGTGTATTGCATTGTACATAAATTTTACCAAAGAAAAATCAGCAAGCAAATATTGAACTCTAGTTAATAATATGTATGCAATGTCTGTAATTTATTTCCAAATTCTTTAAAAAGCAAGATGGACCAATGGATGAATAGAAGGATGGAGAGATACTTGATAAAGCAAGTATAGTAAAATGTTGATGGTAGAATCTAAAAGGCGGTATACAGGTGTTCACTGTAAAATTCTTTCAATTTTGCTAAGTTTGAAATGTTTCGTAATAAAATGTTGGAACAATTAAAAACAAGTGCAATGCTCAAAAGAAATTCAACAAAGAATGTTCTGTCTGGTGTACCAGCTAGGTACCCTTTCATCCTGAACTGCCCCCTGCTTTCCAGAGCATTCTATAGCCATTTGACCCACAGATGACTGGTCAAATCAAAGAGGGCAGTGATACGTGAAGAGGTGAGGACGGGCTGATATTTCTTGTTGGCATTTATACCAGTTTCCCTCCAGGGCATGTGGTGGTTCAATGTTGAATATTTAATCTCTCCTAACAAGATTTGTCTTCTGGCTATGAATATCCCTGTTGTCACATGCTCATCTATCTCTTAGCCCCAGCTGAATTGTAAACTCATCCAAGCTACAGTTTGTAACCTCCAGGGTCACACATTCAGTGGTTCATCAATATTAATTTTGCTTTCATTAACCACAGGAAGAAAGTAGCTCTTTGGTGTAACAGATTTCAGAAAAGTGTAAGCTGAATTGTCTGGGGAATCAAATCATACCATTTTCATTACAATGACTCTTAGGGCTTGAAGCCAGCCTGGTCGTTCTGTAGATAAAGAAACTGAGGCAAGAGAGATTAAGCGATGTATCCAGGGTGATACAACTATTTAGTGTGGTTATCTTTGGGTATTTTCTTCTTTATGCCCATTTTAAACTATTAAATAAGCTTATAGGATGTGAACTTGAATAAACAACTACCCTTTGCCCAAAGAAATGCTAGATTAAAAAGGAACTATGAAATTTAAGAGATTACAACCCTCTCCAGCCTGTTTATGGGGTGAAGTGGGAGCAGGGGAACATAGGTAACAGAATGCTCCCCCATCCTCAGTTTACAATCTCAATTAAAAGGGTCTTTAGTGAAACTACTGAAACATGCTGCATTGTGAATGAACCTTGAGAACAGTATGCTAAGAAGCCGGGTGCAAAAAGCCACATATTGTATGATTTTATTTATATGAAATGTCCAGAATAACTAAATTCATAGACACAGAAAGCAGATTGATGGTTCCCAGGGGCTTGGAGAGGGCAAATGTGGAATGACTGCTTCAGTCGATACAGGCTTCATTTTAGGGTCATGAAAATGTTTTGGAACTAGAGTTGGTGATTACACAACATTATGAAATGTAATAAATACCACCAAATTGTTCACTTTAAAATGGTTCATTTTATGTCATGTAAATTTCACTTCAATTAAAAAAATGTATCTCTAGTCAGAGAGAGAAAGCAAATGTGGCAAACTGTTAGCAATTTGGTAGATCAAGGTACGGGCCATTCAGGAGTTCATGGTGCTAGCCTCGCAACTTTTCTGTTAGGTTGAACATTTTTCAAAATAAAAAGTTGACAAAACATAAAGTATCTCTAGACAGCAAGGAAATAATTTCACGAGATTGCTAAATTGATGTCAACACCTGCAGTCTAAAATTTATACAGTTCAATATGTGTCATTTGATCACTGGCATGTCAAATATAGAACAGCTATGACTTTGCTGGCCAGTAAATTATCTAGCAGTGAAAATCACTTTTTAGGAGAGTCGCAATCAAACATTGTTTAACGTGGGAGCCTATAAAGATGCAAATTCCTGAACAACAGTGTCTAAGAAAAGTACATTGGGTCACTCTGAACAGGTGGTATGAACATTTGATTTAACTGAAAGATCTGAGCTTTTTACGGTCTTTGTCACCATCGAATGAATCTTACATCCGCTGATGACTAAGAGCAAGCAGGGGCGAGCTGCCCAAGTCACAAGAGAAACGTTAGGGGCCCAGGTGACCATCCTGACCCTTGCATAGAGTGTGCTGCAACTCCAGCAGACGTGTAAAGATAACACTACGTCCTGGAACCTCATAATGATGAAGACAGGACAGCTTGTCTGCTTCCATCACACAAGGTGTCAGACAGAGTTCACTGTCAGACAGAGCCTCCCTGGTTCTTTATGGGCCCATGACCTAGTTTTAAATTCCTCATCCAACAATTTCTGAGGCTTGAGACAACAAATGAACCTGTCTACACAGGGTGAGAGGTTACTTGTTTCTTTGACTAAGTTGCATTTTAAAAAGCACACAACGACATGTAACATTGCACAACAATGTTGTTAAAACAATGTAATTAAAACTGCTGAACCGAACACTTAAAAATGGTTAAGATGGTAAATTTAATGTCATGGTTTTTTTTTTTACCACATTAAAAAGGACACATTAGGCTCAAGTTTTATTCTTAATGCAGCAGACCTGAGAATTATCTTCCTTTAGTCTAAAAATGAGGTATGTTGCCAACCTTTAAATCCTGGTGTGACAACACACTCCTGATGAAATATAATCTGCTCCTACAAAGGGGGAAAAACCTCTAGAAAAACAGTCAGATCCCTGCATAAATCTTAGCTGGGCAAGCAAAATGAACATAAGAACAGATTAGTGGCAGAAGGACATTAAAAATAGAAAAGAACTATTGATTTGAAGGTGTTACCTCAAGAGATAAGTACCAAGAAATATTGGAGTGCAGTGGTCTCCATAATGTGAACTAATCTATTCTCCGTTAGGGTTGACTCATGCTTTTGAGATGCAATTTATTGCTTATCTAGACACTGCTTTGGGATTTAACAAATCATTAAAGGGAATGGGAGTTTCCATTTATAAATATAGCTTTTGTAGGGTGACAAATACAAGAATGCTCTACTCAAAAAACTGAGGTCTTTTTTCATGCAATTTTGTGTTTTCCCAGAATTTTGATCAAGCATGTAAGAAGAAATCCATGTTCAACCAACAAGGGCTAATAAGAAGAACTCTAATATTCATCTCTTATGAGGAAATCATCATTGAGGCTCTTGAGCACTTGAAATGTGGCTAGATTTCAAAATTTAGTATGAAAAATGTAAAATATTTCATTAGTAATTTTGACATTGATTGTATGTTAAAATGGTAATACTTTGGATCATCAGACTCAATAAAATATATTATTGAAATTAAGTTTGTCTGTTTCTTTTAACTTTTTTTTTTTTTTTTTTGAGACAGAGTCTCACTCTGTCACCCAGCACCCAGGCTGGAGTGCAGTGGTGCAATCTCGGCTCACTGCAACCTCCACCTCCCGGGTTCAAGCGATTCTCCTGCCTCAGCCTCCCGAGTAGCTGGGACTACAGGTGTATGCCACCATGCCCAACTAATTTTGAATTTTTAGTAGAGACGGGGTTTCACCATGTTGGTCAGGCTGGTCTCGAACTCCTGACCTCAAGTGATCCACCCGTCTTGGCTTCCCAAAGTGCTGGGATTACAGGCATGAGCCACCGTACCCGGCCTCTTTGTACTTTTTTAATGTGGCAACCAGAAAACTTAAAATTACAAATATATTAGCATCATATTTCTAATGGATAGCACTGTAAAGGCCATTTGAGTTTTCTAGCCCACTCTCTTCAAATGAAAACATACACACATGTAGATAATCTGATTATCAAAATAATATATGTTCTCTTTTTAAAAGTAGAATATGTAAAAAACCACCAGGAAAGAAAAATACCCAGATATGCACATTCTTTTCTCTAGAATTAAAACATCTCTTTAAGCATGACTTTCATGAACACACCACAATTTATATTAAACATTCCACTGGTAAATGAATCTATACAAAATAGTTTTGGGCATTGGAGGTAATTGAGACAGTTCACTTGAAAATTGCTTTTGTTCCTCAGAAACTTGTTTCCTAATAGATTTCTTTTCCATTTAGATTAAGAAATGCAAAAATGTAAGTCACTGTACTTAGCTCTGCAAATCTCAGGGATGGCTTGGAAATGACTGTATCAGTTACACCATGAAAAGTGATCTCTAGCTTAAAAATTGCCAAGGATTGGAGAAAAATTACACTGGCCGTCAGCATATTGATAGGACTGAGCTGAAGAAGCAGAAATTTTAAATAACATTGGACTTTGTAAAATGGTGGCTGAGATATTTTTTTAAATGCAGGAAATATGATTTTTAAAAATCAAGTTTTGCCTAGTTTTAATACAATAGTGTAATCTATGCAACAGATGGTTAGAACAGAAGTTTCTCTGCCTCAGTTTCAGCTGAAGTGCTAATACCACAGAAACCAGACACCAAAGTGAACAGGAAGCAAACAAACTTCAATGGGTAGAAATTACAGGAGAAATGTTCAACTCTGGGCCTCTCAACTGGGCATCAAAGGCATCAAAAGAGGTCAGGGCATGGAGAAGTGAGGGGACTGTGAAGAAGTTTCTTTGGAGAGAACTATTGCTGTGCTTCAAGGATGGAAGGACCATAACCTCCTTCACGTTCAGCCTTGTGAGGGAGACTTATGGAAGGCTGCTTGGGAGTTCTGGAAAGTGTTTCCTGCAGAGATGCGGAGAAGCAGTGCCTAACTCACTCCTAAGGAAGCTGAGGTGGAGGGCGGGGGTGCCGGGCATTTAGAACACTATGGAAGGGTTGATCAATTGCTCTGGGGGCTGGGTAAGGAAAGGGCTGCTGTGTCGAATGGGCTTGAAATCCAGACTTTGTCAAGTCAAAGGATATAGGAGTGCCCCTCAGGGATCAGGGGAGGGTCTTGTAGCTCATCTTGGGTTCTGTCCATCGGGGGATCCCCTAGAGGGAAGAGAGCAGCTTTTTCAGGTTTCTAGTGGAAAGAATTAAACAGATTCCTTCAGCTGTTGTAGAGACTGGCTGTTGCCCTCCTTTTAATCAAATGATTTGTAAAATCTTCGTCCCAAATCATTCGTATATATGATATAACAAATCTATTGAGCAAGACTGATTGCAATTGGAATGTTTATTACACTACTATTTTCCCAGTCCCCAGGGTGCAAAAGCTCTTCTCTCCTTGGACCCCCTGTCCAGTCAGTCCTCTTGTGTGTTTCCACCTGCCCTATCTTTACTGCATCTGTGCCCTTCAATAGCCTTCCCCCACCTGGCGCTCCAAATCTGCCTGCAACCCTTTCACCCAAACTGTTACCCAATGCTTCTTTCTTGCTGCTTCCACTCAGCACCCCACCACCCCAATACATCCAACATTCCACCGCCAGATTCCCTTTCCTAAGTGGTGTGGTTCTCCTGCTCTAAAACCTTAAATGCAGTGACCTGGAATCCCAGGGTAGGTAGGAGACATGGTGTCAGGGCAGGGGGAGGGGGGTTGATAAGACAGGGTGCAGACTGGAGTTGGGGAGACTTCATACATACACCTTTCCTAAGAGATCCTTCTGCACATCACCTCCTCTCCATCTCTCTCCCCCCGCCCCCCCACGTAGAGAATTGCTGCATCTAACGAGAGTGTTACCAACAGGGATATGTTGTCTATGTGACTGATGGAGAGGCAGAATTAACCTATGTGACTGATGGAGAGACAGAATTAACCTATGTGACTGATGGAGAGGCAGAATTAACCAAGGCTGTATTCACTAAAGGTAGCATTGGTTCTGTACCAAATAAACCTTGAATACTCAGTAGATTTGTTTATCACTGACATCATAGTCTAATGTTGCTCAGTCTCCTAGAAGGTTTTTCAGGGACCCAGGGGCCTTCCACATTCAGGTTCTGCGCTCCTCATCTGCAAAATGGTGCAGTGATAATATTCTTGTGAAGGGTCGCCATAATAATTAAATCTGTGAGTATAGGTCAAGGACTCAGCACATTGCTCGATGCATAGGAGGTAGTGGTGTATATTTCTTTCTCCCTTCTCTTTGTTAGGAATTTCTCTGATAGCTCAGGGTAAACTCTATTGCTAACTTGTCTATGCACCATACCAAGCTTGCTCTGGTCATTTTGTAACACGAAGTTAACCTTCAGTTTCTTCTTATCAACCCATTAAGTTTTATTCTCCTACTTCTAGCCTGCCCTATATCACACTCCCGGGGTAAGGAGGTCCTTGTTCTCAACCACTGAAGTGGGAAAAGCTCTGATCCCTTCACTAACTCCTACCATCCAATATTTCCAATTTCCCCTCACTCTGACTCTAACTCCCCCAAAAGCTGAGATGTGAGAAGACTAAGATGTTATTCTTCCACAAGTGGAATCTGTGTCACCAGGTGATTTCTAAAGACCCAATAGAAGGAAAAGCCTTTATTGGAAGGATTTCAGGCATGAAAATGGGTGAAAACATGAGTTTTATTTTTGAAAGGGGATACCTGCAAGGTGGGTAGACACCAGCTCTGCCTCTCCTTCCCCGATGCCAAAAAGTTAGTGTAATTAACTCTTTCTCATGGTAAAATCACTTGATTTTGAACCTAAGAATGCTACAGAAGAAATGCAATTTTTTTAAAGGAGCAGAGAATTTTGAGGGCATGTCTTCCAGGTAAAATTAGGTAGGTATCGTTCATTCAATCATAATTCATTCATGTGTCCATTGCTAATCTTGTGGCAGTTTTCAGAGAAGATCACATATTCTTGACATTCCTCCCATAAATTGGTAGCATCCAATTCTCCCCTTCCACCATCTTTAATCTGGGCTAGCCTTACCTGGAAGCAATAGAGTGTGGCAGAAGTGATGCTATGTGACTTCCACAACCTTGTGGGAAGAAGCCTTGGAAGCTTCTGCCTAAGTCTCTTTGAACATAGAGACTCTTTTAAGTCTCTATGTTCTCCAGCTGCTCCCTCTTGGGACTTAGCAACCAGGCTGTGAAAAGCCCAGGCCACATGGAGAGGCAGGTGTAGGTGTCCCAGTGGACAGCCCCAGCTGAACTCCCAGCCAACAGCCAGGATCAACTACTCGACTTGTGTATTAGTCCATGTTCATGGAGCTGATAAAGACGTACCTGAGACTGGGTAATTTACAAAGAAAAAGATGTTTAATGGACTCATAGTTCCACGTGGCTGGGGAGGCCTCACAATCATGGCAGAAGGCAAAAGGCACATCTTATGTGGTGGCAGACAAGAGACAATTGAGAACCAAGCAAAAGGGGCTCCCCTTATAAAACCATCAGATCTCATGAGACTTATTCACTACCACAAGAACAGTAATGGGGAAATCACCTCCATGATTCAGTTATCTCCCACCAGGTCCCTCCCACAACACATGGGAATTATGGGAGCTACAATTCAAGATGAGATCTGGGAGGGGACACAGACAAATCATATCAACTTGCAAGCCAGCCATCGTGGCTGTCCTGTCTAGCTGAGATTCTGCTGACTGTAAGTACAGAAGACGTCTGACTGCGATCATGTACTAGACCCCAGTGAGTGTTCAGCTGAGCCTTCCCTGTATTCCTGACCCACAAAATGGTGAGCAAATGGTTGTGTTAAGCCCCTAAGTCTGGGGGTAATTTGTTTTGCAGCAATCGATAACTAGAACATGTATCATGTTTTTAAAAAATATTTTGGCCTCTTAAAAAAGCTCAGAAGGTTTGTTTTTAGCAAAAGCTAAAAGGCTCCTCACCTGATAAAATGCCCTTAATACTCTCAAAATTTTCTTTCTCAAGAGAAAGAGAAGAGGCAGGTTCCAGTGGATCTTCCAAAAACAAAGGCCTTGATTTCAAATTTTTACCTTCTCTCCAATGTCTCAAAGCAATGACTATGAAATAACACAACACCCTCATATTCTCTTGGAAATCATATTTTGGGGGTAAGAAGGGAATACCTAACATCAACTAAATGAAATGTTGTTTGAATATCTTAGCAAAACACGTTGCAAGAGAAGTATATTAGCTTTTCACTGAGCCACCCACCTAAAGTGTTACATTTTTGACACATTTTGAACCTGCCTGACCTGTGATGAAGCAGATTATGTGTTGCCAGCAGAGAAATTTCTGTAAGAATAAGAATTTTCCTGTGTCCATGGGTTCTCATTGTTCAATTCCCACCTGAGTGAGAACATGTGGTGTTTGGTTTTTTGTCCTTGCGATAGTTTGCTGAGAATGATGGTTTCCAGCTTCATCCATGTCCCTACAAAGGACATGAACTCATTGGGGCTTGTTGTGGGGTGGGGGGAGGGGGGAGGGATAGCATTAGGAGATATACCTAATGTTAAATGATGAGTTAATGGGTACAGCACACCAACATGGCACATGTATACATATGTAACAAACCTGCACATTGTGCACATGTACCCTAAAACTTAAAGTATAATAAATAAATAAAAAATCTAAAAAGGGGGAGAGGATAAAATTACAGATAAAAATCATTCATGATTATATACAAAAATCCTCAACAAAATATTATTCAACCAAACCCAATAATATATTTTTAAAAAGTGTGTATCTCTCACAGTTGTTATAAGAATTAAATGAGACAATGAGTGCCAACTAAAAAAAAAAAAAAAAAAAAGAATTTTCCAGATTAATGGGGCCTAGAAGTTGTATACAATAATCATCGAAGCAAAACAGGAGAAAACACAGCACCTTTTGAAGTCTCATGGCCCACGTTATTTACAATTGGCTGCTGAAGTGCCTTCTGAAAATGTTCTTTATTTTACATTTTTTGGCCCAAAGCAAAAGATATTGTCAAAATAGAGAGAGTTCAAGAAAAGGAAAGAAAAGAATGAAAATGTAGCAGCAGCAGAAATTGTCATGCTAGAGAAATAAGTATTGAAATAATTTGCCCAAAATGCAGCCCTTTTAAATGTGAGAATTTTCTAATATGGGTCCCACACTCTGCCCTAACTAAGAGATTTGATTCCTCACATCGCTTCTAATACAAAGATGTAGATTCAGAAATCTGACTTCAACCATTAAAACTATAGGTATCTTCATGTAATCACTATACATTTATTGTCAGACGTCGTGCAAGAAACAAGCACAATCTCTGTCCTCAAAAGACATATAATACAGTATTGGGGGGGAGCAGTTTTCAAAAAATAATTTAAATGAGTTTAATATGTATAAAATCCTTACAGCATTGTCAGATACATATTGAGTGCCATGTAACTGCCAGGTGAGATGGCTCACACCTGTAATCCCAACGACTTGGGTAAAGTACCTGTTGAAATGTTTTGCCAGTTTTTAAATTAGATTGCTTGTCTTCTTGTCAAGTTATGAGAGTTCTTCAAATGTTTTATACGTAAGTCTATTGTCAGGTATATGTTTTGCAAATATCTTCTCACAGTCTGTGGCTTACCTTTTCCTATTTGTAGCTGCCTTTTAAATGACAGTTTTTCATTTCATTAAGTCCAATTTATCAAAATATTGTGATTCTAATGCCCTATTAAGAAGTCTTGCTGGGCGCAGTGACTCACACCTGTAATCTCAGCACTTTAGGAGGCTGAGGTGGAAGGATCCCTTGAAGCCAGGAATTTGAGAGCAGTCTGGGCAACATAGCAAGACCCTGTCTCCACGAAATATTTTTTTAAAATAGCCAGGCATAATGGTGCATGCCTGTAGTCCTAGCTACTTGGGAGGCTGAGACAGGAGGACCACTTGAGTCCAGGAGTTTGAGGCTGCATTGAAACATGATGGCACCACTGCACTCGAACCTGGATGACAGAGCAAGATTCTGCCTCTTAAAAAAAAAGTGCCCATGTAACAGCTAAGTAAATAAATATCCATCCATTTATTTATTCAACAAATATTTGTTGATCACCTTTTACATGACAGGCACCATACCAGGTGCTGGGGATAGTGGTGAAGAAAGAGCTCACATCTACAGAAGATGTTGAACAAGCAGCAAGCAGGGGCATCCTGGGAGAATTCTCAGGAAGGCTGGGAAGCAAGAGAAGGCTGCTAGTCCCAGGTGGGCAAAGAATAGGCCAGGCCAGGCCCAGCCTGGATGGACTCAGGGGCATGCCTGCTAGCCATGTAACAAGCAGAGTAGTTTGCCCCGAGCCAAAATCAAAATCTAGTATATAAAGTCAAACTCAGGACAGGCTTGAGGGCCAGCAGGTCAATCAAGATCTTCTCCCCAAATTCCATAGTGAATCAGAGAGAAAGTCCAAGTACAGAGGCAAGCACTGGACTTCATGCATTGGATCACACGTGAGAGAGCAAGTGGACCGTGTAGTTGAAATGGAAGACTAGGTGTAGTGTTTGAGAATCCGGAACTCGGAGACCAGAAGTGGGGTCTGCCGTCCAGGCAGGAACCCATGGCACAAACGGGTCTGGACATATTGGAGCTCAAGGCAACTAATCATTTGGTGAGCTTCAGATGATAGTCTTTCAACATTGATGCAACAGTTGTTTAGTTGGGGACCCGAGCTGGTACCAAGATCATTTTTTTCATTCTACTGGGTACTTGGCTGGAGTGGAACCAGTTTAGATCTCAATGGTTATGTAAATAGTCACATGAGAGTCTAAGTTAAATGGTACCACCGATTTCCACTGGGGACGTTGTTGTCCTTATAGATTGGTGCTCAGAGCACTTATCCTCTTAGTCTATCTTTTAACCTGGCTCTGAGCATAAAAGATCTCAAAATGAGGGTGTCTGCTGAGGGCCCTGGTGTGAATGGCCAAGGGCTGTTATGTGTGTGTGTGTGTGTGTGTGTGTGTGTGTGCATCCTCCTGAACAAGGTAGATTCTGCAAGGTTTGGAAATACTGCAGAATAATTGGTTCTATGGCAATTGTCTAAGTTTTACCACTTGGGAGATAATTTAGAGCTTAGTAATTTTTATATGGCCTTTTCCCTTTTTCTTCAAACCCCAGACCCTGGATTTAGAAGTGTGCAGATGTGGTAAGGAGCATGTCTCTGTTCCTTAATGGCTGTGAGGCTCAGGGTAGGTGACTGAACCATGTCAGGTGGTAGTCCCCTGACCTGTAAAATGGGGATAATGGTATTTAAGTCTTAAGATGATTGTGAAGACAAAACAACATATAGAGAGCATTTAATGCGATTCCTGGCTTGTAGAAAGCACTGAGTAAATGGAAGCTATGACTGGTCAAAGTGCTAAGTCGAGGCCAGGAGCAGCCAGATGCCACCCAGCACTAGGGTGATCTTTTCACAACATCATGGGCAAAGTCTCTAAGTAAGGGTTAAAATATTGACTAGGCTGTAGATGTCACTAAATGCAAGCCACTTAAAATGGCCCGTCATTTGCTACTTTATAAGGTACTCAAGAGCTAGTCAGTCCTCTTCCGGACAAACAGCCTTTCCTAATCTTAAAATAGTCAGAATGACTTTGTGGATCAAAGCTGATCTGGCTTAAAACCCTGAGCATTTCTTATTTCTAAGTAAATTAATAATTCAAGGCAAAATTTCTAAATAACAAACTTCCATTTCGCTAACAAGAGTCTGCTAATGGATGCCTCTAAACTTAGCAAGCACTCCCAATGTATCCTTGGTGGGTTTTTGTCATTTGTCTTATAATGCATGCTGGTGGCCAGGCATTGGCAGCATCGATGGTGTCAGATGCAACCAGGCAGCAGTCCAGGACCAACTTCTTCCGGGGCCGTAGATTCTAACACTATCATAGTGGATTTCTCATCCATTAATTATCGATGAAAAAGTAAAGGGGAAGAGTGATGTGTTCTGACATCAACAGTTTCAAACAGCCTGATGAGACATACTAGGATACCTTCCAATATTGATGATCTCAACCGCTGATGGGAGTAACCGAAGAAAATGTTCAGCACAGCTGAGATAACTCAACAGTTCTTTCCTGAACTACTCATGAATCCTGAAACTGGAGTTCACTTGGAGTTTATTGGTTTGTTGTTTTTTAAAAAAAAAAATTCAAAATGGGAAATGCTTCTGATTCTCTCAATGCAGGAAGTTTTTTCTCCCACGGCCTGACCTCATCAGGTTTCATTAGGCTTGTCCATTGAAGTGTCTGTTTTGATTCATTATTAGATGAATTACTAGGCTTCCATTTTCAAATTTGAAGAAAAAAAAAAGGTAAGTAACTATATATTTCTTACAAACGGGTTGCCCTTCCCTTCGTCCTCCTGCAAACACTACTCCAAGCATGGCTATTCGGGAGAGTCTCAGAAACGTTTCTGTCCTGCTGTCACCCACTTGTGGGGCAAAACCATTTGAAATGCAAAGGTTTTGCCTGTGTCTGGGTGTTAGCAGCACGTTCCAGCTGGTTTGCAAGGTAGACAAGCAGGGCACATACCCACTGAAGGCAGGAAGGTGAGAGGGAGCTGGAGAGAGCCCAAAATGGTTTAAATGCAAAATGAAGAGATTTAGAATGTCAAGTTTTAAGATCAGGACCAGCAGCAAATACAACTCCAAACCCTTGCCCCCAGATCTTGTAGCAGGCAACATTATATGGCCATAGCCAACAGGATGCAGGACCAAAATATATAAGAAGGGCAGAGTGAGAGTGGCCTCTTCATGCTCACTGTTATCTAGTGGGAGTGGCCTCACTCTCCAGACCAGCCTGTGGGAAGACAGTGGATATGGCTTCCTTTCCCTTCATTGTAACTATTGGAAATGTATTCTGTAACCTGGGCTGACTACATAGTTTTCAGGGCCTGGTGCAAAATGAGAATGGAGGACCCCTTGTCCATAAAGCAGGATTAGATGGGAGGCTGAGGTGGGAGGATTGCTGGAGGCCAGGAGTTAGAGGTTGCAGTGGGCTGTGATCGTGCTGCTCCACTCCAGCCTGGGCAACATAATAAGACTCTGTCTCTTAATGCTGCTAAATGTACTCAATATGTACTCAAATATCAAATGTTTCCTTTCCTCTATGCGCACTCTCTCTCGCCCTCTCTCTCTGTCATGGTGTATTTAGTCCTGACTTAGTGTCATACTAAATCCTCACAGGCACTTGGAGTCCCATCCTGTGATGTGGTCCACATGGTCCACTGCCTGTCAAGTTCCTTGTCCCACCAGCCACTAGATCAGTGTGTATGCGGTGCCCTGGCCCCAGGGGAAGTCAATACCCCCTTCCCACGGCCCACTGCCCCCACCCATGGCAGGTGACCAACCCTCAATAAATTGCAACCTCAGTATCTGGATTGGGGTGGATTAGAGGCTCGCACCTACCAAGTGGCCCACAGAGCCCACCATGGTGCTGCCAGCCCAGAGCAGGGACAACTGTGGCTATGCCTGACCAGAGGCTCCAGGTGGCACCCGGACATTTCTGGCACCTATGCCTGGTACAACATGGGTCTCCAACTCTTTCCCCCAGCTCCCTACCCCACCCTACCCACAGCACTCTACCCCCTCCCCACAATGCTACCTGGGCACTGCCCCAGGTAGATGGTGGCAGAGGTCAGTCACAGGGCAGAGAGGAGGCAGCCAGGTAGGGCTGGGGCTCCAATGGGTGGAGGAGAAGGGGTGGCCAAAAACCCATTGGGAGAGGTGGGGAGCAGCAGAAGGTGACCCCAAGGTGGGCCAGGCTCTAAGCTCCCCCCAGCTCTTGCTCCATTGTCCCATCCCATCGGGCTTCACTTACAAAACACAAATGCGAAGAAAAAATTATCAAGAATTTCAGTACAATAACAATTGAGCATTAAACTGTAGACAGGGCTTTTCTGAGCACAAGGCCCTGTGTCATCGCACTGGTTAGACAGCTGTGAAGCTGCCCATGCTGTAGTCTCCAAAAATGTTCCCAAAGAAAGCTTTCCAGGGATGACACTAACCAGGAGAACTTTAAAAGTCTGCACACTCCAAATTCTTACTTTCAGCCCCAAACTCACCCCCTATTAACCTGGCAAGATTTAAGAGAAGAAATCATCCACTATCAAACTCTTAGATGTTTTGAGTACTCTTCACACAGGATTTTCTAGACCCTAATTAACCCATTTTCATAGGCCTTTCAAATGGGGAGCTTTGGGTTTTGATTGCATTTGTTCACAGAAAGTTTTGACAACCCGAAGCTTCCAGTTCATCCCTTGGTTTCTCAGTCCAGCATTGTGGGGCAGGGGTGGCACCAGAACCCTAGAGGCTGCTGCTTTGACTTCTGCCTATATCCACTAAATTTCCTGTCAACCAACTGGGTCTCAGCCAGAGCCCCTTGCAAGTTCTCTAACACCACCTCCTTGTCATCAATTAAAGGCATTTTCAAAGCACTGATGGAATTCTGTGATAAGTAAATTATTAAATAAATAAGCCCAACGTTGTTTACCAACTGGCTGACTCTTCTGTCTGCACTTGGCAGTCCATTGCCCCAGCTTTCAAAGCCAATGAACTTGACAAAAAGAGAATCTGTATCATTTGTGAAATCCAACATCACATTGCATAAAGTGCATTTGATATACTGTTAGGACAGAAATATCATTTCCTGCCTTGTAAGTCATTTGAGTTTAGCAAAATTATACTTATTTTCCTGATATTTGTTTAATTAATATCAATGTGGTAATGAGACGCTTGATACTATTTTGCAAAATTACCACAGGAGTTGTTTCACTAAAACACTCCCCTTGTATACAGGGTGTCTTCCTTCGTTTATATCATGGTTCAGATGGGAAGTGGTCATAAAGCCTCTGGAGGCTGTGGGCACATATGATGTTTTTCTGTCATTGTGTGTGTGACCCAGATGCAGCCACCTGGAAAGCCTGACTCCCAGTCCAGAGCTTTTTGTGACATTACAGAGGTGAGCCATGAAGTCGGGCAGCTCCTTATCATCCACCGCTTCATCCATCTGCCCATCCATCTGTCCATCTGTCCATCCTAGATGCACAGGCAAGAAGGTGAAGATGTTGGCTGACATTTCTTCAGGGTCTAAAACCTAGAAGGAGGAGGCACAACCACCCTTGCTGCACCCTGGAAAGGAGCTGGTCCTGGAACTGACGTTTTCTTCTGCAAGCCCCTCTCCCCCAGTAAAAACCATTTCTGATCATGTTATGTCCCCTTTTCTGGGACATAACTTCCTATATCAAGTCCTCAGAACACTGTATTCCATATTTAATGGCTCGTTCATTAAAATGAGCTTTGTGGTTGGACAGGTTGGGTACATGTTCCTTTCTAGAACTTTGGAGTTTGTCTTGCTTCCTCCTGGTTAGATTCAGGTTGTGTATTCTTTGCTGGAAAACTGCGCTGATAGCGTGCCTTTCCTAAGGTATCACATCTGGAGGTATGTGATGTCCATCTGCTCCTCATGGGGGAAATTAATTGAGATCACCCAAAGTGTTGTCCAATTTCTCCATTATAATGTCACTGGATCCCTCCCCCTTGCATCTAATATACACTCTGTAAGGAGACACTTTGAATTCATGCAAATATCCTGCTTTTCATCAAAATGTCCTAGCTTTACAATTCATTGATGATTCTTGCTCAAGCCAATTTTTACCATGAAGTTTGCAAAATGATGATTTTTCTGGCCGGGCATGGTGGCTCATGCCTGTAATCCCAACACTTTGTGGTGGTGCACGCCTGTAATCCCAGTGACTTGTGAGGCTGAGAGGGTAGGAGGAATCACCTGAGCTCAGGAAGTTGAGGCTGCAGTGAGTCGTGATCATGCCACTGCACTCCACTTTGGGTGACAGAGTGAGACACCCTGCCTCAAACAAACAAACAAAAAAGGATGATTTTTCTGATTCTAACACCCTGTCCACCTTGACCTTCTGGCCCTTGACATTCAACTATAAGTAGAAGAAGCTTTTCCCCTCTGTCCTATTTCTGCACCTATACGTGTCTGTCTGTCTATCTGACCAGTATGAACTCATAAATTGTCCCAGATTTAACCAGCAGTAGCCCCTTCAAGCTGGTTCCTGAATCTTCGTGACAGGCCACCATCATGCTTTTGAGCACTCCTTTACTTTCCGACATAACAGAATACTCCAGGATTATCTTGTACCTACACTATCCCAGCCCTGGACTCAGCTATTTTTCCTAGGAGCTCTGGCTCCTTTAATGGCGAATGGTATTAGATACCAAGATCTCTATGCTATTTGTATTCATTTTATCGGTGCTTCTTGGCCCTTTCACTGGAAAGAGTTAAGAGATATATGCACGTATATATACATATACATGCCTACACATGGACACATATATATAGTGTGTATGTAAACATGCATATAGACATATATGTGCACATTTCAGAAATCATGAGTTTGCACTGATACCTCCAATTTCAGCTTATCTCCACAGGATTATTTCCTGCCTCCCCCATTTCATATTTTTCTGTCCCTTCGTCCATAATGAGAATGCTGGCTCTCAATGACATCAACACGTTTACTCATTTGTTCAGCCCTGTAATGGCTCTAAAATAGTTTCAGCATTATTTCACTCATCCTACAACAGACAGCTCTACAAAATGACTTTGGAATTTGTTGTGATTCTCCCCTCATCTCTCACTCTACCCTGTCCGACACCGAGAGTTTATAGTCAAATATTGTATTCTTAAATTACTTGGATTAGTGCTCTCTTTGCTTTCTTCCTTTCCCTCCTGTATAATTATGATGTTCCTTTGATATACAGTGTAATTATGATGTTCATTTGATGTTCATTGATACACAGTGGTTCGTTTCCATTTGCTTTCATTTTAGTTTTTTTCCTTTCTCATTCTTATGGGTTTAATTTAACTTTTCAAATATGTAGAATATTAGCTTGCTTTCAAAAGCTAAAACTACACCAAAAGCTACATTCAGAGAAGTGTCAATCCCTCCTGTATCCCTTCCACTCACTTCCTGCTTGCAGGATACCAAATGCAAAGTTTCCTAGTTTATCCCTCTTGTGTTTCTTTCTGTAAAGATAAGCAGAAATATGTATGTTTTCTTTCTTACACAAAACTGGCAACCTATATATGCTTTTTCATGTTCTTTTTTTCAATACTAGCTCCCAGAAATCACTCTGTATCAGTTCATAGAGATCTTTTGCATCTTTTATCAGAGCTGCATGGTATTCCATTGTGTACGTGCCACTCTCCTATGCTTGGGTGTTAATACTGTTTCCAATATTTTGCAATTACAAATAAAGCTGCAATAAATAACAGATTAGTAGACTTTTTAAAAAATTCACGTCAAGCTCCTTAGAGAGAGAAAAAGGAGATAAAGACAACTGATAAGACCAGCAGATATAAAAGCCAACTTCCTCAGGCTAGCTTGACCCACCACATTGCACAAACAGACCTTTCCAAGAGGTAAACAAGGTCCTAACTGTGGTCTTGTCTTTCTCATGGTGATGGGGGATGCTTTTTACAGTTTTATAGAACTAGAAGAAGGAACACCTGGGATCTCATTTTTCTCATTCCTGGATGCCTGCCTGCCCAGCATCAGTCAAGTTGCCCCTTATCTTTTCTTGAAGTGAGTACAATGGCACATAGCAAACCCAAAGAAGAGGGCGGTGCAAGGCTGCTCATACATGTGTGAGCAGATTGGACAAGCTTGATTGGCATTTATTATACATTGGGTACACCTAGGAAGTAGGAGAATAAAAGGCACCATACAGTCCTGTTGAGAAAATAAATTCCACTAGGATATCCTTCTTGGGGACTGGAGTAGATTATATTCCTTTTTGCCAAACATTCCAGTGACCCTCCTCATGGGAGGGTTGGACTTCCTTGCCCTGTGGAACTCAGGAGTGGCCGTGTACCTTGCTTTAGTCAATACATGTAGACAGAAATAATGTGTATCATTTTGGAGCAGAAGCTTCAGGATCTGCTCCAGGTTCACCATGTCTCTTATTTTCCTTTGCCGGGAGACCAATAACTTCCTAGACAGAGGCTGTTTCAGAGGCTTCACAAAAGAAGGAAAAGGAATGTGCATGAAAATATGCTGAACATCAGTCAGCAGGAAAATGCAAATTCAAACCACAGTGAGATACCACTTCACACCCACTAGAATGGCTAACATGTAAAAAGACTGACTAGTTAGCAAGGATGTGAAGCAATGGAAACTTTTATATGCTGCTGGTGGGGTTGTAAAATGGTACAACCACTTTGGAGAACAGTTGGTCAATTTCTTTGTCTTATAAAAATAAACATACACCAACCACGTGACCAGCCATTCCACTCTTAGGTATCTACCCAAAAGAAATGAAAACTTATGTCTACAAGACTGGTGGAGGAGTGTTTGTAGCAGTTTTATTCATAGTAGCCCAAACTGAAAACAACCCAAATGTCCATCAACAAGTGAATGGATAAAGAAACTGCGATATATTTGTACTGTGGACTACCCTTCAGCAAGAAAAAGGAATAGACAACTGGTACATACAATAGCATAAATCATTCTCAAAAAAAACCTCGAGTCTAAAAAGCCAAACACTAGAATATATACTACATCATTTCATTTCCACGAAGTTCTAGAACAGGTAAAACTGATCTATAGTGATAGAAATCAGATCAGTGGTGGCCCCAGGCCAGGAGAGGAACTGACTGGAAAGGGGGACTCAGGAACTTTGTGTGATGATGGAAATACTTTATATCTTGATTGGTGTGGTGGTTACACTGGTGTATACAGTTGTCAAAATTCATAAGATCTGTTCATTATATTATGTGTAAAAACAAGAAATGAAAACAAACACTAGAGTCTCTTCCTCCAGTCTGGGTCCCAAAGTGAAGATGATGTACAGCAAAACCAGTGAGGAATAAACCTTTGTCTATGTAAGCCACTGAGATTGTGGGGTCATTTGTGATTGCAGCATAACCTAGCCCATCCTGATTAATACAGGGACTCGTCCCATTGGCACATTCAAGGATCTGAGAAGTTTTTCAGTAAAGAAACCTGCTTGGGCTGGGCGTGGTGGCTCACACCTGTAATCCCAGCACTTTGGGAGGCCGAGGCAGATGAATCACTTGAGGTCAGGAGTTCGAGACCAGCCTGGCCAACATGGTGAAACCTCGTCTCTACCAAAAATACAAAAATTAGCCAGGTGTGGTGGCACACGCCTATAGTCCCAGCTACTTGGGAGGCTGAGGCAGGAGAATTGCTTGAACCCAGGAGGCAGTTTGCCGTGAGCCGAGATCATGCCACTGCACTCCAGCCTGGACAACAAAGCAAGACTCTGTCCTGAAAGAAAAAAAAAAAAGAAACCTGCTTGACATTATATATATATCCGGTATTTCTCAAAGTATTTTGACAATCTAATTATTCTTTATATAGCGCACCTTTAATATATTCTGAAAGTAGCTTCATAAAACACAATCTGTTTAATTTTTAAAGAGATTGGGGAGCACATCCTTTTTTAGAATAATTAAAATATTCCCAAATGTTAGCAGTTTGGGGTAATGATAGCACATTAACATTTATGCCCAAATTATGAGGACCCCCTAGCCCATCGCACCTCACCCCCACAAAAAAGAAAAAACAAAAACAAACAAACAAAAAAAAAAAACAACAACAACCCTCCTCTAATGTCCCTGGGACTTCGCAGGGCAAGTGTCTTATAGGTATTCAAGAAAGGGCTTGCTCACATTCTTCTGAGCTGTTTTGCTGTCAGGGTCCCTAGCTCCTGACAGTTGCTGGGTAGGTACCTGTTTCTTGCTATTCTCTATTAGTGGCCACCCCAAGGCCCAGAGTGCCAGTGCTATGTGGTGGTCTGTGGCAGAGTAGGGATGGGGGGCATGACCCCTCTCGGGCCCAGCATGTCAGAGAGTCTTTGATGAGTGGAGTTCCTCAGCCTTAGGTCCTGACTTCTATCTTTCTAGAGTCTCAGAACCTTCATCAGATCAGACATGGGGTAGACACCAGGCCTAGAATTAATCTCCCCTCTCCCTTCTCTCCAGGTATTTTTCCTCCTCTTTTCACCTTCAAGTGAAAAGCACCTGAAATCAACTCAGGCAAGACCAGGGCTGCAGGAACGCCCAGCTGGGTGGTTCTGATGACAGACTGCCTCCTGGTTCGGAACTCAGCTGGGACACCGTCCTTCATGAGGACTTTTCATGCCTCCTTTTAAGCTCCTCAGTGAATCCAATCTGCAGTAGTGGTGGAAGTTGGGAGCCTCAATTCTGCCGTCATAAGGAATTGAAAAGGCTCTGAAAGTTGGTGATTGTTCCCATGTCCAGCTCAAGGGCACCGAGCCGCTGGGCTGAGGTGGAGACCAATGTCCCCGGGGCAGTAGCCCAGAAGGAAGCCAAGGCCTTTTTGCAATAGTTGAGTATCCAGACCCATCTACAGGGAAATCTTTGAAAATATTCCTGCCACTGAAGTCATGTTGGGCTTCTTAGTTTCAGTCCCACTAAGCCCTTGTGGGAACTTCAGGTGTGTAGTGGTGAGAGAGGGGAGACAAACAGGAGAGGTGATGGAGCGAACAAGGTGAGAATAAATCCCATTCTGGAAATAGCTTGAGATTGAAAATTCAACTGGAAATCATACCTGGGAGCAAATTCAGAAAATGAATGATGAATGAATCCAGTAATTAAATTCAACTAGTTCCTTTTAATATGATTTTCCCCCTGAGAATAATCAGCAGAACTCTAAGAAAACTCTTTGCCAAAGTTATCTCATTTAATTACTGTAATTCTGTGTCACATACAGAGGAAGAGATGGAAGATAGAGGTTTGACTTCCTGGTTTCTGTGTATCTGGTAATATTGTCTGGTTCATGGGCTGGGGCGAGGTGGGGAGCCATTGTTTTATCTAATACAGAGGTAAATTTTGTGGCTGTTTGATTATAATTTCTGATCTGAATTTGAAAGCTCTTCCCTACCTATGTGATTAACTTGAAAGAACTTGGCTGAAGGCATCCGGGTTAATAAAAGTCTTTTTGGTAGGTGTGTTTCTCAAGCAAATAAAAGTTAGCAATTTCCCTGGCAAAGCTTAGCCTTTGTGAGTTATTGATGAAATTTTTCCCTCTTTCTCTCTCTCAAAGGCAGAAGTGGGGTAAATGGAGCATTGTGGATTGGGCTGTAGGAGGGTGGGTTATTGGTTGATTCCACAGGTGCAGGAGTAGTGAGAATTCTTAGTTGAAGCAGCTCCCACCCGCTTGCATTGAATCTTTCCTAAGAGGGGCTGCCCTTCAGCAGAATGTCACGTAGAGTTGCTTCTCACCCCAGATCTCAATTTCCTCATTCTTGAAGATTTCTACAAAAGAAACCTATGCCCTGCTTTTGCTTGCTCTCCACACCCCTGTAAGTGGGTGCTCCAGAAGACACGGAGGCCAGCAAGCCAGGACGCTTTGTTCTGATGGCTCCTAGCAACGGCACCTTCACACAACTCTCATGAGTCACTCTGAGCCCCTGTCTGGGGGCGAGCACGAGCACACTATACTGTCCCGAACGCCTGAGCGAGCCCATCATCTTCTCTTACAATTATTAACTCAGGTGGTCGTTTTGATAAGAAGTGGAAAAGTAGGGAAAACACTAGAGATGTCGCAAACTGCCTGCAGTGACAATTTTCCTTAAATATAGACGTTTATTTGAAGATATTTACCTAACTCTTCTAACCAAGATAACATCTGATCGCAGATAGCATAGTACCCTTTCAAACTTCTTAGTGTTATACACCATACACTCAGAACAGTGTATCTAACCTCAATCTACAGCTTGCTGAATTTTCAAAACCGAAACACACGCCTGCTGCTAGTAGCCAGATGATGAAACAGGGCTTTACCCACACCCCAGAAGCCCCCATCCCAATTGCTCCTTCCAGTCACAACTCTGACCCCCAAGGGTAGCCAATAGCTTGGTCCCTAAAGGCAGAGGTTCTTTCTTGCCTGTCTTTGGACTACATATAAATAGAATCATCCAGCATGTACTTTTTTCCTGTTTTCTTTCCGTCTGCATTACGTTCATGAGTTTTACCCATCTTGTCTCAGGTAGTTGGGAGACTGTTCATTCTCATTGCTGCATAGTGGTATAAATACACCAGAATTTATTTACTCATCTTCCTGTTGATGGACATTCAGGTAGTTTCCAGTGCAGTCTTGTTATGAGTGGTGCTGCTATAAACATTCAAGTTCATGTCTTTTCACCAACATGAGTGTACGTTTTTGGTGGGTATACGGTCAGGAATTACATGTTCAGCTCTAGGAGCTACTGCCAAACAATTTGTTTGTAGTTGTATCAATTTACACTTCCACCAGCAGTGATGAGAGTACCAGTGGCTCCACACTTTCTCCTAAAATGTACCTAAACAGGTGCCCCACCTGCTGGGGGATGTGGTATATGCTAGTGGCCAAAAGCCCAGACTCTAGAACTAGATGATCTGGGTTCCATTTCTAGCTTTATTATTTAATAAGTGTATGACCCTGAGGACCTTACTTAACTTCTCTGTGCCGCAGTTTTTTCACCTATAAAATGGCAATCATCATCATCTTCTTCATAGGGTTAAGAATTAAATGAACAAATGCATACAGATCATTAAGAATGGTGCCTAGCAGGGTACAGTGGCTCACACCTGTAATCCTAGCACTTTGAGAGGCAGAGGGCAAGCAGATCACTTGAGCCCAGGAATTCAAGACCAGCCTGGGCAACATGGCGAAACCGTGTCTCTACAAAATATTAAAAAATTAGCCAGGCGTGGTTGTGGGCACCTGTAGTCCCATCTACTCAGGAGGCTGAAGTGGGAGGATTGCTTGAGCCCTGGAGGTCAAGGCTGCACTGAGCCATGATCGTGCCACTGCACTGCAGCCTGGGCAACAGAGTGACCCCATCTCAAACAAAAACAAAAAACCGTACTTGGCACATAGAAAGTACTCCATAAATGTTAGATGTTATTTTTATCCAAATGTATTGAAATTAACAACCACCAGTGCAGTAAAGGAGCTGTACATCCTACTGTAAAAGAAATGGAACGTTTCCCACACAAACCGAGGAGGCAATCAGGTGAACGCCACAAGGGGTCTCTATACAAGAGGCGTGACAGCATGCAGTCTCTGACTATGTAAATCAAAGCGAATTCTTGAGAACTTGAATGTGCAAATTAAACCAGAATGTCAGCGCCCTGCAATATTTATGGCGAAGTGTGAACCCTGTATAGAAGCAATATAAATGACAGTCTTTGATTTTATTTATTTATTTATTTATTTGCTAGTGAGGCCAGTGACATATATTAAGTTAACTTACTATATATAGGACCTCAGTGAAGTGAATTCCTTACAAATCCTATAGACTTGTATAGTTTATCCTTTGGCAAACACTGTTTCAGGAATTGACATACATATGGATTTCAGTAAATAAATGTGGATTTCATCAACAGTCAATGCAAGAAAGGGAAGTGGTAGAGAAGAAATGATGATAGGAGAGTCATTGGGTAGGAAGTTCAAAGGCACGCAAAGCTGAGATGCACCCCATCACCAGGTGTAGGTCATTGAGCGGAATTGGTTTTTAATGGTAAACGTCAGCAAATACATTGCTTGTCTCTTTCAGGTTAGTGGGACTCAACCCTGACTGCATAGTAGAATCACCCGGGGAGCTTTCGCAACTGCAGGGGCCCAGCCTCAAATCCAGAAATTCTGATTCAGTTTGCTTGGAAGCAGGGCCCAGCGATTTCTTTTTCTTAAGTTCTCCAGGTGATTTGAGTGTGCAGTCAGAGTTGAAAAATGCTGCTCCTGGCTGGGCCTGGTGGCTCACACCTGTAATCCCAGCACTTTGGGAGGCCGAGGTGGGCAGATCATGAGGTCGGGAGTTTGAGACCAGCCTGACCAACATGGTGAAACCCCCGTCTCTGCTAAAAATACAAAAATTCGCCGGGCGTGGTGGTGCCCACCTGTAATCCCAGCTACTCAGGAGGCTGAGGCAGGGGAATTGCTTGAACCCAGGAGGTGGACAGGTTGCAGTGAGCCGATCATGCCACTGTACTCCAGCCTGGGCAACAGAGTGAGACTCCATCTCAAAAAAAAAAAAAATGCTGCTTCTTCTGAGAGGCAATAGTGACAATGCTGCTGGTGTCTTCTGAGTGGTTATCTCTTCCAGTGGGGCAGCAGAGTGAGATCCTGAGTAGTTTCTATGGCATCTGCCTGCTTTGGTCAACTAAAGCTCCAAACACTGGCTCAACTGGTTTTTATCTGGTGGATTTTCTTTCATACCTGGCACCTCCGAATATTCCAGTCTATTTTAAGCCTTCCTGTGGTTTTTAAAGCATGATACTTTCTGAGCCAAAGACTTACCATTTCAAATCGCATGGACCGTGATTCAATCTGGAACAGAACTAAACAGGACAAGGTGTTGCCCCAATTAGTAATTGGACATTTTCTTATTGATGAAAGAAGATACATGAAAGTGCATTGAACTGTAAAGCCCTTCATAGAAGAGCAAAATTGTTTTTTATGTTGTTGCTGCTACTATGTGTGGTGTAAACTTCAGGAAGGTAGGAGAGGGCCGTGAAATAATCACCATGTTTGTACATGAGCACATGTGAATTGGAATTGCTGGTTCAGCCACTGAGTGGTTATCACTGGGGCCTTGCCTTAGCTGAGCTTATGTTTTATGAAAGGTGGAAGGATCAGTACACTTCAGAAGGAAATTTTGTAGATTACAGGAGCTAATGTAAATGGTGCTTGGCAAGGAATGAGCCATTGGTAAATAGCAATTACCCTTCTGTATCAGTCAGCTAATGCTATGTTGCTGCTGCATAACACACAATCCCCTAAATCTTAGTGGCTTACCAAAATGATGTTTATTTTTCTCACTCATGTGTCTGTGGATTGGCTGTAGCTGCTGTGTTTAATGCTGCCTGCAAGTCAGACTGAGTATATGTGTCTCATTCTGGAGCCAGCAGATCTCTGGGGCATGCTCTACTCATGGTAGATGACAGGGCTGCAAGAAGGCCCTGGCAGAAATGCCTAATGCCTTTTAACAATCCAGCCCAGGGCCAGGTGTGGTGGCTCAGGCCTGTAATCCTAGCACTTTGGGAGGCTGAGGTGGAAGGACCACTTGAGGTCAGGAATTCAAGACCAGCCTGGGCAACATAGTGAGACTCCATCTCTACAAAAACAATTAAAAAAAATATATAAGCCAGACATGGTGGTGCATGCCTGTAGTCCCAGCTACTCCGAAGGCTAAGACAGGAGGATGGCTTGAGCCCAGGAGTTTGAAGCTGCAGTGAGCTATGATCGTGCCACTGCATTCCAGCCTGGGTAACAGAGTAAGACCTTGCCTCCAAACAAACAAACAAATGCAATTTAACCCAGAACTTATTCATTATCATTTCCTCCCACTTTCAGAGCAAGTCTTATGGCCAAGCTTAAAGTCAATGGGACAGAGAAGGAAGCATGCTCTCCCAGTGAAGCCCTGGCACAGTGAAGGGAATAAGTGGAAGAACTGTGAGTATATAATGTCTCCTGCCACATTGCCCTTCCTTTCTCCAGGGTGGCAACAGAGCAGAAAAGAGGGGTAAGTATGGAGGAAGGAAATAGCCGGCTCCCACAGGAGCTCCTCCATCTGCCTCATTTGTGAGAGCTTGTTTGGCCTCATTTGTAGAGGTGCTCTACCACTCACACAGAGGAAGAAAAGCCATTCTCTCTTGTAGCCACCTCCAAGTGTTTGTGATGAGGGACAAATGACTCAGGGGCCATCCAGAACTCTAGAATTCACCAGAAGCCTCCAATCTCGCTTGCATGAATACATCGAAACTGATTTTGAAAGAGAAACAGAAACAATACCTGGTGAAGTCTGGCAAAACAGACTATACTATATACTGATTGTCAAAATAACTGGGTCTTCAACCCCTTCCTTTTAGCCTTTTGACGTGTTTTTAATATGTAGATATCGGCCAGGTGCAGTGGCTCATGCCTGTAATCCCAGCACTTTGGGAGGCCGAGGCGGGCAGATCACGAGGTCAAGAGATCGAGACCATCCTGGCCAACATGGCGAAACCCTGTCTCTACTAAAAATACAAAAATTAGTTGGGCCTGGTGGTGCGCGCCTGTAGTCCCAGCTACTCGGGAAGCTGAGGCAGGAGAATTGCTTCAACTTGGGAGGCGGAGGTTGCAGTGAGCCAAGATCACTCCACTGCACTCCAGCCTGGCAACAGAGTGAGACTCTGTCTCAAAAAATATATATGTAGATGTCATTTATGAGTATTTATTCTAAATGACAATTAGTACTCTGATATATAATGGTGGTAGGCTAAGAACCCTTTATTTGAATCCTAACACTTTATTTGAATTTCAAAACTGGGTGAGTTAGGTGACCCCATCTCTACTATCTAACCAGAGAGTTCTGGCCAAACGCATAATGTGCTTAGTAAAGCATTACCAGACATGTCCTTGCATATTCGCTAATTGCGAGAGGAGTTTGGTGACAAGATCAAAGGTGTTTAGCAAAATACAACTGTCATAATTGAGGATAATTCTGAATGTATTTCAAGATATCAAACCATTTTCAAGTCAACTCCCTGAGGATCTTTGTTGAAGGATGTCAGGCTGGGTTGCATTGTTGCAGATCTTAAGTCGAGCTACAGCATCAGGCTTCTCCAGGAATGGTTTCTGAACTACCAACGTCAGAATCATCTAGGGCTGTTGGTTAAAAATGCAGATTCCCAGGCAAACTTCAGATGTATCAAATTGGAATCTCTGTGTGCAGGACCCAAGAATCTCCATTTCTTTATGCACACCAAGGCTTTTGTATCAAATCTATGTAGACAGAGGCCCCACACATCTTTGATTCCAAGTATATTGGTTGTGGAAAAGGTGAGGTTTTTATAATGCCAGATTAATCAGTCTCACCAATAAACACAGCCAAAGGATTTTTCCCATTATTAGTAGTATTTAACTTTTTTAAAAAAATTAATTTTGTTAACATGTCCAACTAGGGTGCTGCTGTAACAAGACTTTTGTGCTTTTTTAAAAAAAAACACTACTTGAACATTAGAAACCATATTTTTTCATTCAGACCTCAACTTTGATATTAAAATAATCATTTTGGCTGGGCACGGTGGCTCACACCTGTAATCCCAGCACTTTGGGAAGCTGAGGCCGGTGGATCACTTGAGGTCAGGAGTTCAAGACCAGCCTGGCCAACATAGTGAAACCCTGTCTCTACTAAAAATACAAAAAATTAGCTAGGCGTGGTGGCACATGCCTGTAATCCCAGTTACTCGGGAGGCTGAGGCAGGAGAATCGCTTGAACCCAGGAGGTTATAGTCCCAACTACTTGGGAAGCTGAGGCAGGAGAATTGCTTGAACCCAGGAGGTGGAGGTTGCAGTGAGCCGAGATCGTGCCACTGCACTCTAGCCTGGGTGACAGAACAAGACTCCATCTCTAAATAAATAAATAAATAAATAAACAAACAAACAATTTTCCTCCCATTTTCTCAAACACCAATGGCCTACAAAACATATATAAACATTGAATGAAAGAAAAGCAAGTTGAGACACAATTATTGTGAGGAATCGGGGAGGGTTTTATTCATGTATTTAATTTAGTACATTCTTTTTCTGACAGGAAAAAATTTTTCCTGCCTTTTTAAGGTATTTTAGGTGCATGAACTCGCAGTAATGAAAGTGGTGTAACCATCTAAGTTGGAAATATCTTTCCTTTTCCACTTAGTAAGTGCATTTTAATATTTTTTATCCATATGCATGGAATAATAAAAGGCATTAACTGCTTCAATAAATAAATTAAATGGAAGGATGGTTCTGAGAATTGAGAGAAATAGGGAAAACAATAAGAACAAGAGGACAGACTCCCCTCCCTTTTCCACCTTCTTTCACCTCCTGTTTATAACATTTGAGGTTCAAAGCCTTTATCTTAATGACTTGCCACTTTCAACTGTGTGGAAAATGAATTTGAATCATTTAGAAGATTCTAAGAGTTCCTTACCTTAATCACTGAACACAAGATGCAAAAAGGTGTGGAAACATCTGTTGCCCAGATTAGGAATGTTAACCAGGATGTTGCAAAAAAAAAAAAAATCTATGCCGTTATCGGGCCTTTAATCCAATTAGCAAATACAAGTCATTCTAAAAGACTCTGGCAACCGTTGCTCAGAGAGGGAGAAAACCTACAAAAGATATGCAAAAAGGAGAATTTGAGCATCATGAAATTTAAGAACTAGCAGAACTACAGTAGGAAATTATAAGAAGCATGAATTTAAGGCTTTTGTGTGTTTGGGCTCAGTTTTTTCATTCTATTTTATAAGTAAAGATTTTTTTTCGAATGGCAAAAAAAAAAAAAAATATGTTTTCTCCAAAGTGATTTCAAGGGAAAAGATTTCCCTATAAAAACAGCAAGATCTTCCCTGACTTCCCTTCCCTGATACTGATCTTCCCTGTATACGTGGGATTTTTTGGTGTGGGACATTCAAGTTTTCAAAGGATTTCTCATCACTTACATTTCACTCAAGCCCTCATGGGTTGGGAGGATGGGTAGAAACAATTACATCTGCCATCCTCTGATGATGGGCAGGTACAGCTACCTTATCACAGGGCTGAAGTGTCAACAGTTGTGATACGCTCATCAAGCATTTGTTTCTATTTTGAGCTTTTCTAACCTGTTTGCCTCAACATATTCTCCAGCATTTTTCAGAGAGTTGTTGGGGGCAGGAGAGCCCTGGGATTTAAGCTATAACATTTCTTGATTCATAAACAGATTTGTGGAGTCTTGATAAGTAAGCAACAATGAGGAAGGGGCCCCAGGTGGAGGAGGGCCTCAGGTGAGAAAGAACAATGAATAATTTTCCTGAGACATGGCTAATCACAAACAACCTGTGGGTACAACCTTGTTCCACATGTAGCCCCCTCCAGCAAGACCCTATAAAACTTCCCTCCAGCCCCTGCCTCTTTGCAGATAGCCCCTTCTCTGCTGTGCTGCCCATTACAGCCTTGCAACATATTTTCTTACCTTCTTTAAGAAATCTGCCTTTCTTTACCTACTACTGTCTTGGTAAATTCCTTTATCACCTAGGCCACCGGCCCCAGATAGTCACTACCCATGACAAGATTGTAGTGTCAAAGATTGTGTGCTGTAGCTGGACATAAAATGGCTCCATCTGTGTAGTTGCACAATGATTTTTTACCCTCAGCATCCTGCAACTTGGGATATTATTACAGGATTCCTGAAGGGAGGGTCTGATTGTAACCAATCAGGTTACCATTAATATTATAATAATACCGTAAGTATCAATGGAACGACATTGGAACATTCAGGCAGGCGACAGGCTCTCTGCTTTTACTGTAAAGGTACTGAGAACCATTTCTGGTTTTGGTACACATCTATGAATATTTAAATTTTGGATTTCTCCACTAGTGTCTCAATGACTGCTTCTAAAACGAATCCTACGCCTTAAAATTGGCCTACATAGATATTTTGCCTAATTGAAGAGTGGAAAGTTTTTACCCTTATTTGTTCATTTTAGCAAAGACGACTGCCTGAAGGACTCCAGGCTTGTGTATACAATTGTAACTAGAATAAATAGAGCACAATTCCTGGCACACATACTCTCAATCAATATTTGCTGAATGAATGAAAAATGGAAAAATAGTGGCTTTAAACTAGACTAGGGCAACAAATTTGCACACACATACACACACACAATTTTTGGCCATTGTAGGAGTGAATTGGAATTCATTAAGATATAAAGCCGAGTTTCAAATAGAGATAAACCAATTGATATTTTATTCCTATGATGGCATTTAGAAAATCTCCCATGACTCTCTGAATCTGTACTGCTCCCCGTCCTCTTAGTGAATTGCAGTCACTTGGTCTCTCCAACATAGATTGCCAAACCTTCGAAAGCAGAAATTTTGTCTTACATCATCTTTAAAGTTCCCACAGCACCTAATTCAGGGCAGTAGATCTTTTTCTTTTTTCTTTTCTTCTTCTTCTTCTTTTTTTTTTTTTCCTGGAGTCTCACTCTGTCACCCAGGCTGGAGTACAGTGGCGTGATCTCCAGTCACTGCAACCTCCACCTCCCGGGTTCAAGCAATTCTCCTGCCTCAGCCTCCCAAGTAGCTGGGACTACAGGTGCACACTGCCACACTCGGCTAATTTTTTTGTATTTTAGTAGAGGTAGAGACAGGGTTTCACTGTGTTGCCTAGGCTGGTCTCTAACTCCTGAATTCAGGCAATCCACTTGCCTCAGCCTCCCAAAGTGCTGGGATTACAGGTGTGAGCCACCGCGCCCGGCCTCAGGGCAGTAGGTCTAATACACACTTGGATATGGGTTGACCTATGCCACATGGGGTTTTTAGAAAATCAAAACTATAACTAAAATTCAGGGTTGTAGTATGTTAGTGTAGTTTATAGTAATTATTACTGTGTATGTGGGGTTTCTTGGTGTGGGACATTCAACTTCTCAAAGCATTTTTCATCACTTATGTTCTCACTCAAGCCCTCATGGGTTGGGAGGGTGGGTAGAAACAATTACATCTGCTATGCTCTGATGATGGGCAGGTACAGCTACCTTATCACATCACCAAACCATTGGCTTGACTTGGTGCAGACAATTGATCTGTTGTTTTGGAATTACACAGACAGAAACTGATAGTAGGTTATGCTGCAATACTCCATGTTGGATATTTTGCAGTTAATTGTGTTGAATGGTATTCAAATAATAGGTAGCTTTTATTGGGCACTTCCTCTGTGCCAGGGGGGTATTCCTTCAAACTCTCTATAGAGGAGGTACTTTTATTATCCCCATTTTTCAGATATAGAAACTGAGGTTATGTGACTTAAGTCACCTTATGTGAAGGCCATATAGCTAGTAATGAAACAGTGCTAGGATTTGAACCCAGACCGTGTGGTTCCTGAGGCTTCTCTATCTAGGGTAATGCAGCAAAAAGTAGCTTCTTCTTTTTTTCTGTAAAATTAAGGTAAATCTCCCTACCTTATTAGAAAACAAACAGGTTCTAGGGCCCCCAAGACATTGGAACAACTTAGATAGAAATTGTGAAATTGCATTATTTCTGTCCTGGGTATCTACTCTGACAAGACCTTGGCAAATCAATCCAATCCAAGAGAGAGGTCCAGTGCGAATCACAGGTAGACCCCATATTCTCCAAGTGACAAAAAAGACCCCAAAGCAAACATGTTCTGCTAAATTCAGTCGTGTGTGTTGAACTAAATGTGGCCAGTCTTCTAGGTTTGCTGACAGCTGTCCAGTAACCAACAGAGTTGGTTTTCTGTAGTCTGCTGCTAATTCTCTGTCAGCTGGTGCCCCACTGGCAGTCTCTTTTAGCCAGTTTGCTTCTTGAAGCTAGATGAAGCATCCTTAAAGAAATGGGCTCCTCCATCTTGCTACTTGCAATTACTAGTATTAATCAATGAGTTTGGGAAGCTTTCTGTGGTCTGCAGGCCATGAGCCAGTTGAGAGAGAAAGGAGAGGGGAGGAGGTTGATGAAATGACACCAAAAGTCCTTGAGAATGTACTGGCATTAGAAAGGCTTTTA
Organism: Homo sapiens; assembly: GCF_000001405.40. Lineage (NCBI taxonomy): Eukaryota > Metazoa > Chordata > Mammalia > Primates > Hominidae > Homo > Homo sapiens. The sequence goes on along the minus strand of NC_000023.11, from coordinate 19,185,298 downwards.
AAAGCCAATCACTAGTTCAATGTGATTAATTATCTTAAAGTAGCTTGTAGAGTGTTTCCTGAGCAGCATTTGAGGTCACTTCAAACGAAGTAAATAAGCCACAGCTAAAGTGCTGACATTTTGTAGAGAAAAGACAAACCACTAAAAATGTCCACCCAATTTCCATTACTTACTATAAATTATTAGAAGCAAGGAACGTGTTTATCGATCTAAACGCTAAACTATTAGATTAACAGTGGCTCAAACTCTATTTTCTTTATTCGAGCTGATTAGCCAGAGGGATATTCAAAAGTTTGCCCTGAGACAGAGAGAGAATCTCTTTAGGTGAGAAGCTGTTGTTTCTCATCTAAGAGCAAGGACTAAATTTCTGTGAAAGCAAATCAATTTTTGCCTTCTAATCACTATTGGGTGAGCTCTAGGGCCTTGAAACTCAAAATTGGTCTGGGACTAGCAACATCAGCATAATCTGGGAACTCATCAGAAAGGTAGCATTTCAGTGTCCACCTCAGGCCTAACTAAATCAGAATCTGCATTTTAACAAGATGTCTGGGATTCATTGCACATTACTGTTGGAGAAGCACTAGTCGACGCCAACGTAAATTGTTACTTAAACATTTGCTAGAAAAGGTAGCTGGTTAATGAAAGGAGAAATGCTACCTTTCCTCAAAGATCTATCGGTGGTGATAAACTTGCTTCTAGCCATTAATCAGCCTCAGAGTCAAAACTTAATAGGCCCTATGGCCACGTGGCCAACATGAGCACAAAAGCCGAGTCTGAGTTTGTTACGTGATATTCAAAATGCCAACTAGAGGCACACTTCAAAGGAAAAACTTTATGGAACAAATGTTTTAAAAGCCTTTTTTATGGCTAAGGTTACCAGTCACACAGAGTTTGCCAAGGTGATACAAAACTGTAAAGGTCTAAGATGCACTTGGTCTTGGGGGTACAGAGTTCAGGAAAAATCAGCTAGAGCAAACACTGAGCTCCCGCCAGCCAAGGCGAAGACGTCATCATGGAAGACTGATGCCGAACATCTGGGTCAGCTTGGGCAGCACCATGCAAAACCGTTTGGGGAGAAAGGCGGTGTGAAAATGTTCACACCCACAGCTTAATTTAGGGAAATTTTCTTAGTTTATTTGATACCAAGTGGACAAATTTCATTTCTCTATTGGGATTCCTTTATTCAAATGCCCTGTAAAAGGGAAAAATTGTTTTCTCCACTTTTCTTTGTTTGCTCCCAGGGAAGGTTTAATTGCTTACCCTGAGGTTTTTATCTGGAACAGGCATGAAGAGACGCACCCCATGGAATGAAGAGCCGTGCAGGCGCTGCCTGAGTCGGCAGAAATAATGGGCTAAAAATAGGCAGCAATCTCTAACTCGTCCAATGACCATAAAGGCATACCAACTAGAAAATACTCCTAGGAGACCAGTTTTTGCTTCTGGCTAACAGCCCAAATCACCCTTTAGTAAGTTCATTAACAAACAAAGCATTTAGTTTTCCTTTAAATTTTTCATGAGACAGAAAGTGTGAGCATTTTAACCAATAAAATGATTTTTTTCCTTCCCTGAAGCAAATTCACGTTTTGATCTTTGGAAAACACTGACCGCTTTCATGGGAAAACTCCTGATTATAGAGACATTTTGCTTGTCTTATCACAGGTCATCTTAGAACAAAGGTTTAAATGAAATGGACTATCAGAGTCCATTGGTCTTTTTTTATGTTTGACCTGGTATCTTGTTTTGCTGGGTTGGTGAAGATGGGGTTGAGGAAAACAGACCAAACTTTTCCTTTTAGTCAAGGAACAATCTTGTGCTTCAAAACACACAAACGAAAACAGCCTCCAAGCAATTCATCCAAACCTACCTGGACTATTTGCAGTGCAAAGGTAGTTGTTATTACCGTCCATTTACCTGCTGGAGTGAGTGCCTTTTGCATTTGAAGAGCAAAGAGGTGATAGCGTTACCATGTTTGCAAAACTATGAGAGAAAGGTTGACAAATAATTTATAATCACTTTACCAGCAAAGAACACATTTGTCAGAGCATTTGGGGGCTGCTACTTATGTCGTCTATTAACAATTCACAAGGTGCAGTAGGTGGCCTCCAGGTTGGTCCCCAATGATCCCCACCTCCTGATATTGTGTGATCCTTTATCCCGAGAGTGATGGCTGGCCTTTGGTAGTGACTCGTTTCTAATGAATAGAATAAGACACGAGTGATGGCATGTGACTTGAAAATTGATTATAAAAGGCAGGGTGGCATGGCTCTCTCTTTCTCTCTTGTTTACGCACACACATTCATCATCATCATCATCATCATCATCATCATCATCATCATCTTCTCAGGGACAAGCCAGCTGCCATGGGTGAGCAGCCCTTTGGAGAGGCCCACAAGACAAGAAACTGAGGCCTCCAGCCAACAGCCACATGAGTATGCTTGGAAGGGGAGCCTCTAGCCTCGTCAAGTCTGTCTGAGATGGCTGGAGTCCCAGCTGATGCCTTGATGGTAGCCTTGGGGGAGACCTTGAGCCAGAACCACCCAGCCAAGCTGTCCCCTGATTCTTCACCCACAGAAACTGTGAGATAATCGATATTCTTTAAGATGCTAAGTTTTGGGGTAATCTGCTACACAGCAACAGACAATTGACATACAAGGGCACTATGCTTCTTCTAGATTTATCGTCTCATTTATTCGGCAGGTATTTATTGAGAGACTACTGCATGCCAGGCACTACCTAAGCAGAGGTTAATCGTCTGTTGAACATGAGGAACACATATTAAGGGATTCATGGCTTCTAGGCACTCTCTAGACAACAGAGAGAAGGATTTCACACTTGGAAATTTGTGTTTGTGGCAGTCATCTTTGGAAATACAATCTACTATTTCCATTTGTTTGACCATTTTTATACATTACAATTTCTAGCTACTGCTATAAATTTGCTATTATTTAGACATTAGTGGCTCAATAAATATGTGTAGATTGAATGCTTCTCTATGACTTGTGCCTACTTATGGACTTTAAAAATGAAGATGACCCTACATGCCTTTCTCCCTTACCCTGTATATGTACTCAATCATTAGATCTTTCCAATTCTCCTTTCTAAATTCATGGGCCGGGTCTGGTGGTTCACACCTGTAATCCCAGCACTTTGGGAGGCCAAGGCAGGTGGATCACTTGAGATCAGGAGTTCGAGACCAGCCTGGACAACATGGCAAAACCCCGTCTCTACAAAAAACACAAAAATTAGCTGGGTGCAGTGGCACGTGCCTGTAGTCCCAGCTACTCGGGAGGCTGAGGCACAAGGATCGCTTGAGCCCTGGAGGCAGAGATTGCAGTGAGCGGAGACTGAGCCACTGCACTCCAGCTTGGGTGACAGAGTGAAACCCTAGCTCAAAAATAAATAAATAAATAAATAAATAAATAGCATCCATGTTCTTCCCTCCTTCACCATCTCCCTTCTGCTCTTTCAGTTCAGGCCATTTCCCCATCTCTTTTTGGCATTTGCTTACTTTCTTGGTATCCCTGCCTCTAGTCTTGCTGCTGCCCCTCTCTGCTGCACCCTGCCAGCAAAGTGATGTCCTTAATATGCAGATCCCATCCTGTTTGCCTCCTACTTAGAACTGCTCCATGGTTCTTAAATTATTTGTATGGATTTGCGGCAGATCCCTGCCTTGATGTCTGCTTTCATCACCCACCATTCCCCCTGTTGCCCTTCATACTCCAGGAGCCTTGAATGATTTATGATTCCCTGAACGTGCTCATCAGGCCTCTGTGGTTTCATACATGCAGTTCCTATTGCCTGGAACACTGGCTTATCCACTGTTTGTGAGAATCTCTTATTCCCTGCTACTGATTTCCCCTTTCCCGTGAACGGACAGCGATAAGTGTAACACACCTGCCCTCTCCGGCTCTGGGGTTAGAGAGAAGTGACTCAACTGATTAGTGAGCTTGGAAAGGCTGCAGCGAGTTGACCCAGTCCAATTCGGCCATTCTTCAGTGGTCAGTCTGTGGTGTTTCATTTGGGTAAGCTCTAGCAGAGAAAAGTAGGATGCAGTATACATCCCCACCCGACAACCTAGCTACTAGGTGGTCTGTTCTAACAAAAGCCAGTCTTAGAACAAATCCTACCAAATGTCTGTTTGTCAGCAAGTAGGCACAAAAACATGGTCTCATAAACTCGTGGGCGTCCCACTCTCTGTCCTTGTGCATTCCAACAGGCACCTTACAGGAAGGGTTCACTCCAAGATGGGTGCAACAAAATTCTGATGATGGGACTGGCCGATCCTATAGTTAAGTCTCCAGCTGAGTCCTCCATGACATGGCGGGCATAGGACCCATGAGAATTTCAAACCAGGCTACTGCTCCAAAGATATTAGATGACTCAGCTTGCCAGATCCTTATACTTCGTTTGTGCAAAGGCAGTTGGGCCTGCAAAATCTTTCTAGACTGATATATCTTATATATATATGCACACACACATATACATAGATATAGATCAAACGCCAGTCATTTACCAATAAAAAGTATTTATAACATACATATTATACGTATTAACAAATTCTCTGGTTATAGATTTAGATAACAATATTTGCAGCACTTCAACATCTCTGGAATATGGATTTCTGAGTAGGTATTTCAAGTTCTAGCTAACTACCTCTAGGAGTTAGATTAAAGTTTACTTATACACACATGCACATTTATATCACACTATTCATACCATACAGACAACATGTGGGCATGTATTGTGCACCCTGTCCTTTTTGGGTACAAGCTGCCCCCAAGGAGTCACCATTTTCCACTGCTCCAGAGGTAGGCTCTGCCCCTGCAGTGGGCAAGGTCTGCCCTGGTTCAAGGATGCTGGGTGGGTGGTCAGTCTAATTTGGGGGGTAAGCATTGGCAGGTGGAAGCCACCTTCTCTAATACCAGTCCTATCAGTCATAAAGATGATATTTTGTTCTCCAACTGCCAACTTCTTTGTCTTTGTCCATGAGTGATTCAGGTCTCAAGTGGGGAAGGGCTTTCTATTGGGTCCTTTCAAACACTACAACTTCAACCTGGCATGCTCCTAGCCCCTCTGAGAAGCCTTCCCTGGATCCCTCCTGGTAGATCTCTAAATGTTTTATAACTGTTTCCTGCTGACCTTCTCCCACACCCACCCCACTTAAAAGTAGAGCCCTAACTATTTGCATCTCTGTGCACCTAACCTCTGCATCTCTGTGTCCAGCATCTAACACACAACCTGGCTGTCTTAGTCAGTTCAGGCCACTATCACAAAATATCATTAACTGGGTGGCTTATACACAACAGAAATTCTCACAGTGCTGAAGGCTGGGAAGTCTAAGATCAAGGCGCTGGCAGATTCAGTGTCTGGCAAAGGCCTGCTCCCTGCTTCACAGACGGTGCCTTCCTACCGTGTCCTCACATGGCATAAGGGGCAGGGTTCTCTCTGGGGTCCCTTTTATAAGGGCAGAATCCCAGTTCATGAATCCTCTGCCCTCATGACCTTATCCCTCCTCGAGGGCCCCACTTTTTAATACCATCATCTTGGAGGTTAGGATTTCAACATCTGAAATTTGGGGCGACACATTCAGGCCACTGACCATTCATAACATGGGTACATGGTAGGTGCTCAGTGAATGTTAGTTTAATGAATGAGTCATTGTTAGCAGGATGTCCTCTTAGCAGGGCCTTTCAAGAGTGTTGGTAAATGGCTGTCACCTCAGTACCAATCTGCTTGAAATAACAGGACCAACCTCAAATGATTCAGGCCAGCGTAAAGAGTTTCCTAGAACTGATGTCTCTTATAACTTTAACGTTTGTTAACTGAATGTGTTGGTTTATTTGTCTTTTTCATTATTCATTGAGAGTAGTGACTAGGCTTTGTTTTGATTTTTTAAAATAAAATACACGGCCATTTCATTTAATGTTGGTTTATCTGGTGGCTAATAAATTACTTGATTACTTTGTCTTTTTCATTATTCATTGAGAGTAGTGACTAGGCTTTGTTTTGATTTTTTAAAATAAAATACACGGCCATTTCATTTAATGTTGGTTTATCTGGTGGCTAATAAATTACTTGATTACCAGGGTTTTGGGGACATTTTATGGTCCATTGGCAGTTCTATTAAAAAATTAAAAAGGGAAAGACTCCATGGTCCATACTGACTAAATGTTTTTTGAATAAGTTATGAATTCTTTTAAAATGGTAGCAGTAAAGTCACAGTTTTCAATATTATATATAAGCAGCTGATAATGTGTTAGTTAGCAACCTCTAAAGCCTTTGACTCCCATTTTTTTACCCACCGATTTCATTTAGTTGTGCCATTTGACGTTCTTAGCTAAAGCATAAATTCCATTTTTAAGATACCAAGTTTGGGCCGAGCATGGTGGCTCACGCTTGTAATTCCAGCACTTTGGGAGGCCGAGGTGGGTGGATCTTTTGAGGTCAGGAGTTTGAGACCAACCTGGCCAACATGGTGAAACCCCGTCTCTACTAAAAATACAAAAATTACCTGGGCGTGGTGGCGCGCACCTGTAATCCCAGCTACTCAGGAGGCTGAGGCAGGAGAATCACTTGAACCCGGGTGGCGGAGGTTGCAGTGAACCAAGATTGCACCATTTTACTCCAGCCTGGGCAACAAGAGTGAAACCCTGTCTCAAAAAAAATGCATTAAAACATGATTGATATTGATGACTAAGTGTTTTTGAGCCCCCTTCAATTTTGCACCAGAGGTCAGTGCCTCACTTGTGTCACCTGAGTCCTGGACCTGTTACATTGGATGTGCAGCTAATGAACGTCTGCTATTGCTAAGCACTGTGGGGACATAGCAGTCCTTGCTTTCAAGGAGCTCACAGCTTCATTTAGAAAGACAGGTGGGTAAGGAGAGATTAATGAAGACAGTGGCAAAAGCGTCGAGATAAAGGTAAACAATGGAGGCAATATCAGACGAGACTATGTATATACAAATCAGAGTGTTTCCTCCCAACATGCTATAACACAGTGGTTATGAGTGCAGGCCAGAGCTAGATGCCCTGGGTTCAAGCCCTGCCTCTTCCAATTACTGGCTCTGTAATCTTGGACAAATTATACCTTAATGTCTCTGCATTTCAGTTTCCTAATTTGTAAAAGCGAGCATGATAATCATACCTACTTCAAAGGGTTGTGTGGATTAAATGAGCTAAGGCATATAGGGTCTTGAGAATAGTGCCCGGGCTGGAGTGAAAGCTCAAAAATGTTAGCTGTAACTAGAATGCACTCATTTTCAAGCAAGGAGGAGCTCTACCAGATAAGATGAAAGCCAAGTCTCTTCTAAGCAAGCTGTAGGCGTTGCGGTGATTTTGATCTTTCTCTCATTTATCACTCTCTGTCTCAAGCCACTTTCCTTTAGTTCCAGTTGAGCAGGAAAAGCTATTTCATCCTTGGCAGTTCTTCCAAATTCAGTAGACTGTGACCGAATCATTTAGAAAGTTAATGGACAATTCCTGGCTCATGGACAAATGTACAAATCCTCATCATTTTTTTTTTCTGAGCCTTTGATGTAAGTAACGACAAGTGGGCACTGTAATGTTCCCCCTTCGAATGTACAGGGACTCTTTTATTCACATTGTTTCACAGGGAGACCAATATGTGCCCTTTGAAGGGGGTGAACATGACCCTCCAGTACCTTTGAAATCCTGAGATTACAAGCACAGGGCGAAACTGAAATGCACATTTTTCCTTTTTATTGCACTGATTAAGTATAAGGAGATAATTTGCTTTTTCAGCTTAGCAAGACTCCATTCTAGTTTGGGTCAACTGGATGTTCTGAGAGGATTTGAGTACAAGCCCTCCAGTCCTCATTTATTCCTACACACATCTGCTCTGATTGCATGAAGAGTATCACACCGTTTAAAAAGTGTTCCTCTGTGTTCCCAATTGTCTAGAAATTTAAATATGGACTGAGTGATGGATGACATTTGTAAATTGTTAGTTTTGTTAATTGTGAAGATAGCATTGTGGTTACAAAGAAAACTCTTTTTCCTTCCTTCCTTCCTTCCTTCCTTCCTTCCTTCCTTCCTTCCTTCCTTCCTTCCTTCCTTCCTTCTTCCCTCCCTCCCTCCCTCCCTCTCTCCCTCTCTCCCTTCCTCCCTCAGATGCCTATTGCAGTGAAATGACATGACAACTGACATTTTGAGATTTGTGTTGGGGGATGGATACCTGAAAAAAACAAGAACAGCAATGTATGAGTTGTTGTTGAATCTGAATGGTGGGTATGAAGGGGTTACTTGCCTTCTCTACTTTTGTGCCGTTCTGGAAATTTTCCCAAGTAAAAGTTTTAAAAGCACATTTTTTCAGTTTCAAGGCACTAATTCTCAATCTTGCCTCGGCCCTCTGGGCAGCTTATTCACACATCCCTCCCTCAACAATGGAAGGTGGTTTTCCTGCCAGTGTGCTGGGGGTGGGGCGGGGGGGGGTGGGCGTGTTAAAAGTGTGGCTGAGATAATGACCCCCCCTCAGCCCTTGGAGCTACCAGTGGGACCTAAGGCAGAGGGTGGGGCTCTGAATGGCCAGAATCCTGCACTAGTAGCCTAGAGCCACGAGTGGCCTCATCTATGTGTCCTAGGGTTCAGATAATTGTCACTTTCTTCAAGAGCCATGTGGTCAAAAAACACTGGTTCATGATTGTTCCCAGTTAAGATGCAAATATCCCCTGGGAGGGGTTAACTCAACAAGCTAGTTTCAACTCGTAACACCTCAGGTGTTTCCAGATTATTCTTAGGGCTCTGGCTGCCCAGGGACACCTCCCTCCAGTGGTAGGTGAGTTTGGGACCTTGAGGAGCCAGGGTGGGGTAAGATGGTGGGGAAGCCTGTGAGCTGGTCGCTGGGCTCCACCGTGAGTAGGCCTGAAGGGAGGAGGAGAAGAAAGATGCTGAGAAGTTGGGAGACAGATGGTGGTGGGAGGTACTGTGGGCAGGAGTGTCCTAGGGAACCCCAGGAGGAAAAAGTCCTCCAGCCTCACATTGTCTGATTCCCACCTTCTTCTAGGCTTCTTCTAGCTTCTTCTAGACTGCTGCACAGCAGCGTCATGTCATAGTTCCACCTGGAGGACAAGTAATTTCTTGAAAACCTTCCTAGGGTTTATGTGAGGCCAAGGGTTCGAGACCAGCCTGACCAACATGGTGAAACCCCATGTCTACTAAAAATAAATTAAAAAAAAAATAGCCGGGCATGGTGGCACACACTTGTAATCCCAGCTACTCAGGAGGCTGAGGCAAGAGAATCAATTCAACCCAGGAGGCGGAGGTTGCAGTGAGCCGAGACTGCGCCACTGCAGTCCAGCCTGGGTGACAGAGACAGACTTTGTCTCAAAAAAAAAAAAGGAAAAAAGAAAACTTTCCAAGGGCTTCTGCCCTCCACAGATTTATGGACACCTGACATTTACCCAAGTTGTCAGAGAACTGTGCTCAGGGGAATTCTTATTTTGAATCAAATGCCCCAAGTGTATTTTTACTCTATTGTCCAAGTTTGGGTTCCCCATTAGAAGCAGAAACTGAGTCCCTCCAGGGGACCACACCAGCCCTGGACTGACTTCCTTTGGACATTTTTTTTTTAAACATAAGAAATGAATATACTTCTATCTTATTTAAGGCCCAGTTATTTTGGATTTGTGTAACTTACAAGTGAACTGGACCCTAAATGATTTGGAATCCTAGCAAAAGTGGAAGGATCCTGAGAATAAATGCAACTCTGAGGCTGTAGCAAACACTCTGAGGTGAGCCAGGGAGACTGAGGTCTTTGCAAGCCAGGGGGGCAGGAATGAAGTCAACAAAGTTTCAGGAAGTGGGCTGAGCCCAAAAAGAGCAAAAAGAATGTTGGGGACAAAGCGAGGAGCACCTTCTACACCTTGACTTTATTAAAGATGGTGCATAACAGTAGTCTGCCTTAAAGGGATTGTGGCCAATTAGACATCACGGGCAAGGAGAGGGGAGAGGGAAGGAAGGATGACTCCGGGTCTGTGGCTTAGGAACCTGGGTGGCTAGTGCTGCCATTTTGAGAGAGGGCCCTCAGTGGTGGAGAGAGATCTGGAGAGGTAAGTTTTAGACCTGTTGGGCCTCACGGGAGACCCAAGTGGAGGCATTCATTAGGCTGTTGGGTCTAGACTCCATGAAAGAGAGCAGGGCTAGAAATCTCAGTGTGGACCAGCTGGGCTATAGATGGGCTTTGGTGACAAAAGATGTGATTGAGGTTGCCAAGGAAAGTATGTGGGATGAGAAGACAATAGCTAATTACCAACATCTAAGTTGGCAGGGATGTGGGGGAAACAACCAAGGAATCTGTGAAGAAGACTGGGAAGAAGTGGCAAGAGAAGAGGGCAGAAAACAAGTGGGGTGGGGTGTTCTAGTATCCACGGAAAGGAAGCGAGTCAGAAAGAGTCATCAGTGATGTGAAACCACACACAGAAATGTCTAGTAAAGCAAATACTGCCAGTGCCCCACCCACATTCCCTCGGCCCTTACCAGTGTGTGCTGCCAGACTTCCAACTGCTAGAAGTTGCATTGCTTCAACTCTCTTTCTCTGGCTTCCAGAGCCTGCTCTGTCCATGGGCATGACAGGCTGGAAATGCCAGGGAATGCCCCCCTCCGCCAAGCAGCCCTCAACCAACTCTTGACAGAAGCTGGTGTAGAACTACTCCAGCCCCCTTGCCCCTTGGGTGACCTAACTCTGAGATACGTGTTCTGCACCATTTCCCAGGGTTCCCCGCGGGATTAAGCCTCGCTTGCCCATCGTGATAACTTGTTAACAACACACTGTGTTGACTTCGTTTCCCTTCCTTCTCATTTCTTCACTCCTTTACCAGTGTTTCCTGGGGTCACCTCCCAAATAAATGACTTACAGTCAAATTCTTGTCTCAGGTTCTGCTTTTAAGGAATCCCAAACTAGAATATTTAGAAAGATCAAGCCTGAGAAACATCCCCTGAATCTGACAGTCGGTTTGATTGGTGAATCTGAGGGAGAAAGTTGAAATGGTGCAGAGGGAAGGATGTTGCTTTTCAGGGAGATTTTTTAAATGGATAAGAAATAAACGATGGAGAAGACACTTCAGACGCAAAATGACCCACAGAAGAGATAAACAGTGGCGACATCATATTTCACTTCAACAGGATCTCATTCCCCACTTCCTAATAGCACCCTAATAGTTTGAGGGGGCTCACCTTTCTCCCACTCTGTCTTGTCTTGGAGGGTGGTGGTGTCTGTCTCCTCTGGTGGATTTTAATGAGCCAGCTTCCTCATCTTGATGCCAGCAGGTGACCTATGCTAGGGGACCATGGGATGCTTTCTCCCCGGTTTTGGAAGCCTGAGTGATATAATATGAAGACTGGGCAGGTCGCGGTGGCTCACGCCTGTAATCCCAGCACTTTGGGAGGCCGAGGCAGGCGGATCACGAGGTCAGGAGATTGAGACCATCCTGGCTAACACGGTGAAACCCCGTCTCTACTAAAAATACAAAAAAAAAAAAATTAGCTGGGTGTGGTGGTGGGCACCGGTAGTCCCAGCTACTCGGGAGGCTGAGGCAGGAGAATGGCGTGAACCCCGGAGGCAGAGCTTGCACTGAGCCGAGACCGTGCCACTGCACTCCAGCCTGGGCGAGAGAGCGAGACACCGTTTCAAAAAAAAAAAAATGAAGACTGGTTAGAGGTCATTTATGCAACAGTCCAGGGCTAATCAGGCTCCCCCAAGCCTTCTTTTTTGTCTCCCAAATCCCTGCAACAAATTAACTTTTGCTCAAGATTGCCAGAAGCAGTTTCTGCAGCCAAGAATCCTGATTAATAAAAAGTGGGCTAGAACTAAAGATCTGACGATGGCTGAGAGTCATTTTTTTCTCCTCAATTTTTTTCTGATTATAAAAATAACCTGTGCTCAATGCAGAACATTGAGAAAGTATAGAAAGTAGTCAGAAGCAGAAAAAAGACTGTAAAATCTCATTACTCAAAGGCAGACACTATTAATTTAGTTGAGATGATACTGTGTATGCAATTCAATATCCAGTGTATAGAATTTGGCATTCCATTTTTTGGTTTCTTTTTTAAAGTTACTTAACATACACCATGCATCATTTCTTTATTTTAACAACTTCTTCTTCTTCTTTTTTTTTTTTGAGACAGGATCTTACTCTGTTGCCCAGGTTGGAATGCAATGGCTCGATCTCTGCTCACTGCAGCCTCCGCCTCATGGGTTCAAGGGATTCTCATGTCTCAGCCTCCCGACTGGCTGGGACTACAGGAACAACAACTTCTTAAATATTATTTGGATGATTCATAATAGTCTTACGGATATATCATACTTTTCTGAAAACTCCTGCCATCATTTAACATTCTGACTTCTCTCAAAATTCTATCATGAAGAATAGTTTCCTGAACATTTTTGCTCATAAATCTTGGTCTGACAGTTCTGATTCTGTCCATAGGCTTGATTCCCAGAGTGGAGTTATTGTTTCAAAAGGAGTGAACACTGTTTAAAAGCTTTGGAAAGCTACTGCCAGAATCATCTCCAAATAATAATATACCAATTTATATTTCCACCAGTGCTCTTAATGGGATTTTACAAAATGGTCAATTTGAAAGAAGCAAGTTATCTCATTGCTAGTCTAACTTATTTGATTTACATTGATTCAGTTTTCTTCTTTCTGAATTGTCTATCTTTGCATTAATATTTTTCATGGGGATTTGTACAAACTATATATTAAAGCTAATAATCCTGTGTTACAGTTGTTGGAAACATTTGTATCAGTTCGTTTACTTTTTCCATCTGATTGTGTTGCTTTTAGCTATTCAAATGCTTAAAATTTTTATATCATTAAATCTAGAAAAATGTGTCCTTGTGAAGAGAGCTTTGAGAAGTTCTTTGTTGTTTTAAGCTTGTCAAGTCCTCCTTGATCTCAGTGTTTGATAAATATTCATTTTGAAAAGTATTTTTGTCTGGAATCCTTTCTTTAGCAATACTACTATAGCTGCTTTATTTTGCCTACCTTTGATTGGTGTGTCTTTATTCGTCCTTCTAATTTTAACCTTTTGGTGTAATTTTGTTTTAGGTTGTCATTTATAAGCAGCACACAATCATGTTTTGTTTCTTTTTAGCCCAGTGTGAGCACCTCTGCTTTTTTTGGGACAGAGTCTCTCTCTGTCGCCCAGGCTGGAAGTGCGGTGGTGCGATCCTGGCTCACTGCAACCTCCACCTCTCAGGTTCAAGTGATTCTCCTGCCTCAGCCTCCTGAGTAGCTGGGACTACAGGTGCATGCCACCACACCCAGCTAATTTTTGTATTTTTAGTAGAGACGCGGTTTTGCCATGTTGCCCAGGCTGATCTTGAACTCCTGGCCTCAAGTGATCCTCCTGCCTCAGACTCCCAAAGTGTTGGGATTATAGGCATTAGCCACTGCACCAGGCCCCATCTCTGCTTTTTATTACACAGTGTCAAACATTGACTATTAGCCTAAAAACTGATGCATATGTCCTGATTTCTGGCATCTTCTTTGTACTCTCTTTTAGGTTTGCTATTTTCTTTCTTTCTTTTTTTTTTTTTTTTTTTTTTTTTTGAGACAGAGTTTCACTCTTGTTGCCCAGGCTGGAGTGCAATGGTGCGATCTTGGCTCACTACAACCTCCACCTCCCGGGTTCAAGCGATTCTCCTGCCTCGGCCTCCCAAGTAGCTGGGATTACAGGTGCCCACCACTACGCCCAGGTAATTTTTGTATTTTTAGTAGAGACAGGGTTTCACCATGTTGACCAGCTTGGTCTTGAACTCCTGACCTCAGGTGATCCACCCACCTCAGCCTCCATAAGTGCTGGGATTACAGGTGTGAGCCACTGTGCCAGGCCAGGTTTGCTATTTTCTTGCCTATGTCATTTTCACTGTGTTTTTGTTTTCTTCATTGGTAATTTGGAAGGTGGTTCTTAATCCTGGTAGTGGTTACTTTTTTTGTTAATTTTTAAAATTTATTTGTATATTTATTGTACTTTTTATTAAGTTGTGGTTACCTTGAAGTTTACTAAATGTAGCCCTAAACCTATATTTCTCTAGTTGGCTAAATGAAAAAAGCAGAATTTTTTATAGCAGCCATTTAACAATTGAGTGGGTTTTTTGTTTATTTTGTTTTGTTTTTAATCCTCTATGAAGTCCTGTCTTTAATATTGTGATCTGGGGCTGTAAAACCCAGATAATTATTATATTGTATTCATTATGTGTTTTTTTCCAAGATTTGGTTTTGAATTTTGCATTTGATTCAGTAACCATATTTACAACAATTATTTTCATCCAACTAAATATTTAACTGCCTTCCAGGTAGCACAATTTTTTCTTTGTCTTCTTTTTTTTTGAGACAGGGTCTCACTCTGTAGCCCAGGCTGGAGTACAGTGGCATGGTCACAGTTCACTGTAGCCTTGAACTCCTGGGCTCAAGTGATCCTCCCACCTCAGCCTCCCAAAGTAGCTGGGACCACAGGTGTGTGCCACCATGCCTGGCTGATTTTTGTATATTTTGTAGAGATGGGGTGTCGCCATGTTGCCCAGGCTGGTCTCAAACTTCTGGGCTCAAATGACCCTCCCATCTTGGCCTCCCAAGGTGCTGGGATTACAGGCCTGCTCCACTGTGCCCAGCCTGGTTTTTTCAACTGGAGCATGTGTATGAGAATCACCTGGAGAGTTGTTTGTCCTTTTACATTCCCTGGCTTTACATTCCACTTAGAGTTTCTAACCCTAGGGGTCTACAACAGTCTTCACCTGATGCCCACTCTGGCCTCAGCCTTGCGGTTGTAGGCTGAGAACGGCTACAGAGGGCATTGTGGGAGACAGGCTGGAGGTGGGATGAAGAAGGGCTTTGGGAAAAGGTTTCCTGGGAAGAGGGAGTGTTCCTGGTTTCCCAGTCAGGCCTGATGATGATGAAAGCACCTCTTGACCCCCACCTCCACCTTCCCAATCTCCAGTTGAGAACTGCTGGTATAAGAGAAGGAGAATGAGGCTTGGAAACTGGCTTCAAATCCTTGCTGCCACCTCCTCAGTCCGTTTTTGAACAACTTGAATCTTTGACTGTCAATTTTCTCATCAGTAAAAATAGTTCTTACTTCATAGGGTTGTAATCACAGATAATCTGTAAAGCACTTAGCACAGTGCTTGACAATAGCAAGCTCTTAATAAAAATTATTATAATTGCTATTTTATATTGACACGTCTATTTTTGTAGGGCTCCTTCTTTATGCAATTCTAATTTTTACTTCCTTCTCTTGGAGGAAGTAAACATCCAGCTACTACTCCCATGCACAATCCGTTACAATTTATTTTCTCCAAAGCAATTTGCTCGCCACTGCTTTTGCAAACCGCGGCTACCCTGAAAACTTTCTGCTCACTCCTTTTTCATCAAAACCACAGCAGTGCTGTCCAGCAGAACTTTGTGTGACAGTAGAAATGTTCTATAATAGAACATGGAGTTCCAAGCACTTGCCATGTAGCTAGTGAGACTAAGGAAGTGAATTTTGAATGTTAATTAATTTGAACGTAAGTAGCTACCTGTGGCTAGTGGCTACCATATTGGACAGCACAACTCTGTAGGGTTTCTTTCTTGCTTGGAACTCCATTATTAAGTAATGGTCCATCTTACAATTAATGGCATGTTAGAAAAGAGGAAGTTCAGTGAGAAATTATGAAATTTAATGTTAGATTTAATTTTTTATATTTCCAGCCTTTCATAAATAGCTTCGTTCTTTCCTTCAAAAATGAATATACAGTTATTCTATATAAATCCAACAAAGGTCAAGATGAAGCAGGTTTCCTGCTTAGAGCATGTCTAATAGCGTCTATCCTTGCTACGGATGTATTGCATTGATGAGACCTATTTGGTTTTAGCCAGTTAAACAGAACATTTGGAGGAAGTTAAGTTCATCGTGAATTTTGCTGATGATCAACCAGAATGAAAGTGCTTTGGAAGTTGGAGATAGAAAAAATGCAGAGTCCAATTAGGTCAGTGACTTCCACATTATTTTTACCATGGTCCACAGTATGAAATTCAGCATGGACTAGTATACACATATAAACATACATAATGGAAATAAAGACTTCACAAGAGCTATACTTTACCTTTATTACATGTAGCATTTTGATAGTCTGTATTTTATTCTATCCTCTTCTGTGCCACTCTGTTGTATTTTAGTCTATTTCATTTTCCATATACTGGTCAAGATTCACTAAATTGTCTTCCAGACCCACTATTGGGTTCCAATCTGCAAACACCAGATTAGGAGATGTACAGGAGCCATGTGGGTTTGAGAGTCAGAGGGAAGAGGGGTGACTTGCGAGTGCTGGGCTTCAGAAACAAACAGGGCTGGAGGCCGGATTAGTTTGCTAGGGCTGCTGTCACAAAACACCACAGGCTGGATGGTTGAAACAACAGAAATTTGTTTCCTCGCAGTTCTGGAGGCTGGAAGTCCAAGATCAAGGTGCCTGCAGGGTTGAGTTCTTCTGAGACCTCTCTCCTTGGCTCAAAGATAGCCACTCTCTCATTGCCTCTTCATGTGGCTGTCTCTCTGTGCATGGACAGTGCTCCTGGTGTTTCTTCTTCCAGTCATATTGGATCAGGGCCCACTCTAATGGCCTTATTTTAACGTAATCACCTCTTTAAAGAGGTGGTTACATTCTGAGGTACTCGGGGTTGAGACTTCAACATATGAATTTTGGTGGGACACTAGTTGTGCAAAGCAACAATGCAAAAGTTAATACAGGAGTGCTGAAGGTTCTCAGGCTTCAGAAAAAAATGGGAGCATAAAGCATGCTACAAATAAATTACTGCTATCTTAGTGAAAATAGAAGTTGGTTAGGTTCAAATCATAAATTCTGAATTTAAAATATAAATGTGTGTGCTTGCTGATATGAATATCTAATAAAAATCCTCATGCACACATTTGGCTTACCAATCAATATTTAACTCAAGGTTCACTTATCGTAAATGAGAACTGGAAGTTCTTTTGCAATTGGATGGGGACGCTGTCTAGTCTCAACATGCTATTTTTGAGAACACTTGAAGAACAGACAGCATTTTCTTTGCAAACATTAACTTGCCACGTCTTACAAAATTATTCCCCTTGGGCCACCTATATCAGGATGGTACTATCTCAGTTTTCCAGATATGGAACTGCTCAATTCTCTCTCTGAGGTTGTATAAAAGCACCAGTGACCCAAGCTAATGCTAAATTAAGGAATCAACTGGTTTTCATCCAATACAGCTAAACCAGATGGGCTGCCTTAGCAACTTCCAGGCCAACTCCATCTATTTTTCAACCCAAATTTAATAGATTTGTGCACTGCCTGCCTTTTTCATTTGTTAGACTCTGGAGAGAGAAAAGGAACACATTTTTAATACTCCCCTTTGTAAGTATAAAATAATACCTTCCAGCTCACGGAAAATAAAAGAAGTTAAATAAAAATGAAATATAGGCCATCTGTAACTCCACTACCCACTTTAAGGCTTTAGCATATTTCCTTCCAATATTTTAATGCATTCTTATAATGAAAATTATGCTATATATATAGTTTTTTATCCTGCATTACTTGCTTATGATTATATGCATTCCACTTAAAACCCTTTCAAAGCATTATTCTTTCATGATTACTGGATAGTTCTTTAAGTGTGTCCAGTGGAAGTGGGAAGATGGCAGTCCAGGGTGAAACTCAAGCCAAGAGGGTAGTCCACAAACCAGCCAAGGTGATCCTCAGGACAGCAGACCAAGAGAAGATTCTAAACTGCTGCTTAATGAGCTGTGGGGTAGAATGCGGGGGAGGGGAGAGTTTGTTCCAGGAAATTCAATGTACCCGCAATAGGTGGGCAAAATGAGCCATAACACATCAACTCCGAATCCTAGGCTTGTAGACCATGGGTGCAGAGAAATAGCTTTTCCAATCCCTGCATCTCATGTGTTCTCAGCCCCACTTACTCACTCAGAAATCCCAGTCCCTTGTGAAGTCTTTCTTGAGTGTCTGGGGAAAAGTAGAGACACTTTATGTGTTTGCAACCATCAGTCTGGGCCACAGGGCTCAGTCTGCTTCTGCTTCTCTGAATTCTGTTTCAGTCATCTGTGCCCTCCTTGGAAGGGATCTCTGCTTCACCAGCCTCTGGTGACACATTTAGGAAGATTCGGTCTGACCACTCATTATCTCCATCCTCATACCCTTTAATTACCCAGCAGCCTTTTGCCGTGTGAGACATTCCGTGTTGGGCCCCCTTGGTTCACATAGGCAGCCTTCGCACTACTCCTCCCCTACAGTGTCACAAGTGCATTCGCTGCTCCTCTTGGAATCTCAAACTGTGTTGCCGAATCCACCTGATCACACCAAAATCCCTTCTCTTCTGGGATTCTTTTTTCAAGATTCTCCCCTGCCCGCATCCCTCCTTGCAAGCCGGCTTCTGTTGGCCTCCTCTTCCTCCCTACCAACTGTATCTGACATGTCTGTCTATATCCAAACTCCAGCTGTGGCCTCGAGTCAATGCATTTTCTGCTTTGATGCCCATGTGCATCAGTTAATTCAAACCTATACCCAGAGGCTGGGGACGCCCAACATATTTGAGTCTCTGTTCTGGCCTAACTGGAACCTCTGCTACAGTGACTTAGCCCTTCCCCTTGTAAGGGAATCACAGAGCATTTTGCTATTATAAATATCACTGTAATCAACATCTGTTTGCATAAATCTCCAGTAATCATCCACATCTCTGGTCATTTCTTTCCGGAAGATCCCTCAAGGTGGAATTACGCAGTCAAAAAGTATACACACTTAAAATGTGTATACCATAGTACAAATTGCTTTTCACAAAGATGGTTCCAACTGTCACGCTCACCTGCCACATAGGACAGTCGAAAAGGCACATTTGAGAATGCATCCCTGTGTTTCTAAGGGTGTGAATGAGTGGCACCTGCACTGACTCCTGGAGTTACAGCCAGAAAGCTTCGGTTTAAACCCTGGCTTGCCAACTATGTAACTGTGGTGGGTCACCTACTTTTCTAAGACTTGTTTTTTTCTCATGTCTAATGGGACTAATGACACCTTCCCAAAAGAGGTATTGGAATGAATACGTGAGAAATTGCACACATGAAGGTTAACTCACATCTCCTTTCAGCTCTGCTTGGAAGCTAGTTACTCTTGGAATCTAATGAGAGTTTACATTTTAATGACCAATAATGGTCTGATGACAACGCTCCCCAGCAAACTGCACCAGTGCTAGGTAAGCAGGAACAATCTGTTCTTTTCTTTTGACTAGCAAGCACGGAGGCTAAAGATTGGGGCTTCCCCAGAACCCCCAGGCCACACCACTGTCTGCCCTGCCTCCCAGATGTGGAAGGCCCTGCCATGCTGATCGGGTAAGATAAAAGCCACATGGTGAACGCAAGACTTTGGGCTAACATTTTTGTTTTACGAACGGTTCCACAGTTTTGAATTCAGCTGCATACCCTACTTGCCAACCATAGCAAAGTACGAATACAATTCAGCACCTCATTAATCCCAATATTATTACATGTGTGGTTTTCATTTCACATTTAATATTTATTTTTCTCAAGAGGAAGCCAGGACTAGATTAAGCATGTTAGAGTCATCCAGTCCGAAGGTCAGGAAAGTATTGGTAGAGCGGGGGAGGCAGGGGCTTCTGGGGGAAGAAAAGACTGTGGCCGACTTTCGTTCACGGCCTGATGGGTAACACTCATTGATCATTTTATGGACTTAAACAGTAAGTGGCTTTTTGGACTGACTAAACTAAAACCATGGGATGCATGAACACATTTAGATTCATCTCTGAGTCTTTGAATCTACCCACCTACTCATTCCTAGCAATCACACCTTCAAATCACAGGAGCTTGTTAGTAGCATGTTAGCTCTTAAATGGATCTTAGAGACAACCTCCTTCCCTCTGTCTGCTTGTGTGAGATGTTTAGCATTACAGTGTTTATTGGCTGGGCTTTAAACAAAATAAAAAAGCAGTTGGAAATCAGTAGCTTAATTCTCTTCTGGAATTAAAGTTAAATTCCAGTCTAGGAAACTACAGGAGGACACTCACATGCAGAATTTTGTTCTAATCAGACTAATAAGAGCCCTATCTCTGGAATGAAAGAACTGGGGAAGAAAAAAATTGCTTCTAATCTATTTATAGTATATTCAGAAGAGCAAAGAAGTACTTTGAAGTTCTCTTAAGTAGGAAGAAGATGAAGGTATAATATATTCCCCAGATGACTTTTTTTCATCCTCCCTGAAACCTTCTTATTCTGCAAATATTTAGCAACTGTGAATAGGGAGATCAGCAGAAGCACGTGAAACATTCAAGGCTGTTGCAAGCCAGAAGCTAGGTATGGGTTAGATTTACGAGAGGGGTTTGGACTTTTGTTTCTGCCTAGCATGTGGGGTAATAGTAAAGGATTTTGAGCAGGCAGAATGACACATCTGAATAATGCTTTAGGAGGCAGGATGCTTTGGAAGCAATGTGTGGTGAGACAGGAAAGGAGAAGACGCTGCAGGCTGGGAGGCCAGGTGGAGAACATGTAAAATCATCAAGGAGAGGGTGGGTGATGAGGTTTGGCTACGACTCCACCCAAATCTCATCTTGAATTGTAGCTCCCATAATTCCCACATGTTGTGGGAGGGACCGGTGGGAGGTAATTGAATCATGGGGGCAGTTTCCCCCATGCTGTTCTTGTGGTAGTGAATAAGTCTCACAAGATCTGATGGTTTTATAAGAAGAAACCCCTTTCGCTTGGCTCTCATTCTCTCTCTTGCCTGCTGCCATGTAAGACGTGCCTTCCACCTTCCACCATGATTGTAAGGCCTCCCCAACCACATGGAACCGTGAGTCCATTAAACCTATTTTTCTTTATAATTTACCCAGTCTGGGGTATGTCTTTATCAGCAGTGTGAAAACGGACTAATGCCTGAACTAGGCTTTCAGAACTAGGAATTATCTTAATTGAGCTGCCCCCAGAAGCAAGCCCTGAGACAAGGATTCCAGTGCAAGTATGCAAGTAGTTGCTTTGGGAGTTGATCCCAATCAACACTGGCTGGGGAGAGTGAAGTGAGAGGGAAAGAAAGCAAGTGGGTATTAGCAAATCAGCTACTGCTGTGGGCAATTAGAGCTTGATCCTGATGGGGAGCCCTGCGAGACTACCTAGAAGGTACCTCAGAGTTCTCCCTGCAAGAGACAAGGAAGGTGGGGATTTATTCATCAATTCCTCACCAACCATTGGTGAAGAGCTGCTTCCAGAAGCACCCCCCAGCATTCCAGATTCGCCCTGCATGTGGGCCAAATGTGCTCCAACAAAAATGCCCTCAGGAAGTCGCAGGTGTCTGCAATGAACAGCCTTGGGAATGGAGAGGTGAATGTCAAGGCAGTCCGGGTAGAGCAAAAACAGGGCCACACGTAGACGTCTATTTCTCCCTGGAGATACTCAGGCAGTCCTGGATCTTGTAAGTGAGACTTAGTTCTCTGAGTAGTTGGGCAGAAAGATCTCTGATTTGACTTTCTTCTCTAAATTCTGTGATTCCTTCATCTTCAATAACAGGCCACCCTATACGCACAGATTACATTCTTGCATGTATTTAATCCCAGTTTTGAATCCATGCCCCCTTTAATTCTACTCCATAATACACATTTCTTTGAGGAACTTGCAATTAGCATTTCTGCATACCTTTTATGGAATTATATTTTTAAAACACTTCTCTAATGAGATTGCAGAAGACTGGAAATTACAGTAATGAAGGTATTAGCCAGGCATGTGATACCCAAGGTAGGAAAGAAAAACATATTAAGTCAACTTGCCATAACTTACTCCAGTGAAGTTGGCAATGAGCAAGCCATCCATCTCCATCATTTACTAGAATTAATTCAAAGTCCTGCTGGGGTTCAACTGAGAAGAGAAACTTGCCAGGACTTCACGTTGGAAGCCATTCAACATGAAAACCAGCATGACATATTTTCTCTTCAGGACCACACAACTCAAAATTGAAGAAATTTGAGGAATTTCTAGAAAATTCCATAACAGGTCAATGACAATTTAACCCCAAGAAAAGAGAACTGACTTTCTTAGGGAAACTGTAAGTTGCTTGCCTTTGTGGACCTTAAAACTGACCTTTTTGGTTCTCTTGCAGTTAGTTTATTAAGGGGGAAGGGAGTGAGAAAGTGCTAACAGCTCCCAGAACAGATTTTTCAGTGCTGAGGTCCACCCAGTGAACTCCCAAGCCAAGTAACCAATGCTTGAAAATACGTTTACATCATGGAAGTAGAAAAGCCAAACCCCAGCTGGCCTTCATGAGAGGGAATAAATGTAAAGCCCGGAACGAAAACGTGGCACCTCTTAGCGAGGCAGCGTTTTCTTCATTTTCATTGGTCCCTTTCCTTTGACCACAGTCCCTCGCAGCCCCTCAGGATCTGGTCTGGGAGGCAAGGGGCGGCTCCTGTTACTTTCACACCCAATTGGAGTGGCCTGGGAGCTGACCCAAATCTGGGTGAACGCATTTTCATTAAACCAGTAGATAGTCATTGAGCACCTACTGAGTGCAAGGGACAGAGTCCAGCTCTTCGCAGTTGGTAAAGGTAAGTCGGCCCTGGAGGGCCTTAGAATTCAATGGGGAAAGTGAGACATAGAGAACTCTAATATAAAGTTCCAAGGGTGCAGTGCTGTCACCATGCTATAACTTCCTGTCATACTTGTAACTGTGAAAAGGATCCCGGCCGGGTACAGTGATGCACACCTATAATTCCAGCACTTTGGAGGCCGAGGCAGGAGGGTCACTTGAGTCTAGGAGTTCAAGACCTGCCTGAGCAATGTGGCGAACCCCTGTCTCTGCAAAAGTAAAAAATCAGCTGGGTGTGGTGGCGCGTGCCTGTAGTCCCAGCTACTTGGAAGGGAGAATCACTTGAGCCCAGGAGGTCACCCATGCTTTCCAGCCTGGACGACAGAGTGAGACCCTGCCTCAAAAAAAGAAGAAAATAAAAATAACAATACTAGGAACTCACTTATAGAACACTTTCAGTGGTCTAGGTTCTGTGAGATAAGTATTATTGCTATCTTATTTTACAGATGTGGAAATTAAGGCACAGAGAGATTAAGGCACTTACCCAAGTTCACACAGCCAGTTAGTGGTAGAGCTGAGATTCAAATCCATATCCAAGCAATCTGGCTTCAGAGCCCACGTTCTTAACCACTATACTACCTACCACACAATAATTTTTTAATATTAGATTGTTTGGGTATACAGCCGTTTCTCAGTTACTTAGGAAAATTCCATGAGGTAGAGAACTTGTGCTTTCATCCTTATGTTCTAGTACATGGCACATAGAGCCTGGTCCCAGGATATTCATTAAGATCTTTTTGTTTGTTTGTTTGTTTGTTTTGTTTTGTTTTTGTTGTTGTTTTGTTTTTTGTTTTCTTTGAAACAGAGTCTTGCTCTGTTGCCCAGGCTGTAGTACAGTGACACGATCTCGGTTCACTGCAACCTCTGCCTCCCAGGTTCAAGCAATTCTCCTGGCTTAGCCTCCCAAGTAGCTGAGATTACAGGTGCACACCACCACGCCCAGCTAACTTCTGTATTTTTAGTACAGACAGAGTTTCACCATGTTGGCCAGGCTGGTCTGGAACTCCTGACCTCAAGTGATCCACCCGCCTTGGCCTCCCAAAGTGTTGGGATTACAGGCGTGAGCCACCGCACCCAGCCTCATTAAGATTCTTAATAAATATTTATTGAACAAATGAATGAATGAACTTAAAGCCCTGGTGAGGCTCTGCGGCTGTTTAGAGAAGGAAAAAAATGACATTTAATCACAGGAATGAGGGAAGGCTGCATGGAGGAAGTGGTATTTAGCCTCTGCTTTGACTGGTAGATAGGGCCCATGGAGGTAGAAGGACATCTTTCAATTCCATGCTGCAAATGCAGACCTTTGGTCAGTTGGAAGGCCTACAGCCTGTAATTTGGCAGGCCTGCTTCTCAGAAGAAATGGCCATTCCGTGGCCAAGTACCTTAGCAATGGGTCCAACTGCCTCCACAGGCTCTGGAGACAGAGTGAGAGGACAGATGACCTGCAGATGGAGCGTGGAGCATCCAGGAGGCCAGGGAGTGTGAGACTGTACCACCTGGCTGTGCTGGGCTGGGTCCCACCCTGGAGCACCAGGACTTTGGGTGACCCGAGCGGAGGTCTGCTTGTCTGCGGAGTGTAAGCACAGGGGAGGGGCCCCACAGGCCACTTCTGGCTCTGCCCAGATTTGAGCAGCTGCTGCTGAAGGGAAGCGCCTGTCAGAGTGCATTTCATGGCGGGAACTGGCTGGGTGGAGGTGTGGCATGCCTGGTGGAGCCTGTCTAGTAATGGGGGTTGGGGTACATTGGGCAGCAGAGAAGGGCAATGGGCAGATTGAAAAAGCCCAGGCAGTGTCCAAGCCAGAGAGTGGAGGAGCACTTGACGGGGTCTTCCTTGGATAGGTAACTTTGGAAATCAGACCCCAAGGGCATTTCATATTTTGGTAACAAAGGGAGCCACTCAGAGGGGGCCTTTGGAGAATCCAGTCATGGTCCGAGGCTACCCTGAACGGACTCCAGGGGCTGCTAACTGGACTGTGTGAGCTCTGTTGACAAACAGCCCAAGTGGAATTGCTTCTGGATTCATAACGTGATAAGGTTGCTGGACAGACGATGGGGGCTCCACTTAGCTGTTTTCTCTCCCTACTCCTAGGCAGGATTCTGTGAACTACTGTGGAGAGGTGGATCTCGGCGTGAAATGGTTGTTCACGTGTAGGAAGCAGCAAGAAATGGAACTGGAAAATTCCAGATGCAAAATATAGGCTACATAGTTTTAATTTCCTATTCGAAGACATCACAGCTTGGCAATATCATAAAGCCAGGGCAGTGCAATTGGAGAGAACTAGGATCTTAAAATCAATTCCACAGTCCCAGCCTCTGATCACATCCTCTCTCCCACTGTCCACAGCAACGGTCTCAAACTTTCACAACATGCCTTAAAGTCCTCTCCTTTCAGTATGCGTGACTTCCTCACACTTCTCCGTCATGTCCCCTGCTCCCACCACCCCCCAGTCAGACAGGTTCTTTCTGCCTCCTATCCTCATGATCTTCCCTTCCTCTCAGACGGGATTGTCTACCTCCCATCATCCTGGGCCTTGGAGCCCCTCCCTTCCCAGCCCCTCATTACCTGATTCCCCTGCATCTTCAACCCCCAGCCCTCCTCTGCCTTTTATTCATCTAGAATAGAAACACTATCCTATTTTCTTTGTCGCCCAGGCTGGAGCGCAGTGGCGTGATCTCAGCTCACTACAACCTCCACCTCTGGGTTCAAACGATTCTCGTGTCTCAGCCTCCCGAGTACTTGGGATTACAGATGCCCACCACCACGCCCTGCTAATTTTTGTACTTTAGTAGAGACGGGATTTCACATGTTGGCCAGGCTGCTCTCAAACTCCTGACCTCAAATGATCCACCCACCTCGGCCTCCCAAAGTGCTGGGATTACAGGAATGAGCCACCGTGCCCAGCCTCAAACCCTCTTTTTGCTCCCTCTCCCATCTTGCCAGGGCCAATTTTTTCCTTTCCTTTCCTTTCCTTTCCATCCATTTTATTATGATCTTTGCTTCTCCCTTCCCATTCATTATGCAAACCACTGCACTTTTCCTTCAGCCCCTGGCAAGCCCCTACAACTGCTCACACACAAGTAGTAAGGGCCAAATACAGTTCACACCATAGTGCTGGCCCTGCCTCTTCCCCACAACTCTCCGCCCCCCAACTTGCCCAATGCAGTCCTCTCCTTGGGTCCCTCCTAATCTTTGATTTGTCATTCTTAGTCTTTTTCATGTCAACTGGGCAGTTAAAAATAATCAAACTTTTCAAAAGGGAAATTTTTATGAGAACTTCAAAGATAACAGTATATTGATATAAGCATGTGAACGCAATCCAAACCTAAGGTCCTCCTTATTGCAGAACTTATCTAGTGAAATGAGAAAATAATTTTTAGGAAAGCATCTGAAACAAAGAGATTAAAATGTCAAAAGTTATCAAAGGTGCTCCAACTGTTTCACACAAAAAAGTTTTATTTATTTATTTTTATTTTATTTTATTTATTTTGTTTTATTTTATTTTATTTTGAGACAGAGTCTTGCTCTGTCACCCAGGCTGGAGTGCAGTGGTGTGATCTCAGCTCACTGCAGCCTCTGCCTCCCACGTTCAAGCGATTCTCGTGCCTCAGCCTCCCATGTAGCTGGGACTACAGGCACACGCCATCACACCCGGCTAATTTTTGTATTTTTAGTAGAGATGGGGTTTCACCATGTTGGCCAGGCTGGTCTCCAACCCCTGACCTCGAGCTATCCACTTGCCTCAGCCTCCCAAAGTGCTAGGACTACAGACGTGAGCCACTGCGACCAGCCACATAAAAGTATTTTAATAACTTACCTAAATTGTGAAATTCAAGACTCTGAGCATAGTTGAACAGGTTTTGTTGATATTATAGAAGCAAAAGGAATAATATTTTAAACTCTATTGTTGGTATTTGAAAAAAAGTTATTGAAATGACAAATATTTACAGGAAAACTTTATTGCCTGGTAAAAAGAATAGAGCTTCTTCTGGGTTCAGTGGCTCACGCCTGTAATCCCAGCACTTTGGGAGGCCAAAGCAGGAGGGTTGCCTGAGGCCAGTAGTTCGAGACTAGCCTGGAGAACATAGCCAGACCCCCACCTCTACAAAAAACAAATTTTAATTAGCCTGTCATGGTGGCGCACACCTGTAGTCCCAGCTACTTGGGAAGCTGAGGTGGGAGAATCGTTTGAGCCTGGAAGATCAAGGCTGCAGTGAGCTGTGATTACATCACTGCACTCTGGCACTCCATTCTAGGCAACAGAGTGAGACCTTCTTGTCTCTTTTTTTTCTTTTCTTTTTCTTTTCTTTTTTTTTTTTTTTTTTTTTTTGAGGCGGAGTCTCGTTCCGTCCCTCAGGCTGGAGTGCAGTGGCAGGATCTCGGCTCACTGCAAGCTCCGCCTCCCGGGTTCACTCCATTCTCCTGGCTCAGCCTCCCAAGTAGCTGGGACTACAGGCGCCCGCCACCACGCCCGGCTAGTTTTTTTTTGTATTTTTAGTAGAGATGGGGTTTCACTGTGTTAGCCAGGATGGCCTCGAGCTCCTGACCTCGTGATCCTCCCGTCTCAGCCTCCCCAAGTGCTGGGATTACAGGCGTGAGCCACCGCGCCCAGCCTTCTTGTCTCTTAAAAAAAAAAAATAGAGCTTCAGTCAAAATTTTAGAAATCTTTCTGGATATTTTAAATTGAAAATAAGCCACTGCATTCAATTATCTTTGGATGATACACTAAACATATAAATCAGGTCAAACAGAAATTGTTCCCTGGACACACAAGCCAAATCTAGTCTGCTCCCGAATTTTGTACAGCCTGTGAACGAAAGAAGAAAAATATTTGTTGACAAGTGAAAATTATCTAAAATTCAAATTCCAGCGTCCACAAATAGAGTTTTATTGGAACACAGCACACCCATTTGTTTCTATATCGTCTGTGACTGCTTTTTCACTACCACAGCAGAATCGAGTAGTTGCTACAGACACCGTGTGTCCTGCAAATGCTAAAATATTTACCTGCCACCTCATTACAGAAAAACTTTAATGATCCCTGAAGTAAAAGATTTAAATAAATTCAATTCAATAAATTTTATAATGCACTACCATACAAAAATAATAATTGGAAATAATTAAATAGAACATCTGTAAATTAAAGTAATGAAAATAGGAAGAATATTTGAATCTCCTGAGGCAGCCTGTAGGGCCCAAGCTACAGAAGCATTTTTTGTTTTTTTTTTTTTTTTTTTTTTTTTTTTATGAGATGAAGTCTCACTCTCTCACCTAGGTTGGAGTGCAGTGGCAAGATCTACAACCTCCACCTCCTGGGTTCAAGCGATTCTTGTGCTTCAGCCTCCAGAGTAGCTGGGATTACAGATACCTGCCACCAGGCACCAATATTTTTTTTTTTTTTTTTTAAAGCAGAGATGGGGTTTCGCCATATTGGCCAGGCTGATCTCGAACTCCTGACCTCAGGTGATCCTCCTGCCTCAGCCTCCCAAAGTGCTGGGATTACAGGTATGAGCCACCATGCCTGGCCTAATTTTTGTATTTTTAGTAGGGACAGGGTTTCGCCACATTGGCCAGGCTGGTCTCAAACTCCTGAGCCTGCATGATCCACTTGCTTTGGCCTCTCAAAGTGCTGGGATTACAGGCATGAGCCACTGCGCCCAGCCAATGTGTGGTGGTGCACACCTGTAATCTCAGATACTCAGGAGGCTGAGGCAGGAGAATCACCTGAACCTGGGAGGCGGAGGTTGCAGTGAGCTGAGATCGTGCCACTGCACTCCAGCCTGGGCGACAGAGCAAGACTCTGTCTCAAAAAAGATAAAAACAAAAATTAAGAAATTATTAGAATTATTTGATGAATGATGCAATAAGCAGTTTTATGATATTTAAACATATAGTATTTAGTTAGAGAATAAAAATGTTTATGTATTTTCATTTTATTGTATTATATAATATGTACCAATATGTCCAAATATGTCTTTATCTCTATCTACATATATTATATTTCTATATCCATATCTCTATATTACTATACCTGTTATGGATTTTGACCATTGCCCCCAGGCACAACTAATATTCCATACTAGTTTTCTGTCCTGGCCTCACCTTTTGGATGGCACACATGAAATTGACTTCCCAGCTCTGACCTTGGCACTCATCAAGAACTGTTCCAGTTCTCCCCTGCAGCTGGCTGCAATACTTTGAGTCACGCCCTTTTTAATTCAACACAGGCCTCAGGACCTTCCTTCCCTCGCACAGCAGTGGGGAACACGCCCACTTCTCTCTGTGTCAGTCTCAGCAGGGCCTGGGTAGTTAAAGGAAGCCTGTTCTCACCCTTTCTGCCTCTATCAAAACTTGCTGCCCGGGAAGTGTCTGAACTCTTAGCCAATATGCTCTTTTCCCAAGGGCCATTTTCATTTCATGTCTTGACTTCAGTTGCAGAAGGAAAGCTTTATTCCTTTATGGAAGAATTTCAGGCATCAAAGGCAGGTGGGGAAGAATTTTTGGGAGCTGAGGAGTCTAGAATGTGAATGTTTTATGAGTCCACCTGCAGATCAAAAGAGAAGAAAACTAATATATTCTTTTTCCAAAGGGGGAAGGAGAAGTTCCTCTACATTCTTTGGTGTGTGTTTTATTATTTTAATAGATCGTGTGAGTGTGCAGGCTTCAGGGAGATGAAACTGCTGTCTGATACATCACTGGTTATGTTATGGAGTATAAAGTCATGCAATTTAATGGAAAAAAGGCAGCTTGGAAAGATATCTGTGTAAGCCAGCTTTAAGAGGTCATACATCTTAATACTGATTGATAAACTGACCATGACTTGAAACAAACATATCTGAATCTTCAATTGCCCATACAATAAAAAACAATAGCTAACATTAACTAGCTGCTTCTTCTATGCTTGGCATTGTGCTCAGTATTCTACATGCACTGTCTCGTTTAATGCTTGAGACAAATTTTGGAGGTAGGTACTGTTTTATTTTTATTTTATTTTATTTTATTTTATTTGAGATGGAGTTTCACTCTTGTTGCCCAGGCTGGAGTGCAATGGTGTGATCTCAGCTCATCGCAGCCTCTACCTCCTGGGTTCAAGCAATTCTCCCACCTCAGTCTCCCAAGTAACTGGGATTACAGGCATCTGCCACCATACCCAGCTAATTTTGTGGTTTTTTTTAGTAGAAACGGGGTTTCTCCATGTTGGTCAGGCTGGTCGCAAACTCCCAACCTCAGGTGATCCACCCGCCTCAGCCTCCCAAAGTGCTGGGATTACAGACATGAGCCATCGCCCCTGGCCATAGATACTGGTTTTATCCCCATCTGCGTATTTTCCAGCATGCTGGCATTCTCTTTTTCAATCTCTTTTTTTTTTTTTTTTTTTGACGGAGTTTTATTCTTATCGCCCAGGCCGGAGTGCAATGACGCGATCTCAGCTCACCACAACCTCCACCTCCTGGGTTCAAGCGATTCTCCTGCCTCAGCCTCCTGAGTAGCTAGGATTACAGGCGTCCACCACCACGCCCGGCTAATTTTTGTATTTTTACTAGAGACAGGGTTTCGCCATGTTGGCCTGGCTGGTCTCGAACTCCTGACCTCAGGTGATCTGCCTGCCTCAGCCTCCGGAAGTGCTGGGATTACAGGCACGAGCCACCATGCCTGGCCTTCAATATCTCTTCTTAACCCACCCTAGGCCCATCTGGGCTCTGCTCTGTGCCCTGGACTCCCTTATCCTTGGATTCTGTTTGGGTTCAACCAATGGGAGCTACCACAGGTTATTGAAGAGTGGGAGGAAGGAGACAGAGAGGTTGGGCTATTTCTTCCCAGCTCTTTCCCTGCTCCATCTGCCTGGTTATGACAGCAGCTGTCTCCCTGTACAACTGTAGCTTTTGTCAGTCATCCCCTCTCCATAGCTCTGGCTCCTACTGGAAGCTGGTACCATCATTTCTTCTCCTTCCCTTTTCCAACCCAAGGGGAGCAAGAGCTTCCAGGTGCTGCTAGTCTCTGGGTGCTCTGTCATCTCTTGGTTTCTTTAACCCTGCCCACACCTCCATAAATATTCTCTTTGTCAAACTGTCTTCACAGATCCCAGCTAAGTATACCTTCCGTTTCCTGCTGGAACCCTGACTATTAAGTAATAGTTGACCTCAGAACAATCTGCTATGGGTCCTTTTCACTCAACTTCTATACTTCCTGCCTTCTTCTAAATGCTATATTTTTGTTTATTTGTTCTGAAACTTCAGTTTGGCTTTATTTGAGGGGAGTGGATTGTATTAGTTCATTTTCATGCTGCTGATGAAGACATACCTGAGACTGGGCAATTTACAAAAGAAAGAGGTTTATTGAACTTACAGTTCCACGTGGCTGGGGAGACCTCACAATCATGGCAGAAGGTGAAAGGCATGTCTCACATGACAGCAGACCAGAGAAGAGAGCTTATGCAGGGAAAGTCCCATTTTTAAAACTACCAGATCTCGTGAGACCCATTGACTATCATGAGAACAGCACGGGAAAGACCTGCCCCCATGATTCAGTCATTTCCCACTGGCTCCCTCCCACAACTCGTGGGAATTATGGGAGCTACAAGATGAGATTTGGGTGGGGACACAGAGCCAAACTGTATCACTGATCTTACACATAAAGTTACTGATTTTCCAGGTGGGTGCAGATTATTTTGACCTTCGGCTATAGGAACTTCTGTAGTTGTAGATACATATTCGTGAATATATTTATTCATGAATTTTGATCCTTTCCATGGGATTACTCCTTCTTATGCATGAATTTGTAATTAGAAAGTCTCAAGGACTGGTATTCAGTTTCACACAAGCACGCATTATAGTAACTAGCAAGCAATTTTTATCCCTATGAACCATAATAAACATTTAGGTGCATTTCTGGAAAATGTGATTATGCAAATCTCAGCAAGATGCTGTTCATGGCTTGAGTGAGGTCTGTGTGGAGAAGGAGTTTTTTTATTGGTAGCTTAAGGGGTTCAGCAGCTCAAATGCACTCTTTGGAAAACTTAGATATGTATGTTATAATATAATTTTATAGATGAATAAGTGTCTTTCTGTTTGGGTGAATTAATGCACGTTTGCAATGAGGGCAGAGATCAGAAATAGGGGCTTGGGCTGGGTACAGTGGCTCTCACCTGTAATCCCAGCACTTTGGGAGGCCGAGGTGGGTGGATTGCTTGAGGTCAGGAGCTGGAGATCAGCCTGGGCAACATGGCGAAACCCCATCTCTACTAAAAATATAAAAAGTAGCTGGGTGTGGTGGTGTACCCCTGTAATCCCAGCCACTTGGGAAGCTGAGGCATGAGAATCGCTTCAACCCGGGAGGCAGAGGTTGCAGGGAGCCGAGATGGCACTGCTGCACTCCATCCTGGGAGACAGAATGAGACTCTATCTCAAAACAAAAAGAAAGAAAGAAAAGAAATAGGGACTTGAATTGCAGCTTCACACTGGCTCCCAATTTCTTAGAGGTTAAATAAAAAAATACATTTAAATACTTGTCCTGGGATCTAAATCCCTAGACATAATTTGGTATCAAAAAATGTGTAAGACAACCACACACATAGTAGATTTTCAATATCACATTAACAAATCCAATTTTTCTTTCCCCAACCCTCATGATTCATGTTTTCTTAGCCACTGGAATTCTTACATGCCATTTCCAAGTAGGTAGGATTGAAATTTTTAACGGTAGTGTGACTAAGCAGAGATAGCTTCTTATTAGTGTTACATTGCTCTGGGTACCAACTCACCACCTGAGTCACGTTCTACCATGGGCATGTATATATTAAGATAATTGTGGCTTATCAAAGTCCTATTCTAGATTTTTGTTTCCTCAGCACAGGCCCAGGAAACAAACAAACAAAAACCACAGGTTATAAGAGTGCCCAAACATAAGTCTGAATTATGCTTTTGTAGAGGTAGTTGATTTCCATCAAAAGCAATCAACTTAGTAATTAAACATTTATATACTTTTCTCTTTTTTTGAGACAAGGTCTTGCTCTGTTGCACAGGCTGGAGTGCGGTGGCGCTATCATAGCTCACTATAGCCTCCAAATCCTGGGCTCAAGTGATCCTCCCACCTCAGCCTCTCAAGTAGCTGGGACTACAGGCGCATGCCACCATACCAGGTTAATTTTTTTCTTTTATAGAAACAAGGTCTTGCTATGTTGCCCAGGCTGGTCTCAAACTCCTGGGCTCAAGTGATCCTCCCGCCTCAGCCTCCCAAAACACTTGGGATCACAGGCATGAGCTACCATGCTTGGCTCTATATACTTATTTTAAAGGGTTTTTTTTGTTTTGCACTTAACTCACTTAAATGAATAATTAACACTTAAATGAATAATTCCACAAGAAAGTAGCATTTTAATGTTATTTTATAGATTGGTTAACATAGCAGAGGTGCTCAGGTAGAAGGTAATTACAAAATACAGCTCTTATTTTTATAGATATTAGGGATGCATCCCAACAAGGATCTCAAAATCCCAAAGAAGATCTAAGATCTCAAAATCCTGCTGCTGGTTTCTGCCTGAAACTTGGGGACAGAGTTTCATTTTTTAGGTTAAACTTTCAATGCCTCTTGAAATGCAGGTACCACCACTGGAAGATATTAGTCTTTGATTTGGTGGCATGAAACAGAAAACCCAAAATAGCAGTGGCTTAAACCCTTAAGAGTTGATTCTTCCCTCATGTATAGTAAATCCAGAAGAAGGCAATCCAATGTTAGGAGGGAAGTCCCAAGGCCGTCAAGAGCCCAAGCCCTTTTAGTCTTTTTGCTTTATCATTCTAAGTATGTACATTCTACCTCCAAGTTCCACTCGGAGTCCAAGATGGCTGCTGGAGCTCAAGCTGTCATATATGTATTCTGGCCAGCAGAAAAGATTAAGAGGAAAAGGCAAAAAGTACATGCCAGCTCCTACTTTTAAAGAAGCTTCCTGAACATCCCAACCAACCACTTCTCTTTACACCACATCCGTCAACCCTAGCTGCGAGGTAGATTGGGTAATGTAGTCTTGTCACTGGTTCCTTTGCACTCTGGAATAAAACTAAGATTCTGTACCTAAGAATGTAAGATAATGAATTGTCTTGACCACAGAAAGGTAACATTTTCAACTTTCATTAGTCATTTATGCATTAGTGGAGATAAGGGACCTGAATAAATTAATTTAAGAGAGAGTAGAAAAGCACTGGGATCTGAGAAGAGTAGAAAAAAAAAAGGGAGCAAAACTGGACTAGGGAAGGAAAGTTTGAGAAGGGATTCAGTGTTTGACACTTACTAGTTACTCAAGAATTTGTGGAGGGAAGGGAGAAGAGATAGAGGAAGGAACAAAGGAAGAAGGAAGAATTGCTCTTTGGAAAATGCTTTGGAGGTAGAGACCTTGTTGTATTGATTTTTCTATTTCTAGAAGCTCCCAGCTCAGGCTCTTGCCATCCAAGTAGCTTTGGATGTAAAGTCTTTCTTTGAGATCTGATACATTTTGCTCTGCCTTGATGATGTTACATCATTTTGTCATCTTGTTTACATCATTCTCCCCCACTAAATCATGCATGCTTGGTGGAATCAATATGGCCCCCAAGAGGGCAAAACTTGGTTCCTGGGAGGGGAAGTACAAAAATCTTAGGTATGACAATGGTTGCTGACCCTCCAAAAGGCCACAAATATAAAAACAGATACACAGTGTATCTGTGGATTTAAAATTTCATGGGCACGTGGGGTTTGATTAGGGTACAAAAAGGTCTAAAGAGGCTCCTTAGGGGGGCAATAATGAAAAAAGGTTGAGAAACATTGCACTAAGCTATGAGTTCCTTGAGGTCTGGAAAGAAATCTCACTCATTTTGTGTTCCCAGAACCTAGCATGGTACCTGGTACCCAGTAGGTAAGTGAATGTTGAATCAATGCATAAAAGTCTTGAGGGATAGCTTGACAGGGAAGTATTCAAAGAGACAAAGAAATATTTTGTTAATATCACAATTTGGGGCCGGCCCTAACCCCTCCCCTCACCAACTATTCCGGACAGCAAATGAACTCCATCTGCCCATCTCTGAATGAACATATTTCATTCATCCTGGTACACAGGTTGATGGAAAGATAGTTGAAAAAAGAGAGAACAAAGATGAAGGCAGCATTTAAGCAGGAGAAAAGGAGTGAAAAAGAAATATTAGTTATAGGCCAGGCGCAGTGATTCACGCCTGGAATCCCAGCACTCTGGGAGGCCGAGGCGGGTGGATCACAAGGTCAGGAGATCGAGACCATCCTGGCCAACATTGTGAAACCTCGTCTCTACTAAAAATACAAAAATTAGCTGGGCGTACTGGTGCACACCTGTAATCCCAGCTACTAGGGAGGCTGAGGCAGGAGAATCACTTGAACCCGGGAGGCGGAGGTTGCAGGGAGCCGAGATCATGCCACTGTACTCCAGCCTGGCTACAGAGCAAGACTCCGTCTCAAAAAAAAAAAAAAGAAAGAAAAGAGAAATATTAGTTATAAAAGTACCAAAAGGATGGAGAAGAAAAGGCCAAAGTATGGAATGTGGAAAAATTTCTATCCCCATCTATCTCTTTATTTTCCTATTCTCTCTTCTATTTCAGTATTTTTCCCCCCAGGAAGGCATGGAAACTTAAAAAATCTTTGGTCTTTTGCAATACTGAAGCAAATCTGAAAGTTATTTATCACAATAATATGATATTATTTGAAGCAGAAGGTCCCAAGATTTTTGGAGTTTTTATGTGTGATTGTTTGAACATATGGACTGAATGCAGATTGTATATGAATAAATACACCACACAACTGACAGATGTTTTGCCATCCTATAGAAATAACCTAAAGGGAAGCACCTTGTGTGGGGCTTTACACTTTCTTTTTTTTAATGAAAGCATAAATGAATTTCTTTATTTTCTTCATTTCTGGCTTTACAATTTTGATCACATTTTTTATCACCTTCATTTTGTTTTATGGCCAAATATTTATTGTATGGATATATCTTTTTTTTTTTTTTTTTGAGACAGGGTCTCACTCCATACCCAGGCTGGAGTGCAGTGGCATGATCAGGCTCACCAAAGCTTCAACTTCCCAGGTTCAAGCAATCCTCCCACCTCAGCCTCCCACATAGTTGGGACTATAGGCATGTGCCACCATGTCAGGCAATTTTTTGTTTTTTCATTTTGGTAAAGATGAGGTCTCACTATGTTGCCCAGGCTAAGTCTTGAACTCCTGAGCTCAAGTGATCCTCTCACCTTGGCCTCCCAAAGTGCTGGGATCGCAGATGTGAGCCACTGCACCTGGCCTTGGATATATCATATTTTGTTTATCCATTCATTAGTTGATAGAAATTTGGGGTGTTTCTACATTTTGGGTATTATAAATAATGATGCTATGAACATTTATGTGCAAGTTTTTGGGTGGACATACGTTTTCATTTCTCTTGGGTATATACCAAAGAGTAGAATTGCTGGATCATATGGTAATTCTATCTGTAACCTTTTGAGGAATTGCTAGAGTGTTTTCCAAAACAGCTGCATCATTTTGCATTCCCTCCAGCAGTGTATGAGGGTTTTAATTTCTCCATATCCTCACCAACACTAGTTATTATCTCTCCTTTTAACTATAGCCACCCTAGTGGGTGTGAGGTGGTATCTCATTGCGGTTTTGATTTACATTTCCTTGATGGCTAATGATCATGAGTAACTTTTCACGTGCTTATTGTCCATTCTCTTCTTTGGATAGATGTCTATTTAGATCCTTTGCCCATTTTGAATTAGGTTGGCTTTTTATTATTGAGTTGTAAGAATTTGTTGTCTTTTCTAGACACACGTTCCTTGCCAGATATATGGTTTGCAAATATTTTCTCTCATTTTGTGGGTTGCCTTTTCATTTTCTTGATGCTTCTCTTTGAAGCACAATAGTTTTTAATTTTGATAAAGTCCAATTTATCTTTTTTTATGTTGTTTGTGCTTTTTTTTTTCTTTTTTTTCTTATTATACTTTAAGTTTTAGGGTACATGTGCACATTGTGCAGGTTAGTTACATATGTATACATGTGCCATGCTGGTGCGCTGCACCCACTAACTCGTCATCTAGCCTTAGGTATATCTCCCAATGCTATCCCTCCCCGCTCCCCCCACCCCACCACAGTCCCCAGAGTGTGATATTCCCCTTCCTGTGTCCATGTGATCTCATTGTTCAATTCCCACCTATGAGTGAGAATATGCGGTGTTTGGTTTTTTGTTCTTGCGATAGTTTACTGAGAATGATGATTTCCAATTTCATCCATGTCCCTACAAAGGACATGAACTCATCATTTTTTATGGCTGCATAGTATTCCATGGTGTATATGTGCCACATTTTCTTAATCCAGTCTATCATTGTTGGACATTTGGGTTGGTTCCAAGTCTTTGCTATTGTGAATAATGCCGCAATAAACATACGTGTGCATGTGTCTTTATAGCAGCATGATTTATAGTCATTTGGGTATATACCCAGTAATGGGATGGCTGGGTCAAATGGTATTTCTAGTTCTAGATCCCTGAGGAATCGCCACACTGACTTCCACTATGGTTGAACTAGTTTACAGTCCCACCAACAGTGTAAAAGTGTTCCTATTTCTCCACATCCTCTCCAGCACCTGTTGTTTCCTGACTTTTTAATGATTGCCATTCTAACTGGTGTGAGATGATATCTCACAGTGGTTTTGATTTGCATTTCTCTGATGGCCAGTGATGATGAGCATTTCTTCATGTGTTTTTTGGCTGCATAAATGTCTTCTTCTGAGAAGTGTCTGTTCATGTCCCTTGCCCACTTTTTGATGGGGTTGTTTGTTTTTTTCTTGTAAATTTGTTTGAGTTCATTGTAGATTCTGGATATTAGCCCTTTGTCAGATGAGTAAGTTGTGAAAATTTTCTCCCATGTTGTAGGTTGCCTGTTCACTCTGATGGTAGTTTCTTTTGCTGTGCAGAAGCTCTTTAGTTTAATTAGATCCCATTTGTCAATTTTGTCTTTTGTTGCCATTGCTTTTGGTGTTTTGGACATGAAGTCCTTGCCCATGCCTATGTCCTGAATGGTAATGCCTAGGTTTTCTTCTAGGGTTTTTAGGGTTTTAGGTCTAACGTTTAAATCTTTAATCCATCTTGAATTGATTTTTGTATAAGGTGTAAGGAAGGGATCCAGTTTCAGCTTTCTACATATGGCTAGCCAGTTTTCCCAGCACCATTTATTAAATAGGGAATCCTTTCCCCATTGTTTGTTTTTCTCAGGTTTGTCAAAGATCAGATAGTTGTAGGTATGCGGCGTTATTTCTGAGGGCTCTGTTCTGTTCCATTGATCTATATCTCTGTTTTGGTACCAGTACCATGCTGTTTTGGTTACTGTAGCCTTGTAGTATAGTTTGAAGTCAGGTAGTGTGATGCCTCCAGCTTTGTTCTTTTGGCTTAGGATTGACTTGGCCATGCGGGCTCTTTTTTGGTTCCATATGAACTTTAAAGTAGTTTTTTCCAATTCTGTGAAGAAAGTCATTGGTAGCTTGATGGGGATGGCATTGAATCTGTAAATTACCTTGGGCAGTATGGCCATTTTCACGATATTGATTCTTCCTACCCATGAGCATGGAATGTTCTTCCATTTGTTTGTATCCTCTTTTATTTCCTTGAGCAGTGGTTTGTAGTTCTCCTTGAAGAGGTCCTTCACATCCCTTGTAAGTTGGATTCCTAGGTATTTTATTCTCTTTGAAGCAATTGTGAATGGGAGTTCACTCATGATTTGGCTCTCTGTTTGTCTGTTGTTGGTGTATAAGAATGCTTGTGATTTTTGTACATTGATTTTGTATCCTGAGACTTTGCTGAAGTTGCTTATCAGCTTAAGGAGATTTTGGGCTGAGACGATGGGGTTTTCTAGATAAACAATCATGTCGTCTGCAAACAGGGACAATTTGACTTCCTCTTTTCCTAATTGAATACCCTTTATTTCCTTCTCCTGCCTGATTGCCCTGGCCAGAACTTCCAACACTATGTTGAATAGGAGTGGTGAGAGAGGGCATCCCTGTCTTGTGCCAGTTTTCAAAGGGAATGCTTCCAGTTTTTGCCCATTCAGTATGATATTGGCTGTGGGTTTGTCATAGATAGCTCTTATTATTTTGAAATACGTCCCATCAATACCTAATTTATTGAGAGTTTTTAGCATGAAGCGTTGTTGAATTTTGTCAAAGGCTTTTTCTGCATCTATTGAGATAATCATGTGGTTTTTGTCTTTGGCTCTGTTTATATGCTGGATTACATTTATTGATTTGTGTATATTGAACCAGCCTTGCATCCCAGGGATGAAGCCCACTTGATCATGGTGGATAAGCTTTTTGATGTGCTGCTGGATTCGGTTTGCCAGTATTTTATTGAGGATTTTTGCATCAATGTTCATCAAGGATATTGGTCTAAAATTCTCTTTTTTGGTTGTGTCTCTGCCCGGCTTTGGTATCAGAATGATGCTGGCCTCATAAAATGAGTTAGGGAGGATTCCCTCTTTTTCTATTGATTGGAATAGTTTCAGAAGGAATGGTACCAGTTCCTCCTTGTACCTCTGGTAGAATTCGGCTGTGAATCCATCTGGTCCTGGACTCTTTTTGGTTGGTAAACTATTGATTATTGCCCCAATTTCAGCTCCTGTTATTGGTCTATTCAGAGATTCAACTTCTTCCTGGTTTAGTCTTGGGAGAGTGTATGTGTCGAGGAATGTATCCATTTCTTCTAGATTTTCTAGTTTATTTGCGTAGAGGTGTTTGTAGTATTCTCTGATGGTAGTTTGTATTTCTGTGTGATCAGTGGTGATATCCCCTTTATCATTTTTTATTGTGTCTATTTGATTCTTCTCTCTTTTTTTCTTTATTAGTCTTGCTAGCGGTCTATAGATTTTGTTGATCCTTTCAAAAAACTAGCTCCTGGATTCATTGATTTTTTGAAGGGTTTTTTGTGTCTCTATTTCCTTCAGTTCTGCTCTGATTTTAGTTATTTCTTGCCTTCTGCTAGCTTTTGAATGTGTTTGCTCTTGCTTTTCTAGTTCTTTTAATTGTGATGTTAGGGTGTCAATTTTGGATCTTTCCTGCTTTCTCTTGTGGGCATTTAGTGCTATAAATTTCCCTCTACACACTGCTTTGAATGCGTCCCAGAGATTCTGGTATGTTGTGTCTTTGTTCTCGTTGGTTTCAAAGAACATCTTTATTTCTGCCTTCATTTCGTTATGTACCCAGTAGTCATTCAGGAGCAGGTTGTTCAGTTTCCATGTAGTTGAGCGGCTTTGAGTGAGATTCTTAATCCTGAGTTCTAGTTTGATTGCACTGTGGTCTGAGAGATAGTTTGTTATAATTTCTGTTCTTTTACATTTGCTGAGGAGAGCTTTACTTCCAACTATGTGGTCAATTTTGGAATAGGTGTGGTGCGGTGCTGAAAAAAATGTATATTCTGTTGATTAGGGGTGGAGAGTTCTGTAGATGTCTATTAGGTCCGCTTGGTACAGAGCTGAGTTCAATTCCTGGGTATCCTTGTTGACTTTCTGTCTCGTTGATCTGTCTAATGTTGACAGTGGGGTGTTAAAGTCTCCCATTATTAATGTGTGGGAGTCTAAGTCTCTTTGTAGGTCACTCAGGACTTGCTTTATGAATCTGGGTGCTCCTGTATTGGGTGCATATATATTTAGGATAGTTAGCTCTTCTTGTTGAATTGATCCCTTTACCATTATGTAATGGCCTTCTTTGTCTCTTTTGATCTTTGTTGGTTTAAAGTCTGTTTTATCAGAGACTAGGATTGCAACCCCTGCCTTTTTTTGTTTTCCATTTGCTTGGTAGATCTTCCTCCATCCTTTTATTTTGAGCCTATGTGTGTCTCTGCACGTGAGATGGGTTTCCTGAATACAGCACACTGATGGGTCTTGACTCTTTATCCAACTTGCCAGTCTGTGTCTTTTAATTGGAGCATTTAGTCCATTTACATTTAAAGTTAATATTGTTATGTGTGAATTTGATCCTGTCATTATGATGTTAGCTGGTGATTTTGCTCGTTAGTTGATGCAGTTTCTTCCTAGTCTTGATGGTCTTTACATTTTGGCATGATTTTGCAGCGGCTGGTACCGGTTGTTCCTTTCCATGTTTAGCGCTTCCTTCAGGAGCTCTTTTAGGGCAGGCCTGGTGGTGACAAAATCTCTCAGCATTTGCTTGTCTGTAAAGGATTTTATTTCTCCTTCACTTATGAAGCTTAGTTTGGCTGGATATGAAATTCTGGGCTGAAAATTCTTTTCTTTAAGAATGTTGAATATTGGCCCCCACTCTCTTCTGGCTTGTAGGGTTTCTGCCGAGAGATCCGCTGTTAGTCTGATGGGCTTCCCTTTGTGGGTAACCCGACCTTTCTCTCTGGCTGCCCTTAACATTTTTTCCTTCATTTCAACTTTGGTGAATCTGACAATTATATGTCTTGGAGTTGCTCTTCTCGAGGAGTATCTTTGTGGCGTTCTCTGTATTTCCTGAATCTGAACGTTGGCCTGCCTTGCTAGATTGGGGAAGTTCTCCTGGATAATATCCTGTAGAGTGTTTTCCAACTTGGTTCCATTCTCCGCATCACTTTCAGGTACACCAATCAGACGTAGATTTGGTCTTTTCACATAGTCCCATATTTCTTGGAGGCTTTGCTCATTTCTTTTTATTCTTTTTTCTCTAACCTTCCCTTCTCGCTTCATTTCATTCATTTCATCTTCCATCGCTGATACCCTTTCTTCCAGTTGATCGCATCGGCTCCTGAGGCTTCTGCATTCTTCACGTAGTTCTCGAGCCTTGGCTTTCAGCTCCATCAGCTCCTTTAAGCACTTCTCTGTGTTGGTTATTCTAGTTATACATTCTTCTAAATTTTTTTCAAAGTTTTCAACTTCTTTGCCTTTGGTTTGACTGTCCTCCCATAGCTCAGAGTAATTTGATCGTCTGAAGCCTTCTTCTCTCAGCTCGTCAAAGTCATTCTCCATCCAGCTTTGTTCCGTTGCTGGTGAGGAACTGCGTTCCTTTGGAGGAGGAGAGGCGCTCTGTGTTTTAGAGTTTCCAGTTTTTCTGTTCTGTTTTTTCCCCATCTTTGTGGTTTTATCTACTTTTGGTCTTTGATGATGGTGATGTACAGATGGGTTTTCGGTGTGGATGTCCTTTCTGTTTGTTAGTTTTCCTTCTAACAGACAGCACCCTCAGCTGCAGGTCTGTTGGAATACCCTGCCCTGTGAGGTGTCAGTGTGCCCCTGCTGGGGGGTGCCTCCCAGTTAGGCTGCTCGGGGGTCAGGGGTCAGGGACCCACTTGAGGAGGCAGTCTGCCCGTTCTCAGATCTCCAGCTGCGTGCTGGGAGAACCACTGCTCTCTTCAAAGCTGTCAGACAGGGACATTTAAGTCTGCAGAGGTTACTGCTGTCTTTTTGTT
Source organism: Homo sapiens (assembly GCF_000001405.40). Classification (NCBI taxonomy): domain Eukaryota; kingdom Metazoa; phylum Chordata; class Mammalia; order Primates; family Hominidae; genus Homo; species Homo sapiens. The sequence continues at coordinate 19,143,239 of NC_000023.11, read as the reverse complement.
TGTCTGTGCCCTGCCCCCAGAGGTGGAGCCTACAGAGGCAGGCAGGCCTCCTTGAGCTGTGGTGGGCTCCACCCAGTTCCAGCTTCCGGGCTGCTTTGTTTACCTAAGCAAGCCTGGGCAATGGCGGGCGCCCCTCCCCCAGCCTCGCTGCCGCCTTGCAGTTCGATCTCAGACTGCTGTGCTAGCAATCAGCGAGATTCCGTGGGCGTAGGACCCTCCGAGCCAGGTGTGGGATATAGTCTCGTGGTGTGCCGTTTTTTAAGCCGGTCTGAAAAGCGCAATATTCGGGTGGGAGTGACCCGATTTTCCAGGTGCGTCCGTCACCCCTTTCTTTGACTGGGAAAGGGAACTCCCTGACCCCTTGCGCTTCCCAGGTGAGGTAATGCCTCGCCCTGCTTCGGCTCGCGCCCGGTGCGCGCACCCACTGGCCTGCGCCCACTGTCTGGCACTCCCTAGTGAGATGAACCCGGTACCTCAGATGGAAATGCAGAAATCACCTGTCTTCTGCATTGCTCACGCTGGGAGCTGTAGACTGGAGCTGTTCCTATTCGGCCATCTTGGCTCCTCCTCCCGTTGTTTGTGCTTTTGATATCATATCCAAGAAATCATTGCCCAATCCAAGTCCAGGAAGGTTTAGGCCTATGTTTTCTTCCAAGAGTTTCATCATTTTAGCTCTAATATTTAGGTCTTTGATCCACTTTGAGTTAATTTTTGTATATGGTATAAAGTAGGGATCCAATTTAGTTCTTGCATGTGGATATCCAGTTGTCCCAGCACCATTTGTTGAAATAGACGATTCTTGCCCTATTGAATTGTTTTGGCACTCTTGTTGAAAATCAATTGGCCATAAATATAAGAGTTTATTTTGGACTCTTCTATTGCATTGATCTATATGTCTGTCCTTATGCTAATACTACACTGTCTTGATTAACATAGCTTTGCAGTAAGTTTTGAAATTGGTAAGTTTGAGTCTAAATTTGTTCTTCTTTTTCAAGATTGTTTTGGCTATTCTGGATCCCTTGCATTCCCATATGAATCTTCAGATTAGCTTGTCAATTTCTATTAAAAAGCCAGTCTAGACTATGGTAGAGATTACACTGAATCTGTAGGTCAACTTGGGGGCGATTACCATCTTAACAATATTAATTTTCCCAATCCATGAACATCGTTGTCTGTCTATTTATTTAGATCTTTCAACAGTGTTTTATAGTTTTCAGACTATGAGTTTTACATTTCTTTCTTTAATTTTATTCCTGAGTGTTTTATTTTGTTTGATGGTATAGTAAGTGGAATTATTTTACTCATTTCATTTTTTGATTGTTTACTGCAAGTATATAGAGATACGATTGATTTTTGTATATTGATCTTTTAGCCTCAACTTTTCTGAACTTGCGTATTAGTTCTAGTGGTTTCTTAGTGGATTTCTTGGGATTTTCTATATACAAGCTCATGTTATCTGTGATTAGAGATAATTTTGCCTCTTTCTTTCTGACCTGGCTGCCTTTTATTTCTTTTTCTTGCCTAATGTTCTTGGCTGGAACCTCCAGTGCAATGTTGAATTGAAGTATCAAGAGCAGACACCAGCCTGGTCAACATGGTGAACACCCCATCTCTACCAAAAAAAAAAAAAAAAAAAATTTAGCCAGGCATGGTGGCGGGCACCTATAATCCCAGCTACTCAGGAGGCTGAGGCAGGAGAATCACTTGAACCCAGGAGGCGGAGGTTGCAGTGAGCCGAGGTGGCACCACTGCACTCCAGCCTGAGTGACAGAGAGAGACCCTGTCTCAAAAAAAAAAAACAAAAACAGAAAAAGGGCAGATATTCTTGTCTCATTCCTGATTGTAGGGGAAAGCATTCAGTCTTTTGCCATTAAGTATGATGTTATCTGTTGGTTTTTCATAGTTTTTTTAAAAATCAGGTTGAGAAAGTTCCATTCTAGTCCTAATTTGTGGAATATTTTTTATCGTGAAAGGATTTGAGTATTTTTATCATGAAAGCATTTAATCAAATGCTTTTTCTGCATTTATTGAGATGATCATGTGGTTTTTGTCTTTTATTTTTATTTATTTATTTATTTTTGAAGCAGAGTCTCACTCTGTTGCCGAGGCTGGAGTGCAGTGGCATGATCTCGGCTTACTGCAAACTCTGCCTCCCAGGTTCAAGCAATTCTCCTGCCTCAGCCTCCTGAGTAGCTGGGATTATAGATGTGTGCCACCACATCCGGCTAATTTTTGTATTTTTAGTAGAGACAGGGTTTCACCATGTTGGCCAGGCTGATCTCGAACTCCTGACCTCAGGTAATCTGCCCACCTCAGTCTCCCAAAGTGCTGGGATTACAGGCGTGAGCCACTGTGCCTGACCTTTTTATTTTATTAATATAGTGTATCACAGTAATTTATTTTTGGATGTTAAACAAACTTTACATTTCTGGGATAAATCACGTACAATCCTTTTAATATGTTGCTGGATTAGTTTTGTTGCGGATCTTTGCATCTATATTTAGGAGAGATACTGGTCTGTGGTTTTCTTTTCTTATGATGTCTTAGTCTAGTTTTGTTATCAGGGTAATACTAGCCTTATAGAGTGAGTTGGGAAGTGTATCCTCCTCTTTGGTTTTTGGAAGAGTTTGTGAAGAATTGGTATTACTTCTTTAAATATTTGGTAGAATTCAGCAGTAACGCTATCTGGGCCTGGGCTTTTCTTTGAGGGGAGTTTTTTTGATTGGTTATTCAGTCTCTTTACTTGTTACAGGTCTACTCACATTTTTTTATTTCTTCTTGAGTCTGTAATAATGACCCCTTCCTTTCATTTCTGATTTTAGTAATTCGATTCTTCCCTCTTTTTTTCTTGGTCAGTATAGCTTCTTTGTCAAAGAACTTTGTTGATCTTGTTGAAGAGACATTTGATTTCATTGATTTTTCTCATTTTTATATTTTCTGTTTTATTACTTTATGCTCTAATCTTTATTATTTCAACACCCTCTTTTATGGATGAAAAAACTCCGGCTCTAAGAGGCAAAGAGAGTTGCCCTGGAAAATTAACTAATAAAACATTTTATCTTTCCCTTTAAATGTAAGTCTTAAGCTTTGGAGTATAAAATGAATCAACTATTAAGATTCAAAATGCATAGTCCAGGGTTTTCATATAATCCTGTCCACTATAATTAATCATGTGTGAGCAGGTGCATTAGAGAGTGGCTATCTGGTCACTAAAACTAGATCCTCTTCCTCCTGGGCACCTAGGCAGGCTGCATTTCCCAGCCTCCCTACAGTTAGCTATGGCCATATATGACTGAGCTCTAGCCTAGCCAATGAAATGCAAGCGAAAATGACATGTACCACCCAGGTGTGACCCGTAACAACTACCCATTCACATTCTTCTCTCCCTTCCCTCCATCTAACAGCTGGCTATTGGACCCCAGGGCAACCTGGAGAACTACAGGCTGAAGATGGCAGAGCCTCTCTTACTGGCTGTGTCTACCCGATTCAGCCACACTCAAGAGCAGTGCAACCAAGTTCTTTTGTGATATTTGTCATAGAGAAAAAAGAATTGTAACTTTATAGAATTCAACCCTGAGATGGCTCTACATCCCAGAGAGGCAAAGGCTTCCCACTTGAAGCCACGATAGCTTATGTGTGCCTGAGTCTTTAGAATTTGCATGGTAATTTACGAAGTATAAAGGGCTGGCCGGGCGTGGTGGCTCACACCTGTAATCCTAGCACTTTGGGAGGCTGAGGTGGGCAGATCACCTGAGGTCAAGAGTTAAAGACCAGCCTGGGCAACATGGTGAAACCCCGTCTCTACTAAAAATGCAAAAAATTAGCCAGGCATGGTGGTACGCACCTGTAATCCCAGCTCCTCAGGAGGCTGAGGCAGGAGAATCACTTGAACCCAGGAGGCGGAGGTTAAGTGAGCCGAAGTGGCGCCACTGCACTCCAGCCTGGGTGACAGAATAAGACGCTGTCTAAAAAAAAAAAAAAATATATATATATATGTGTGTGTATATATATGTGTATATATATGTGTATATATATGTGTATATATATGTGTATATATATGTGTGTATATATATATGTGTGTATATATATATATATATATAATTTAATCCTAAGAACAGCCCTAGAGTGGGAGTGTAATGTCAATGAGAGTGGAGATTGTGTATATCCTGGTTACCTCTTCATCCCCAGCACCTCCGCAGTATCTGACAATAAGTAATAAATACTTGCTGAATGAGTGAATAGACAATGTTGATCAATGAGAGAGATTTGCAAGAGCCTATCAGCAGTTTAAGCCATAGTTCTCATGTCTAGAGCACTAATAAATGTAAAATAAAACGTCAGTGCTTGGCACTATTTATATATTAATACATATAATATATATGATAATATATATGTACTATATACCATATATTATATATTATGTATAATTTTATTAAATACTTTATTATAGCATAATTTTACTAATTTATTTATATAAATATATATGTTCCTTACTATAATTGGCATTAGAATGACTTTAGAACTTGACCATCTAGCCAGAAAAAACCTGACCAATATGCAGAATCCAATGGGAGGGTTGGGTGCGGTGACTCACACCTACAATCCCAGCACTTTGGGAGGCCAAGGCAGGCGGATCACTTGAGGTTAGGGATTTGAGACCAGCCTGGCCAACATGGAGAAACCCATCTCCACTAAAAATACAAAAAAATTAGCTGGGCATGATGGCGGGCGCCTGTAATCCCAGCTACTCAGGAGGCTGAAGCAAGAGAATCTCTGGAACCAGGGAGGCAGAGGTTGCAGTGAGCCGAGATTGTGCCACTGCACTCCAGCCTGGATGACAGAGTGGGACGGCATCTCAAAAAAAAAAAAAAAAATATTTATATCCAATGGGAGATGGGAGGCATTGGAGTGTTTCAGGCCCCCGAGACAGGACAACAAACGAAAATGTCTGTGGACATTGTTAAATGTGCCCTGAAAGGCAAAAATCACCCTCTCTTGAGAACCACTGATTTAACCCTAAGAAAAACTACAGTTAAGTATAGAGATAAATATGCCAAACCTATAGTATTCATATTTTTGTGTTACATGTGGGAATTCTCTGTGTATATTTACTTGCAATGTCCAAGATAATTTTGATTATTTGATTATCTAACAAGTTAGCCTTGTGCTTGTAGTTAAAATATATATGTGAGTAATTAATTGATTTAGGCTTGTTATGACCAGTTTATCATGCTTGTCAACAGTATTAGGACATTTGAAAGAACTTATTTAGAAGTTTAACATATTAGATTTATTAGAATCAGTGACATTCTTTTTTTTTGGAGATGGAGTTTCACTCTTGTTGCCCAGGCAGGAGTGCAATGGCACAATCTCGGCTCACTGCAACCTCCACCTCCCAGGTTCAAGCGATTCTCCTGCCTCAGCCTCCTGAGTAGCTGGGATTACAGGCATGTGCCACCATGCCCGGCTAATTTTTGTGTTTTTAGCAGAGATGGGATTTCTCCATGTTGGTCAGGCTGATCTCGAACTCCCGACCTCAGGTGGTCTGCCCGCCTCGGCCTCCCAAAGTGCTAGGATTACAGGCGTGAGCCACCGCGCCCAGCCAGTGACATTCTTAAGGAACTTGTTAGGGAACAATGTACCTTCACAGAAAATAAAATATGTTAAAAGTACAAATTTGATATAAATGATTTAAAAGAGCTTAATTATGAAAGTGTCTGTAAAATTATTGATAAAACGAAATTGTATTTATAAAGAAAACAATGGTATTTGCGAGTTGAACTTAAAAATTTAAGAAGGATTTCAGTTTTAAAGTTTGTTAGTTGCATTTGAATTGAATATTATGGTATTTCCAAGAACTACATTAGCCTCTGAATAATATTTTTGCATGCAAAAGCTATCCTTGAGGACACAGCTTTGCACTGACAATGAGAAGTTAGTTGCCTCATAAGGGGTGTGATGGTTTTTAGCATAGTCCCAGGGGACTCTGAGGAACAGTCTTACGTCGTCCTCTTATTTCAAAGAATCACTTTGTGGAATGATGAATAAAATGTATGACTAAAAATGAGTAAATAAGGGGGAAAATGAAGGGAAAAGCATTTCCCAAACATGAGGGCAAATGAAAAACATTAAAACTTTGAAGTTCTACTTGGACACAGGGTGGGGAACATCACACACCGGGGCCTGTCATGGGGTGGGGGGAGGGGGGAGCGATAGCATTAGGAGATATACCTAATGTAAATGATGAGTTAATGGGTGCAGCACACCAACGTGGCACATGTATACATATGTAACAAACCTGCAGGCTGTGCACATGTACCCTAGAACTTAAAATATAATTTAAAAAAAAAGCAAGCTTTGAGGTTCTAAAAATTCATTTTGAGGGGAGAGAAATTCAGGAGAAGGTATCAATACTCTCCTCTCCTAAATCAATTTTTTAAAATATAGACTAGGAAGATATTGTGTAAAACTATCTAGAACAGTGTTTCTTAAATTTTAATGTGCATACGAGTCACTTGGGAATCTTATCAAAATCCCAATTCTGATGCCGGAGGTGTGGAGTGAGGGCCTCAGATTCTACACTTCAAACAAGCTCCCAGGTGTTGATGTCAATCCTGGTTCCAAAACCACACTCAAACTAGCAAGAAGCCAGAAGGCCAGCTGTTATCATTCTCTTCACTAAAGACAAGGAATATCCGTAACTTTCATAGGCAAGTCCCAAAGGGACTTCTGCCCTCATAGAGGTGGGCAAAGAAGTGGGGAGGGTCTTCGCTGGTGACCTTCTTCATTCATTCACATATTGAGGCCCCTGTCCTCAGGGGTATGGATATCAGCAGCCATTATTGACTCTTAGATTGGACCAAGGTTGGTAACTGACAGATGTTTTGCTAGCCTATAGAAATAACCTAAAAGGAAGCACCTTGTGTGGGGCTTTACAATTTTGAAAGCCTTTTTAATCCCTTCATTCCTTTTTATGGCCAAACAATATTTTATTGTATAGATCTACCACATTTTGTTTATCCACTCATTAGTTGTAACTACTTACAGTCAAATTCTTGTCTTAGGTTTGGGTTCTGCTTTTTTTTTTTTTCCTGAGATAGGGTCTTGCTCCATTGCCCAGGCTGGAATGCAGTGGCATGATAATAGCTCACTGCGGCCTCCACCTCTCATGCTCAAGTGATCCTTCCACTTCAGCCTCTCAAGAAGCTGGGACTACGGATGTGCACACCCACACCCAGCTAATTTAAAAATTTTTCTTTTTGTAGAGATCCAGGGGGTGTGGAGGGGCGGGTCTCACTATGTTGCCCAGGCTGGTCTCAAACTCCAGAGCTCAAGTGATCCTCCTGCCTTGGCCTCCCAAAGTGCTGGGATTACAGTTGTAAGCCACCGTGCCCAGCTGGATTTTGCATATCTAAAAAGCACCCAGTTTATGCACATACCACTGTGTTTATGAACCGCACTTTGAATGGCAAGGTTCTAGCTGGATCATCTCTTTTCAACCTCACAATAACCTTATGTACGATTAATATCTCCATTTTATAGAGAAGAAAACCAAGTACTAAGGAGATGAAGTAATTTGCCCCAGCAGTCAGGCTGGCATTATGACTTTGTCTACATTTTAAAATTAGAATTATCTAGCTAGTGGTTCTCAACTCTGGCGGCACCTTAGACTCACCTACAGAGTTTTAAAAAATACAGATGCCTCCACCATATAAATCTGATTCTCTGAGGATGGGATCTAAGCATCAATAATTTGTTTAACCTCTCCAGGTGGTTCCAATGGGTAGCCAAATCTGAGTACCACTGATCTAAGTCAGCCCTGTTCTTTTACAAATGAGGACACTGAGGCCTCCAAAGGGTCAGTGTTTGTGATTTAAAAAAAAAAAAAAAAAACAAAAAAACCCAGGTCCTGAGATTCAGCAAATATCCTAAAAAGCAGCTACTGTAATACAGTCTGGGGTTGGGAGGAGTTGTTTCTCTTTGTAGAAAAATAGACCTTATTAAGTGATAAACCCACAAAAGCCTATAGGATACTCATTAAAAGAGACTAAAGAGGATCTAATTTAGAATGAATTTACATTATTCTGATGCAAAAAGATATATGACTGTGTTTTCAGGATCAGAATTCGCCTCAGAAACCCAGAAGGATGTCAGGGGTGGTGGATGTGCTGGGCTTTAGCATAATGTCTCTCATCCCCACTGGAAGGGAAAAAAAAAAAAAAAAAGAGCAACAAACTGTACTTTCATTGGGTACAGAAAAAAAATTGTGAAAATCTCAAGAAATTTCACATCTACCCCCAGAGTGCATAGAATCACCAATTTTGAAGATCGCTGGATTCACTAATAGTTTACACTATTCATGAAGTGATTGAGTCATTCATTTGACAAATATTTGTTAAGCACCTGCTGTGCTCTAGGCACTTGAAAATATGGCAATGAACAAGACAGATCTAGAGGTTATAATATAAAAAGGAATCTGCCCATCATTAATATCCTAGTCCTTGACTTCAAGAGGAGGCGTGTGACCTACGCTTAGCCAATCACAATGCTCCATTCTCCTCACCATATGATGGTTCAAGCCAGACCAAGGAGAGTCTGTCTCTGGGATGAATATACACTGAACCAGGGATCAAGAGTTCTCTTTCTTCTCTAGGATTGCTACCAGGGCCAATATAAACCCTTGTGGAGAAATATGGGGACCAGCTGCTGAGAGGTAGGAGGCAGGGGGAAGGGAGAGGAAGAGGACGAAAGGAAAAGAAAGTAACAAAAAAATCCAATGACATCATTTGAATTCCTGTATCCAGAATCCACTCCACTTCTGTCCTTCCCGGATATGTGAGCTGATAAATTCCCTTTCTTTCTTTCTTTCTTTTTGTTTCTTGCAGTGGTGTGATCATAGCTCACTACAGCCTCCAACTCCTGGGCTCAAGTGATCCTTCTGCCTCAGCCTCCTGAGTAGCTGAGACCACAGGCATGCATCACCATGTCCAGCTAATTTTTTATTTTTGGTAGAGACAGGGTCTTGCTATGTTGCCCGGGCTAACCTCAAGCTCTTGGCCTCAAGTGATCCTCCTTCCTCAATCTCCCAAAGTGTTGGGATTACAGGTGTGAGCCACGGTGCCCAGCCAAATTCGCTTTCTTACTTAAGCTAGTTTGAGTCAAGTTTCTGTCACTTGTGACCAAAAGAGCCCTGACTCAGACTGATCCTAGACTCATGGAATGAACAAGCTATAAGAACCTCTGAGTTCATCTAATACAATGGCTCTCAAAGTGTGGTCACTGAACCATCAGCGTCAGCCTCGTCTGGGAACTTGTTAGAGATGTAACTCCTGGGGTCCCTCCCCAAAACTACTGAATCAGGAAGTCTGGAGGTGGAGCCAGCAATGAGTTTGAACAAGCCCTCTAGATGATTTTGATCGGCTCTAAAGTTTGAGAAACACTGTTCTAATACATCCTTTCCATGAGATGTGAAACCAGAGGCCCAGAAAAGGGAGTTAACTTGCTGAAGGTCACAAAATGAGTTAGTGTGGCCCCAGACCCTCTTAGTAATCCAAGAGCTGTTGGGTTTGGGGAAGGAGGGCCACTTGGAGTATTGAGGGAAGTAACACATGGATTGGCAAAGAGGAGGGGGGAAAATATTTTGGGTCAAATAATACAGTATGGTTGGAAACACTTGCTATGTGTTTCCACAGGAGTTTGGAGAATATTTTACTCATCTTGGCTCCCCAGATGAGCCAACAACAATGTGTTAAAACTCCACAGCCAATGGCAGAAATCCAAGAGAGTCCTTTTTATGTGCCAGCAAAGAGGAATTTCTTAGAAAAGCTACAGAAACTCTGCTACTATCATATTTCGCTTTGTGGAGTGGAGGAATAGGAGGATGAAACAAAAGGCATGGGGCTGAAGTTATTCCTAAGAGCCTCGCCTCTCCAATTGCAAGAAAGGGATTTGATTGTTCTTGCCAGGGCAGCAGATCCTCAGAGGGAAACTGGGCACCTAACCTGGTGACTTGGAGAGTAACTTGTGGTTTTGAACTTTCTTTTTCAGGTGGACAGAGAGAGCAGCAGTGTCCCAGAGTGGCCCTGGAAACTCGATTTAGTAGGCTGCTTTCCAGTGATTTGCCCAGCCTGCCCCGGGGACGTGGTCCATCCAGAGGCAAACCTAAGAGATGAAAGGGCTTGGCACCAATATTTCTGACGCTTTCTCTTTAGTCTCTTCTTCTCCTACTCTTGAGTGTACAGATGGGCAAAGGAAGGAGCAGAGCAAAAGACCAAGAGAAGTTGCTGGCACCACCAACGTTAGATAGTGCAAGCTTTTGATAGTCAGTATATACTACATCTACTCCAGCGTGGCCAATGTCATCCAGGAAGGCACTGGTTAAAAAACAAAGCAAAACAAAAGCATGACCTCCTCTCACAGAAATCCATGATCCACACATTAATTCATTAATAATGATTGAATATCAACTATGTGCTAGGCACAGATCCAGGGACTGGGGACACAATAGCCACAAAAATAGTTAAAAAAAAAAAAAAAAAAAAAAGGCCAGGCGCAGTGGTTCACGCCTGTAATCCCAGCACTTTGGGAGGCTGAGGCAGGCGGATCACCTGAGGCCAGTTCAACAGCAGCCTGGCCAACGTGGTGAAACTTCGTCTCTACTAAAAATACAAAAATTAGCTGGACGTGGTGGCAGGCACCTGTAATCCCAGCTACTAGGGAGGCTGAGGCAGGAGAATCACTTGCACCCAGGAGGCAGAGTTTGCAGTGAGCCAAGATTGCACCACTGCACTCCAGCCTGGGCTACAGAGCAAGACTCCATCTCAAAAAAAAAAAAAAAGAAAGAAAAAAGAAAAATAAGACTTTGCCTCATGGAACTTACCTCCTGACTTGTCTTTTTGGGAGACAAACAATAAACAAAAGAAGTAATGTGTGTTAGTTGGTGATTAGTGCTATGGAGAAAAACTAAGCAGGGAAACAGCGATTCAGCCAGGAGTAGTGAGGGAAGGAGTTTAAAGTATAAATAGGTTGGTCAGGGAAGACATTACTGGAATCTGGTGTGGTCTTGGTGATGAACTCTCAAGAAAGATCTACTGAAACTAGGAAAGACCATGAGAAAGAGACTCAAATTATCAATCAAGAAGTAACTACTAGGCCAGGCACGGTGACTCACGTCTGTAATCCCAGCACTTTGGGAGGCTGAGGGCCGGTGGATCACTTGAGGTTAGGAGTTCAAGACCAGCTTGGACAACATGGTGAAACTTCATCTCTACAAAACATACAAAAAGTTAGCTGGGCATGATGGCATGTGCCTGTAGTCTCAGCTACTCTGGAGACTGAGGTGGGAGAATTGTCTGAGCCCGGGAAGTCAAGGCTGCATTGAGCCATGATCATGCCACTGCACTCCAGCCTGGGCAACAGAGCAAGACCCTGTCTCAAAAAAAAAAAAAAAGAAAAAGAAAAAAAAGAAACTATTGATACCTACTATGGCATGGTTGGTATCAAATATTCCATATGCTTTCCTACATTTCCCAGCCTCCCTTGCAGTTACATTGGGGCCACAGGATTAGGACTGGCCAATCAATCATGAGCAGGAGTGATATGTGTCACTTCTGGACCAAGGCATTTAAAAGCCCAGTGCCTCTCCCACCCTTCTCTTCCCTGCCTCAGCCATCTTGGGAGTACATGTTCCTGATGCCTTACCTTTAAGGTAGAGAGAGGTATCTTGTCCTGCCTCAGACTTCATGTAAGGAGAAATCCATCTTTGTGGAGTGAAGCCCTTGAATTTCAGGTTTGTTACTGCAGCATAGCCTAACTTTATTTGACAAATACATCTAGTCTACCTAGATACAGGCATGAAGACTTAGGGGGAAAAAATGAGGCAGCAGGGCTTGCTCTCAAGGCCCTTATATTCTAGTTGAAGATGAAAACTGTGACTTAAATCCAACATTCAAGGCCATGAGTCATCCGTGCTTAATGAATGCTGCAGATGGTGAGGGCTTTGGGAATTCAGTGGAGGGAAGGACATAGGATGCTGTCTGGCATCCCGGGATTGGCAGATCATTGTAGAATCAATAGATGAGAGAGCAGAGGAGGATTTGAAGAAGGGAAAGGGCAGTGGAGTATCTTTCCCATCAGAGTGGGGTCCATGGACCAGCAGCATCAGCATTGCTCAATAGAAATGCAGAATCGCAGGCCCCACCTCAGAGCTACTGAAACAGAATCTGCATCTTAACAAGACTCCTAGGTGGCTCATGTGCACATTGAGATTTGACGCGTGCTAATCCAGTGGACACCAGTGGGTGGCTGTCTCAGTCCATTGGGGCCGCTACAACACATTGCCTTAGACTGGGTACTTATATCAACAACAAGAACTCATTGCTCACAGTTCTGGAGGCTGGGAAATTCAAAATCAAGGTGTCAGCAGATTCCGTGTGTAGGGAGGGCCTGCTGGTTCATAGATGGCACCTTCTAGCTGTGTCCTCACATGGCTAGTTCTCTTGGGTCTCTTCTTTAAGGGCACTAATCCCATTCATGAGGGCTCTGGCCTCATGACCTAATCACTTCTAAAAGGCCCCACTCCCTAATACTATCACATTGATGATTAGGTTTCAACATAAAAAATTTTTATGGGACACAAACATTCAGACCATAACAGTGGTCTACCCTGAACCCATTCCTCCCTGCATCCCACCTCCATGCAGCCCATGTGACTCAGGGTCCACTGATCCCATCCCCAGCTGCAGAATTAGTCTCTAAGGGTAGTTCCCAGACTAACAACATCAGCATCACTAGGGAATTTGTTAGAAATGAGGCCAGGCGAGGTGGCTCACGCCTGTAATCTCAGCACCTTGGGAGGCTGAGGCGGGCGGATCACCTGAGGTCAGGAGTTCAAGACCAGCCTGGCCAACGTGGTGAAACCCCATCTCTACTAAAAATACAAAATTAGCCAGGCCTGGTGGCGCATGCCTGTAATCCCGGCTTCTCAGGAGGCTGAGGCAGGAGAATTGCTTGAAGCTGGGAGGCAGAGGTTGCAGTAAGCCCAGATGGCGCAATTGCACTCCAGCCTGGGTGACAAAGGCGAAACTCCGTCTCAAAAAAAAAAAAAAGAAAAGAAAGAAATGTACAATCAGGTATGTAAATTCCCAAACATCACCCAAGACTACTGAATTAGAAACTCTGAGGCTGGGGCCGGCCCAGCAATCTGTATTTTAACAAGCCTTCCTGGTGATTCTGATGCAGCCTGACATTGGAGAACCACCGGTCTTCACGGATCATGGTAATCACATTCCCCTTGATAATTATTGGTTCCTGAACCCAGGCTTAAGCCAATCCATTTCTGGCCTTCCCCTGGCATCTGTAATTGGTCCAGAGGTGGTCATGTGACCTACTTTGGCCCAATCAGACTGAAAGGAAAGTTATTTACTCCACAGTTGGAGAGGTGTTTTCTTTTTTCCCCCTCCTGCCCCTTCTCTTATCCCTCTTGATGCACACAGCCAAGGTATTGTGTTGCCTTCTTTGCCACTGACTGCCAGCATATGACCATGAGGAAAACCAGGGCGAGGGCAGAGCTGAAAGGACCACAGCAAAAAGGAGCCAGAATCTTTGCACTATGCCTCTGGCCTTCCTGTTCCCTGAACAATATATTTCCTTATGATTTAAACCAGTGGATTTGTGGTTTCTGATCCTTATAGCCAAAAATGTTGTAACGACAGATGAAACTAAGGAAGTATGAAGCCAATGGGCATAACAAAAATATTTTAATATGATGACGGATGTAATTAAGTTAACAGGCATTTTTCCCCCAAATTCCAAAACTCTAGATCCAGGTAGCATAACTGTTACAACTTGAGAAAAGCAACTTAGTACAAATAAAATGGAGCATTACTTTATGCAGTGGGTCCTTGATTGGAGAATTGGTTAAAAACATACAAATGGGGGCTGGGCACGGTGGCTCATGCCTGTAATTCCGACGCTTTGGGTGGCCGAGGAAGGCGGATCACTTGAGGTCAGGAGTTTGAGACCAGCCTGGGCAGCATGGTGAAACCCCATCTCTACTAAAAATACAAAAATTAGCCAGGCGTAGTGGCATGCGCCTGTCGTCCCAGCTACTCGAGAGGCTGAGACAGGAGAATCACTTGAACCCAGAAGGCAGAGGTTGCAGTGAGCCAAGATCACGCCATTGCACTCCAACCTGGGCAAAAGAATGAGACTCCATCAAAAAAAAAAAAAAGAAAGAAAGAGAGAGAAGGAAAGAAAGAAAGAAAGAAGAAAGAAAGAAAAGAAAGAAAGAGAAAGAAAGAAAGGAGAAAGAAAGAGGAAAGAGAAAAAGAAAGAAGGCTAAAAGAAGAAAAAAAAAGGAAGGGGACTTAAAATGAGGCATATTCTTAGGTGAAATGAAAAAAACAATAGGGTAATATACAAATGAGCCTGGAGCATATTATGGTGCCAGAAAGTAAGAAAGTGCTCAAGAAAGAATGGAGACACAGGAGCCAGCCTGAAAGAGCTTGCAATGACTGAAGCTGGGACACTGACAATAAAGTCAATAATAACAACATTGGATTCTAACCCAAAGACTAAACTCCTTGTCCATGAATTCATATTGACATAAATAAATAATTGAATAAATAAATGGGAGAGAATTCTTCCCTATAGAAGGATTCCAATGAATTCACATAGAAGGAATGAGGGAAATAGAAAATCGCCTTTAGAACACCACAGGAATAATTGTTGCATGCATGATCTACCGATGGATGCTAAAATTAGTGGGAGAAGGTTGGAGGAGAAACAGGATATTTGCATAGTCTCGAAGTATCTTCCTCTAGGGGAAAACGGATAGAGAAGGCAAACTAGGGTGCTATAGGGATGTGTCTGTCCAGAATTTTCTCCTGAAATGTGCCCTGTGGTTTCAGAGACAGGAAAAGCAAGAGATTTGGTTTAAAATCGCACGGCCAGGAGTTCATGGACTCCTCCAAGAAACAAAAAGGGCCATTGCTGTTCAAATTTGGACTGAGCTAGATGTGACCTGGCCCTGAGAGTTGTCTCTTCTCACTACTAAAGAGCCACATGTGCTTGCCCTCCTCCCTCAACTCCCTACTCCAACCCCCAAGCCCTGGGCTCACTCACTGCCAGGCAGGGTGGTGGTGAGTTTCACAAACTAATCCCAGCGTGCAGATTGACTGTGCTGCCTTTAGTTTCCTCCGGATTTTCGGGTTATTTGTGTTGGCACAGGGCCACCAGCTCTTCCTAACTTGGAACACATTCTCAAAAAGGGCTGGTCCCACCTTCCTCATCTTGGTTGAGGCCAAGGTCTGGTTTCATTTTTCATTAAACTGCCATTTGTAACTTTCATTGAAGAGAATGACAACATGTCCAACTGTCTTCATTCAGTGTTTTCCCAAGAGAGGGCCTTTTTGCCTCCCACGAGACAGTGTGTGATTTATTTATCTCATCCGTTGTGCAATAGGTTCACCACCATTGCAACTAACACAATGTTCCAGAAAAAAAATGCTGTATCACACAGTGACTTCACTCAAGTTGGCAGTGATTGGTTTCTCACCTAGATCCACCAAAGCCTATACCATGGAGGTAGAATTGCATCACCAGAGACTTCTCTGGTTTGATTGTGAGGGGGGACTATAGGGCTGGGACTGCATCTTGCCCATCTTCATCTGCCCCGGGTCTGGCATGTAGTAGGTGTGGTAGTCATCGGTGCTGTTCACCAAGTATTTCCAACTCTTCACTTCGCAGGCCCTTCTAGGGCTGCATTTCCTGGCCCTCTGTGTCTGGGTGCAACTATTTGCACAGTTCCAGCTGATGAGTTGGGTGCAGAAGCGTTGTACACCACTTCTAGGCTACAGCATTTAAATACTTGTGGTCCAGAGCTCTCTTTTCCCTCTAGCTCGGCAACCAGCAATGTTTGAGAAGGTGGCTACTCAGTCATCCTGGATCCCTGATTGACTGCAATAAGTAAACACCCCCTTCTAACCTATGATGCACATGTAGTGTGAGTAAAAAAATTAATGTTTTTGGCCAAGCGCGGTGGCTCATGCCTGTAATCCCTGCACTTTGGGAGGTCGAGGTAGGCAGATCACTTGAGGTCAGGAGTTTGAGACCAGACTGGCCAACAGGGTGAAACCCGGTCTCTACTAAAAATACAAAAATTAGCCAGGTGTGGTGGTACACACCTGTAATCCCAGCTACTCGGGAGGCTGAGGCAGGAGAATTGTTGAACCCAGAGCCAGAAGTTACAGAGTACGTCACTGCACTCCAGCCTGGGTGACAGAGTGAGACTCCATCTCAAACAAAACAAAACAAAAACAAACAAACAAAACACCTTTGTTTATACTAACCACTGAGATTTTGAGGGTTGTTTGTTACTGCAGAATAACCTAGGCTATCCTCACTGATACCATATGCATAAAATACATGTTTGTTGAATGAATGAATGAATGACTTAAGCCAGAAGAGACTGCTGAGCAGTGTTGCTCTAGAATTCCTTTCTATAAAGAAGAGATTCAGACATGGTAATCTGATTACACGTGTGTGGGAAGTGAGGACCATGTTGGTGAGGGGACTTTTCTTGTTTTGTTTGCATAGTACACTATTTTTATTACATGTCTTTTATTTGGGCTATGAGAGTGCTGATGGGGATTATGGGGGGCCTAAAGCCCCCCAAACCAAACCTTGGCATTATCACTGAAGTTTCAATTGACCTTGCCACCTCCTATGTCTTTTACAAGTGGGGAAACTGAGACCCAGACTGTCTAAGTGATGATACCCATTAGTTAGTGGCAACACTGGTAAACACCAAGCCCCTCGTTTCCTGATTGTCTACCTGGTGCTTTTGCTATGACACCATTCCACCTTTCACACCCAGGTGTTAAGAGAGCAGGGGCTTGAGAGTTGTGCTCTGACTTATTCCAGTCCTGGCTCTGCCACTTACTAGCTGTGGACCTTAGGAAAAGCACTTAACCTATCTGTGCCTTGGTTTCCTCAGCTGTACAGTCCTCTGTGGGTTGCCACGAGGATTTTGTGAAATCAAGTATAAAGTATGTAAAGATCTAGCAGTATTAGTCGATTGTTACTGTTATCCTAAACCCTCATCCCACAGTCTTTTTTTTTTTTTTTTTTTTTTTGAGTCAGTGTCTCACTCTGTCACCCAGGCTGGAGTACAGTGGTGCAATCCCGGCTCACTGCAGCCTTGACCTCCTGGGTTCAAGCGATCCTCCCACTTCAGCCTTCTGAGTAGCTGAGACTACAGGCAACGCCACCATGCCCAGCTAATTTTTGTACTTTTCTGGGTATAGATGAGGTTTCACCATGTTGGCCAGGCTGGTCTCGAACTCCTGGGCTCAAGCAATCCTCTTGCCTCAGCCTCCCAAAGTGCTGGGATTACAGGCATGAGCCACCACGCCCAGCCCAGCTCACCGTCTTGATTTGCACCTGAGCCCCATGTTCTCTTCATGCTCTGTTTCCCTTGGGAAAGAATGAATCTGTTTTAGACCATCATGTGCTCTATTTGTAGACGATTTGGCCACAGGTCAATTACATTTGAAGTTCTAAGGAGAGCCGTGCCCTGAGCACTGGTGAGCTGTCCTCCTCTGCCACCTCCCTTTGCCAAGAACCTTCATTAAGGGACCTACCAGTGGGAAGGGGGCAAGGTGACAAGAACTTTTGCCTTCTCTATTCGGTCTCTGCCATATTTGCTGCCTGACTGATGCCTGCTGATCAAGCTCCATCACTGGTTCAAAGACCCTGTGGGACTACAGCCAAAGCCACCCACTCTTCAGTTGCTGGGACATCAGCCCACAGGCTTTGGATAAATATTCACCTGCAAATCCTGAGCAGCCATAGCCTTCCTTCATATCTCCAGATAGTACCCGTGTAGAAGGCATGTGACTAGGGCTCCCTCTCTCAGAAAAGGCAGAAAAACCTGTGGCTGGAGGGCCGGGGTTCCCTCCTTAATCCCAACCTCTTTCCTCTTCCATAGGCCCTGATGTCAGAGTTATGTGAATCTGAGAGTGTGTGTCAAGAAGAATGAAACTTTGGCTGAAAGTGCAGCAAAATATGAATTTTTAAGAACTGTCTTATTTATGTTTTTTAGACATATTTCTTTTCTTTTTCTTTCTTTTCTTTTTTTTTTTTAGAGACAGGATCTCACTCTGTCACCCAGGCTGGAGTACAGGGTCATGATCATAGCTCATGGTAGCCTCCAACTTCTGGGCTCAAGCCATCCTCCCACCTCAGCCTCCTCAGTAGCTGGGATTACAGGGGCAAGCCACTGTGTCTGGCTACCAGTTTTTGATAAAGCTAAACTTACCATATGACATAGCACTCTTACTTCTAGGTATTTACCTAAGTGAAATAGAGGTTTATATTCACACAAAAAGCTGTATGTGAATATTTATATTGCCTTTATTCACAATAATCAATAGCTGGGGCTACAGGCATGCACCGCCATGCCTGGCTGATTTTTTTTTATTTTTTATTTTTACAGAAATGGAGTCTCACTATGTTGCTCAGGCTGGTCTTGAACTCCTGGGCTCAAGCAATCCCCTCACCCCAGCCTCCCAAAGAGCCTTAAAGTCCTTTTTTAAACAGCAAGTTTGTTTAAAGGAAAAGCATACTTACTCTGGTATCACGCTTAACTTTAGAAATTCAAGCAACTGTTAATATGAGATAGACATATATTAACTTGTTATTGACGTGAGACATACATACAGAAAAGTGCTCATAGATCCGTTTAAACTGTACCCAGATCAAGAAGCCAGACATTACCTGTAAGCCCTTCTTATTCTCCAGTGACCGCTATCCTAACAGCATAGGTTAGTTTTGCCTGTTTTATCCTTTACAGAAACAAAATCATATAGTGTCTGTGTTTTTGGGCCTGACTTCTTCACTCAACATTGTTTCAGAGGTTCATCTATATTAAGCATAGCAGTGGTTCATGCAGTCTCATTGCTGTCTGGGATTCCGCTTTGTGACTATACCATCACAATGTCTGCGATCCATTCTGTTGGTGGGCATCTGGGTCATTTCCAATCTGGGCTATTGCAAATATACTGGTATGATATTCTAGTTCATATCCTTTGGTAAACATACACACTGATTGAGGTTGTGTGTACATCCAGAAGGGGAATTGCTGGTCAGAGGGTAGTTGTACTCTCAGCTTTAATAGATTCTGCCAAAGAGTTTTCCAAAATGCTTGTAAAAATTTACACTCCCACTAGCGGTGTATGAAAATTCTTTAGGTATGAGGTCTATGTAAAGCAAAAATAAAGAAGTTAATATGCAAAAGTTATATGTAAGTTAAAAATACGTGTTAAGTTCATTCAAACGGAACCAATTTAACCCGTTGGAGTAATACCGGGTGTGTTTATTTAATACACCATTTTCCCCTTCATCAAAACTTTTAATTTATGTAACCTGGATGAGCTTCCTGACTCTACTCTCCCTTAATCCAATCAGTTAAAAGTCTCTCTGAAAAGACTGTCCATTCATTTATTCAGTTAGAATGTTGTGAGTGTTAATAAACTGGTGTTTGCAAAACAAATTCAACCCCTCCTGCAAAGCAGAATATACATCTCGCCCATCATGTGTCTAAAATGGCAGAGTCAGCCAGGATATGCCTTAAAGATCTGCACTTGATAACCATCGCGTCTCCAGGGCTGTGAATGCAATTCAGAATCCAGAATTTTGTTCTAGTTGTAAAGGAAAAATGGTATATTCTCCCGCAGGTTTAACGAAAGAGAACGATGCCTTTAAAACGACAAAGCATTTTGCAAACACAGGTGTTATTCGACTATAAAGGCGGCGGGGGAGGGGGGCAGTAAAATGAGCCGGAAAGGGAATTCAGAGCGCTTATTTTTTCCCTGGTCTCTACAACTAATTCGTATTGTAGAACTGAGCCTCCATTTTCCCATCTGTAAAATAGGGTACTTTGACAAATTGCTTAGGGGATCTGTAAGTCCTATCCAGATCTAGTTTTTATTCTATGACCATGCAGGAGGAGAGATGCTGAGACAGAAAGGTAGAGGGGACCAGGGACAACTCACTTTATATACCCCCTCCACCTCGACCCCCAGCAGGCAGAGCGCCCGAGATCCCGGTTTCTGGGAACCCGGTGTATTTCCAGTCCTTCACCAGGAAAACCATCGAACTGAATCCTTTACTGGGACATTTCTCGTTTACTGCTCTCTCCAAATTCCCCTCTCAAGTGGTCTGACATCTGATCTCCGGATTCAGGAATATCTTGGTAGAAGTGCGCCCTCGGGGCTCCCACCCATTACAGCGTGCGACACTGAAACGGGCATATGGGTACCGGGGCGAGCCCTAAAGGTGAGCCGCTGAGTCTGGAGGTTGGGGTCCGTTGGGGTCCCCAAGGAGGAGCTCGCTGGGCTGGACGCCGGGCATCTGAGGGTCCCGCAGTGCCTGGAGCCCAGGAGCGCTGCGGGGCCCCCGGCTGCGGTGGGGTGGGCGGCCGAGCTCGCCGCCCCCGCTTCTCCCCGGCCCCTGCCCCTGCCCCGAGCTCCCAGCCCGGCTTCGGCCGGCCGCGCTGCCCGCTCCCCCTCCTCCCTCCGCGCCCCGCCCGCTCCCCACCTCCGCGCCCAGCCTCGCCGCCGCCGAGCGCCCGACGCGCCACGCCGCGCTGGGCAGCTGGAGAGCTGGCGGCGGAGCGGGCCGGGAGCGGCGGGGGCGGCGCCGAGGCCGCGGGCGGGGGGAGGAGGGCCGCAGCCCCGGAGAGGGGAAAAGGCGGGCCGGACGGCGCCAGCAGCCAGCCCCGAGGACGCGAGCGGCAGGTAAGCGCTCGGCGCCAGGACGGGTCTGGCCCCTTGGGGTCCTGAGACCCAGACTCGCACAGCCGGCCACGGGCGCTGGAGGCTCGGGCGCAGCGTCTAGCCCCGGAGGGCGGCGGGCCAGCGGGCCGGCGGGACGAACGCGCCTTCCGCCCGGCTGCTGTTCCTAGCCGGGGCCCGGGAACATCCTGAAAGGCGGAGGCGTAGCTCCCAGCCCCGGGGCTAGTTCCCCGACTGGGGGAGCCCGCGCGCCGTGGGAAAGGAGGCTCCAAGGGGAGACGCGCGTCTCCAAAACCTTCGGACGGAGCCGTACTTTCCCCAACCCGCGGGAAACTGAGCCACGAGCCTGACTCGCGCGGGTGGTGTGCTAGACGCCAACTCCCGGGAGCCCGGCTCCGCGCGCCTGGTCGGGCTGCGGCGGTGCTGGCGGAGCGCGAACGCGCCCGGGCCCCGGACGGCTTGGGGCGGCACCACTCGGCGCGGCCCCGAACAGGTGGCCCCGGGCACCGAGGGACGGAGCGGCGGCCCGGAGCCAGGGGGTGAGCACGCCGGGGAAGGAGGGGGCTCGTGGTCTCGGAGTGAGCGCATTTCGGCAGGGACTCGAGTTTCGAGGCTCCGAAACCCGATAAAAAGTGAGGGGGAAGAAGAGAGCTGACCTCCCGAGAGCCAGACGAAGCAGGGGACAGGTTTTCCGTGGCTGCTTCGACAGTGACAGTCTGTACTGTGCACGATAATCCCCCAGGGATCCCGTTAAAATGAGATTCTGATCCCGCAGGTCTGGGGTGGGGGCCGAGCGTCTGCATTTCTAAGAAGCTCCCAGTGGCTGCTGATGCTGTTCCATGGACCACACTTTATCCGGCAGGCCCTACGGAAGTACTTTTTGTCCAGCAGGCTGAAAACCTTAGGAAAAGTGGGAGATTGGGAGACGAGGTCCTAAGACTTTACAGTATGTATAGCTTTAATACCTCTTTGCCACCTCTACCCCCAAACGCACGCAAAAACACTTGCTACTATAAAGGCCAAGGGAAACTTTCCCTTCGCCCCCTGAAGGTTCGCTTGAAAAATTAACTGACAAAGACAGATTGATTGGAGAAAAGGCATGCAAATGTATTAATGTGTCCACGGGGAGAGAACAATAGAGTGATTACCCCCAGCCCCCCAATGGGGTACAGAAGCATGTAGATTATCTTGAGGTTACAGAAAGAAAGGGGTCTCAACGCATGGCCCCAAACAGGTTATGGTGGTAAAAGAGGTTGTGAGAGGGGGAGAAGAGGAGGCTTGGCCAGCAAAAATGGTCTGGAGATGTCAATGAAACCTCACAGGTGGCAGCCCTCAGAGAGAATAAACAGTAAATGTTTCTTTCAGACCTTTAAAGGGGTCAGATCCTCAGTTAATTTCTCTTAGATCTGGACAAGGGAGGACCTCGATAAAGCCTGGCTACATCCGTGCAGATTCTCTACAAATGCAAATCTTCCGCACCAAGGACAGCTTTGCATTAGCTCTACTGGCTGGCTTTCTAAATACGTCAATATTTAGAAATATGTCAACTATTTCAAAATATGTCAAAGAAATATATTTTGGGGTAAAATGATTTGATTTCCTTCACTACTCATTTAATAGCGAAATATTTTACTTTTCTTACCAACTTTCTAGCCAAATACATGATCTGATAGCAGGGCTGGCTTCATGGACATGCATCCTGCACTTGGTTTAATGCTGAAATTCTTAATTTTTGAACAAGGGGCCTCTCCTTTTCATTTTGCACTGGGTCCCACAAATTATGTAGCTGATCCTAATAGTCACCATACGTGGAAAGAGAACCCATTTTTTGATCAGGGTTTGAGATGGTGGGTGATGGAGAGTAGAGGTTTATTAAGGGAAGACTAGCTAGATGTTGCAGTTATCTCCAATCTTTCTCAACTCCTCTTTGGCTATCTGAAGAGATAAGTCTAAGAGCATACCCAGGCATGCATGGTGTGACAAAATTTATTACTTTATTAATATCAACAGTTAACAGTTTATTAGGAGCTTAATTATTGATAGACAATACAATTAAGTTTGATATTGAAATAATTTTGTAAGTTTATTGACAAGTTGTGTGTTATTTTCAAAGGATTGGGGAGTCTCTATTTAGCATCTCATAAAATTTTGCTTAGTTAAGATCTAAGATGAGCTGGACATTGCTTGGTTTGGCAGCTTTCACAGCTCAAATGCAAAGCTGGAAAACAAAAAGTGGCCAAATTTTGTAGCTTTTCAGGAGTATTCTTTTACAGGGCCTCAGCGTGATGCCAGCCCGGATCGGATTCCCTTCTGCTTTTATCACTCCCACATCTCTGCAAGGTGACTTTCATTAAAAGGGGGATAGAGCATATTTAGCTACTGAAAAACACTGAAGAAAGGCAGGGCCAGCATCAGTATTTTGTCTGTGAAGAAATCTTGCCCAAAAAACACAGATTCCAGGTGTGTGTATTTTTCTAGAAAAAAGAAATGTTGGAAATACAGAAAAGAAAAAGATTGTACTCTAACTATGGATATGATTTTGTTCAGCAGAGGGAGAAAAAGTCAGATAAGTGGCATTTCATTGGCGGGTTTGGCAGGGAAAGGAAAGCTGCTGTGTTTTTGGTACCATGAACAGCCTTCCAGAAATGGCAAAGTGAGTTTGCTCAGGTGCAAGGAAGAGCCAGCAAAGAAGCTGATTTTCCATGGCTGATGTGATCATTGTGGGGACTCAGAGCAGGACATCACGACATATGTTCTTGGTGCTTTGACGGCTCAGATGAAACTGAAAAACACATTTTTCCACTTTTCTGCCTGAGCGTGCCAAGTCGCTTTCAAATACACGATCCAAACTGGGAAGAGTGCTATTAAATTAACAAAAGGAGGGAGAGGGAGGTGTTTCTGTGATGTCCATGATTCAAAAGATAGAAAGGAGGGATTCTGACTTTAGTTAAAACCTGGGAGCTAGTTTTTATGCTTCACTGAGAAAGGTTTTCCTGACCACAAGATAGGAAGAAAAAAGTTCTTTTAAAATGTTTATGGTTTCAAAAATGTGTAGGTATTTAATCCGCATGGAATTTATTTTGGGATTGTGGTGTGAGGTGGTGGGTGATGGAACTTAAACGGGCTAACATTTGGGGAAAGCTATCATAAAATAAATTCCCGCAATCAAATAAATTGTGGTAAACACTGTCCCATTTTACAAATCGATTTAATGGATTCTTCAGTCTACTCCATGTTTTTCAAATTGAAGTGTAACTTATTACAGTAAAATTCACTCTTTTCAGTGTACAGTTCTAGAAGTTTTGACAAATGTATATAGTCATGTAACCACCACCGTATCAGGATGTAGAAGAATTCTACCACTCCAAGGAATTCCCTGTTGACTCTTTGTAGTCAGCCTCCCCCAACTCTCAGCCCCTGGCAACCACTGATTTGTTTGCTGTCCCTATAATTTTGTTCTTTTCAGAATGTCCTGTAAAAGAACTTATGTATTCTGTAGGCTTCTGAGCCTGGCTTCTTTCACCTAGCATAATGCATTTGAGGTTTATCTATGTTGCACGGATCAATACTTCATTCCTTACTGTTGCTGAGCAGTATCCCAAAGTTTGTTTATCCACTCACCAACTATTGATGATTATGAATAAAGCCAATATAAATATTCACATATGGCTTTTTGGATGAATGTAAACTTTTATTTCACTCAGGTAAACACGTAGAAGATGGCTATGTTGTATGTGAGCTTTATCAAAAACTGATAACCGGGCACAGTGGCTCGTGCCTGGATTCCCAGCTACTCAGGAGGCTAAGGTGGGAGGATCGCTTGAGGCCAGGGGTTCAAGAACAGCCTGGGCAACATAGCAACATTCCCGTCCCTACAAAAAAAATTAAAAAATTATCTGGGCATGGTAGCATGCACCTGTAGTCCTTGCTACTCAGGAGGCTGAGGCAGACGGATCTCTTCAGCCGGGGATTTTGAGGCTGCAGTGAGCTATGATTGGGCCACTGCACTCCAGCCTAGGCAATAAGAGTGAAACTCTGTCTCAAAAAAGAAAAACAAAAACAAAAAGAAATTGTATCCTTTTTTCCCACTTCATTTTCTATGGTAGTGAGTAGGAAGGCTATTTAATTGTTTTTCTGTACATTTATCTTACATTCAAGCCATTTTACTGAACTTTTCTTAGTTCTAATAGTTTTTCAGTTGATTTTCTTGGATTTTCAAAGTAGACAGTCAAATTGTCTGCAAATGGCAATAATATAGGGAATTTTCCCTCCAATATTTTTACCTCATTTTATTTTCTTGCTTTAGTGGCTAGGCTTCCCTGTAGGATAATGTTGAGTAGTAGTTGCTACTATTTTACCATTAACTATTGTGCTTGCCATAGGGTTCTGGTGGCTACCTTAATTATCCTCAGGATGTTTCTTTTCCATTGTTAGCTTGCTAAAAGTCTAAAAGTTTAATTTTAAAATTTCTTGTTCTGCTTGGAATTCTTTTTTTTTTTTTCCCATTGAAAGCCTAAGAGGTTTAGGATCAGTTAGTTTGCTTCTTGACTTTGGAAGTTCATATTTTGATCTCACTGGAGGAGAAGTTAGTGTAGCATTAAGTCAATTCATTTTATTTTATTTTATTTAGATAGAGTCCTGCTCTGTCAACTAGGCTGGAGAGCAGTGGTAGTAATCTCGGCTCACTGCAACCTCCGCCTCCTGGGTTCAGGTGATTCTCCTGCCTCAGCCTCCTGAGTAGCTGGGACTATGGCGGCGCACCACCACACCTGGCTAATTTTTGTATTTTTAGTAGAGACGGGGTTTTGCCATATTGGCCAGGCTGGTCTCGAACTCCTGACCTCAAGTGATCTACCCGGCTCGGCCTCCCAAAGTGCTGAGATTACAGGCATGAGCCACTGCGCCTGGTAATTCATTTTATTTAGATGATGAAGAACCTACCTTTGGAGGTTTTTTTAATAATGTTCTTATTTGGGGGAATGCTGGGTGTACTGAGGAAGAAAGAGAATCAAGAGACAGTTTATAACCTACTCATGTATAAACAAGGTAGCTTTTTCTAGTGTTCAAACTTTTTTTGCCCACCATTCACAATAAGTACATTTTATATTTCTTTTTTTCTTTCTTTTTTTTAATTTTTTAATTTTTTTTTTTGAGACAGAGTCTCACTCTGTTGCCCAGGCTGGAGTGCAGTGGCGCAATCTCAGCTCACTGCAGCCTCTGCCTCCCAGGTTCAAGCAGTTCTCTGCCTCAGCCTCCCGAGTAGCTGAGATTGCAGGTGCCCGCCACCACACCCGACTAATTTTTTTTTTGTATTTTTAGTAGAGACGAGGTTTCACCATCTTGGCCAGGTTGGTCTTGAACTCCTGACCTCATGATCCACCCGCCTCGGTCTCCCAAAGTGTTGGGATTACGGGCGTGAGCCATCACGCCTGGCCACATTTTATATTTCAGCTCAGTCCAAACATACTTGTATATAATGGAAACAAACTCTCACAAAGTCTTTGTCTTTCTCCTGTGTGCAATGTATTGATATTTTCAATTATCTTTCATCTGTTCTATTTCATTTTAAACTGATGATCATGATTTTCCAAATTGATTTGACTACCCTTTCATTTGATTTTTTGACCCACAGTTTGAAAAACATTGTTTTGTAAAACTGCTCATTTAGTTTCTAAGTCCCCAAACTGCTGGATTATGTCCAGAACCGATTCATTTTATATCAGATCCTGCTATGATGCAAAGTAAGTTCATTTATTATGCTCTGAGATCAGTGTAACTACCTATTTCTCTCTTGAATTACTGTGTAGCCTCTAAACCAGTCTTTCAGTGTCTACTTTTGACCCCACAGAATAGCCAATACATGCAGTCTTATAAGTCCATGACTCAAACTCCTCTAATGACCTCTTCCCACACTTTTTTTTTTTTTTTTTTTTTTTTTGAGACGGAATCTCTGTTGCTGAGGCTGGACTGCAGTGGCGCGATCTTGGCTCACTGTAACCTCTGTCTCATGGGTTCAAGAAATTCTCCTGCCTCAGCCTCCCTAGTAGCTGGGACTACAGTTTCACACCTCCATGCCTGGCTAATTTTTATATTTTTAGTAGAGTCGGGGTTTTACCATATTGATCAGGCTTTTCTCGAGCTCTTGACCTCAGTTGATCCACCCACCTCGGCCTCCTATAGTGCTGGGATTACAGGCATGAGCCACTGCGCCCGGACTTTTTTTTTCTCTTGAGACAGGATCTCGTTCTTTTGCCCAGACTGGAGTGCAGTGTCATGATCATGGCTCACTGCAGCCTCAACCTTCGGTGCTTAAGCGATCCTCCCACCTCAACCTCCTGAGCAGCTGGAGGCACTACAGGCTTGCCCCACCATGCCTGGCTAATTTTTAAAAAGTTTTTGTAGTGACGGGGTCTCCCTGTGTTGCCCAGGCTGGTCTCGAACTCCTGGATTCAAGCAGGCTTCCTGCCTCAGTCTCCCAAAGTGCTGAGACTACAAGCATGAGCCACTGCACCCGGCCTGCACTTTTTTTTTTCTTAGACGAGATGGGGTCTCAGTCTGTAGCCCAGGCTGGAGTGCAGTGGTGTGATCATAGCTCACTGCAGCCGCAAACTCCTGGGCTCATGCAACCACACCCAGCTAATTTTTGTATTTTTAGTAGGGATAGGGTTTCACCGTGTTGGCCAGTCTGTTGAACTCCTAGCCTCAAGTGATCCTCCTGCCTCGGCCTCCCAAAGTGCTGGGATTATAGGCGGGAGCCACCGCGCCGCCTCCTACCACACTTACAATCAATCCCTAGGGCCTCACTGGTACCTCCTTTACTCCCTATTCTCAACTTCTCCAAACACAGCCTCCTCCGTGCTTATGTTCCTCACCCAAGCCAAGCGTTTGCTGTGCTACCTGCCCAGAACACCATTTCACCAGATAGTTTCTTTGTTTCATCTGAGTCTTCTCTAACCCTCATTCTAAAACCGTACTCCCCACTTACCACAGGAAGGGTCCATTCCCTTATCCCACTTTTGTTTTCTTTATATCACTGTTACCTGCAATTATGTTATTTAGTTATTTGTTTACTGATGCTGCGTCTTCTTTTCCTTCCTGGAATATAAGTTCCAGGAAGGCAGGGACTTTGTGTAGTTTGCTCATCATTGTGTTGTCAGGACTTAGAACAGTGGGACGTAGTAGGTGCTTTATCCACGTGTCAAATGACCGAATGAATGAGCCTAGAATATAGATAAAATCTGACACTTGTCCTAAGAGAAGTATAATGTGCCCTGCCTTTCTGTTCCAATGTTAGTGTGGAAATTTCTTTAGGTTAAGCGTGGAGTATTTTAATGTAAGCAGTTCATTAACCAATACACACTCACCTGGTATCCACTATATTTCTGACACTCTCGTAATAATAATGATAGCTAATATTTACTGAGCAGTTACTACCCTTATTGCTTTACATCTATTAACTCATTTAATCCTCCCAACCTCTTGAAGCAGGTACAATTCTCATCATTTTACAGATGAGGAAACTGAGGTACAGAGAAGTTAAGTTACTTGTCTAAGGTCATACAGAAGGTAAGCAGTAGGTCCGGGGTTTGAATACAGACCATCTGATTTCAGAGCCTGTGTTCTTCATCACAAGCTCCTAGCTAGAGCAAGGAGTGCGCACAATTCCTGACCTTTGTAAGCCTGTCACGTTTATGGCTTAGCATAGTGGTTCTCAACTGGAGGTGATTTTTGCCTCCCAGGGGACATTTGACAATGTCAAGAGACATTTTTAGTTGTCATGACTGGCAGGG
This sequence comes from Homo sapiens, assembly GCF_000001405.40. Lineage (NCBI taxonomy): Eukaryota > Metazoa > Chordata > Mammalia > Primates > Hominidae > Homo > Homo sapiens. The sequence goes on along the minus strand of NC_000023.11, from coordinate 19,114,654 downwards.
TTTGGAGGTGCTACTGGCGCCTAGTGGGGAGAGGTCGAGGATGCTGGTAAACATCCTACAGTGCACAGCACAGCACCCTCACCCCAACAAACAGTGATCCGGCCCAAGCATTAATAGTGCCAAGGTTGAGAAACCCTGCCGTGGCACAGTGGTTCTGAAAGCCCGCTGCCCACTGGAATCACTGGGGGAGCTTGATAAATCAATACCGATGTCCAGGTCTTGTTCCTGACCTTAATAAACCTCAAATGGACCTTCAACATGGCCTGCAGTCCTACCATGCTTGCCTAGTGGGTTTGTTTTTCCATTCTCCAAAACAGTTGTTTGACACCTTTTATTTCCTCTGCCCCTCCTAGATCAGTTGCTGATTCTGGCTCATTCAACAGGAGCCTCCTCATAACCCACTACCTGGACCCCCAACAGGCCCATATTTGTGCAAATAAAGTGTTCCCCAGTGCCACTGTGAAGCTGTGACTGAAATGCCCCTAATGGATCAAAAACTGGCTGCTTTTCTGGGCTCTGGGTCCCTCATCCTCTTTGTCTTCTCAGGGACTTTTTTTTTTTTTACTTTTTTTTTTTTTTTTTTGAGACAGATTCTTGCCCCGTCGCCCAGGCTGGAGTGCAGTGGTGCAATCTCGGCTCACTGCAACCTCTGCCTCCCGGGTTCAGGTGATTCTCCTGCCTCAGCCTCCTGAGTAGCTGGGACCACAGGTGCCCATCACCACGCCTGGCTATTTTTCTTTGTATTTTCAGTAGAGATGGGGTTGCGCCATGCTGGCCAGGTTGGTCTCGAATTCCTGGCCTCCGGTGATCCGCCTGCCTCAGTCTCCCAAAGTGCTGGGATTACAGGCGTGAGCCACCGCACCCGGCCTTAACGTTTTATTTGGAAATAATTTTAAACTTTACAAATGAGCTGAACATTTTTTTTAAAAAGTACAAAGAACACCCCATGCCCTTAATCCAGATTCCTCTGTTGTTAGCATTTTATCCTGTTTGCTTTATCATTTACACTCTTGCTCGTGTACCTAGGATTTTCCTGAACCATTTGAAGATAAATTTCATGCAGCAAGAACTTTAACTCCTAAATCCTTCAGTAGGGATTTCCTAAGTATAAGAATATTCTCTCAAATAATCACAGCGCTGTTATCAATCTCAGTAAATGTTTTGATAAGATACTGTTATCTAATCTGCCGTTTGTATTCCAATTTTGACAATAGACCTGATAACATCCTTTACAGCATTTTTTTCCTTCTAGTACAGGATCCAGTTTAGGGTTGTTGCATTGATTGATTGATTGATTGAGATAGGCTGGAGTGCGGTGGCACAATCTCGGCTCACTGCAACCTCTGCCTCCCAGGTTCAAGTGATTCTCCTGCCTCAGCTTCCCGAGTAGCTGGGACTACAGGCACGTACCACCACTCCCAGCTAATTTTTGTATTTTTAGTAGACATGGGGTTTTGCCATGTTGGCCAGGCTGGTCTCAAACTCCTGACCTCAGGTGATCTGCCCGCCTCAGCCTCTCAAAGTGCTGAGATTACAGGCGTGAGCCACCGCACCGGCAGGTTTAGAGTTGTTGCATCTAGTTGTCATGTCTCTTAGTCTCTTTTAGTCTGGAACACTTCTATTGCCTTTCTTTGTCCTTTGTAACGTTGATTTTTTTTTTTTTTTTGGTTTTTTTTTTGTTGTTGTTGTTTTGTGTTTGAGACAGAGTCTCACCCTGTCGCCAGGCTGGAGTGCAGTGGCGCGATCTCGGCTCACTGCAACCTCCATCTCCCGGGTTCAAGCAATTCTTCTGCCTCAACCACCCGAGTAGCTGGGATTACAGGCACAAGCCACCACACCCAGCTAATTTTTGTATTTTTAGTAGAGACGGGGTTTTACCATGTTGGCCAGGATGGTCTCGATCTCTTGACCTCGTGATCCACCTGCCTTGGCCTCCCAAAGTGCTGAGTGCTGGGATTACAGACAGGTGTGAGCCACCTTACCCGGCCTTTTTTTTTTTTTTTTAATAGAACATTAATCATGTCTGGTTTGTCTGATGTCTCTTGTGATTGGACTCAGGTTATGCATTTTTAGCCTGAACACTGCGTGGATGACATTATATCCTTCTCAGGGTATCTTATTTTGGAGGCTCATAATGTCCATCTCTTCCTCATTGGTGATGTTAATTTTGATCACTTGGCCAGGGCATTGTCTAATTTCTCCACTGTGTAGTTATTGGTTTTTCTTTCCAAATCCACAGTCTGTGGGAAGACACAAATATCCTGCTCAAAATTTCCCTCTAGGGCCAGGTGTGGTGGCTCACGCCTGTAATCCCAGTACTTTGGGAGGCTTACTTGGAGGATCAGTTGAGCCCAGGAGTTCCAGACCAGCCTGGGCAACATAGTAAGACCCCGTCTCTACAAAGAAAATTAAAAAATTAGCCAGGCATGGTGGTATGTGCCAGTGGCCCCAGCTACTTGGGAGGCTGAGGTATTAGGATCACTTGAACCCAGGAGATCGAGGTTGCAATGAACCATTATCGGACCACTGCACTCCAGCCTGGGTGACAGAGCAAGACCCTGTCTGAAAATAATAATAATAATAATAATAATTCCCTTTAGATTTAGCATCCAGTGATGATTTTTGTATGATCTATTCTTTAATATGGTTGAAAATAATAATTTTCGACTCTAGTATTCCCTCCACATTTGGTCCAGAGCCCTTCCTTCTCCCCTATTTATTGATTGATTCATCTATTTATTTTTGGTATCAAATAATTCATATTTTCAAAATAGGTCTGCAATTCATTACTATACTTAATTATTTTAGTGCACAAATTGTAAAGGACTTAATTATGCATTGTTTCCTTCTCTCTTTTCTGCCTAATGAACTCCTCTCTCCCTGTTCTAGATCATTCCCATCAGCTTACAATCCTGCTCTAATGTCTAATATCTTCATCAATTCCATATTCTCCTCCACTCATTCCCCACCCCCATTTCTAGTCACTCCTTCTCAGAAGATCTTCTTAAAAGGATGCTCATATTTTATCACACCACATTGTCAGTCCTCAGTATATCCACATTGGCAAATACAGCCATCACTTCTTTACTTACCATGTTTTACTTGGCGGCAGCATTTGACAGTCATTCCCTCCTTCTTTGACCACTTTCTTGTTGTGGCCTCCAGTATCCTACGCTCTCTTGGTTTTCCTATCTTTCTGGTAGCTCATTCTAAGTCTCCTCATCCTCTCTTCTACCTATGAAGGTTGATGTCCCTCCAAGGCACTGGGAACTGTTCTTCTCTTTCTACCTACTCTCCTGGGATGAGCCCATTCATTCCTATGGCTTTCCATTCCATCTAGATGCCAGTATCTCCAGTTGTGACCTTTCCTACACTTAAGACTTAATAATTTGCATGAATCTCTAAGAGGCATCTCAAACTCAATATTTTCCAAAGCAAAATCCTGATTCCCTGTCACCCTCATGCAAAACCTGATTCTCTCCCTGTGAAATCCATCTCAGTCCATGACATCACCATTCACTCCATCGTTCAGGCTCCACACCTACTAGTTTCATGCCCCACATCCAACCCATCAACAAATCTTGTCAATTTGGCTTCTAAACCGTATCCCAAGTCTTCCCACTTCTCTCTACTCCTACTATTCCACTATACTTCCATCCTTCTCCGTCTCTTTCTTGGATGATTGTAGTGGCCTCCTAGAATCCAATATCCACATGGCAGCTAGAGTATCTTCTTAAAAGCATTAGTTGGATTGTGTCATTCCCTACTGGACTATGGAAGTCTGCCATGTTCTAGTCCCTGCCCCTCTTCTATCTCTCTTGCTGACTGTGCTTCTTTATTGATTCTTCCAGCACATTAACCTCATTTTAGTCTTTTATACTAACTGTTCTGCCTGGAATGTTCTTTCTGTCCTCTACTTTATCTTCTGTTTTTTTGTTTTTTTTTTTTGTTTGTTTTTTGTTTTTTTTTGAGATAGAGTCTCTCCCTGTCACCTAGGTTGGAGTGCAGTGGCGCAATCTTGGCTCACTGCGACCCCTGTCTCCCGGGTTCAAGTGATTCTTGTGCCTCAGCCTCCTGAGTAGCTGGGATTATAGGTGCATGCAACCACACCCGGCTAATTTTTGTATTTTTAGTAGAGAAGATGGGGTTTTGCCATGTTGGCCAGGCTGGTCTCAAACTCCTGGCCTCAAGGGATCCACCCGCCTCAGCCTCCCAAAGTGCTGGGATTACAGGCATGAGCCACCGCGCCTGGTCCCTCCTTTATCTTCTTATTGCTGGTTCCTCATCATTCAGATCTCAGTTTAAATATCTCCTCTTTGATGACCTGATCCAAAATAGCCACCAGGTTACCTTCTATATCATCTCACCTTACTCTAATTCTCAATGCTGTATTTATTATCTGTTAATTTCCTTGTTGATTTGTACATTTATTGTTCTCTTCTCCTCCTTCCACCCTCCTCACACTAGAATGTGAGCAGGGTCCACATCTTTACCCCCAGTGCCTAGAATAGTATTTGGCATGTAGTATTCAATTTTGGTGTTTAATAAATATTTGATGAATAAATGATACATTTAATCCTTCATGCATGATTCTCAGCACATGGAAGATACTCACTAAATGTCCTCTTGTTGTCTTTCCCCAAGAGTACATTCTTGTGTCTGGGGCTAGTCTAGAAGTTTCCAGTGAAGACAATCATCTGATAAAGAGATTCATATTTCTGTGTTAGGATCCTGATTATTAGGGTTTCTAGACAAAGGGGAATTACATTTTACCAAGAAAAAAACAGTGATAGAATTCCAGGGATCATTAGTGTCACATTTTTCAGTGTGGGACTTTCCTGGCCCTCCTAACTACAAGACTGGTTCTCAGATTCCACAAAATCGACATGTTTTATCTTGGGATTCTGTCGTGTAAATTTTTGAAACACTTCATTTGGGAGGATCACGTGGATTTTTAGGTGGGAAGAAGGGGATAGCAAAGGAAGTGGCATTCTTCTCTGCCTTTGTTAATAGTATCATTTCCTGTGCCCATTTCAACGTTAGCTCTGGTATAACACAAGTGATAAGCCGTGTGTGTTATTGAAATCTGAGAAAAGGGCACCAAAAAATGTTTAGTACTTTGTACTGGTCTAAAATTCATGACTTGAATATGTGGGGAGAGAGTGAGGAAGATTGGGAAGATGTATACTGAAGTGGTTTCCCTTTGAGGTATTATTTGAAGATTGGTGTGATTTTTGGGAAAGCTCTTGTAGTGGATTTTAAAGCTTCCAGGAAAAAATCTGTACCAATGAACACGACTAATGATTTTGTCAGCAGATGATTCGCTTTTTGACAGAAATATACCACATGTTTTTGGGGTATTTGGAGAAACCATCACCCTTGACCCAGTAGGATTTTTTTTTAAACTGGGCCAAATGCTTATTGTATTCACAGTTCATACATGAGTCAAGAGCTGGGCGCCATTACTCAGCTTGTGATATTGATCACCTGTTCATCACGATTCATCATTTCAAGCAGCCATCCTTATGAAAGCAGGCAAGTGTGTCAAGTAGTATTTCATGGACATATTTAGAGCGTTCTTCTTCTTCCTTCTTCTTTCTTCTTCTTCTTCTTTTTTGAGATGGGGTCTCCCTATATTGCCCAGGCTGGTCTTGAACTCCTGGGCTCAAGTGATCCTTCTGCCTCAGCCTGAGTGTTACTCTCTTTGACTTATCCATAAAAGTGGATCCAATGTGTCTACATATATTTTTTAAATTAAACTTTTATTGAAGTACAAATTATACACATTACAAATGTACAGCTCAATGAATTTTCACAAACTGTGCATATCCCTGTCACCAGCCCCCAGATCAAGAATCCCACACAAGCAGCCTTTAGAAGCCCTCCTCTTGCCTCCTTTCACTCACTGCCCCCCAAGGGTGACTACTGTTCTCCCTCAAATGCCACATATTGTGCCTGTTCTTAAATTTCCTATATGTGGTACCAGACAGGCTACCTGACTTCTGCTCAGTATTGTTTGTGAATTTCCTCCATATCGTTGCATGTGGTTATAGTTGGGTGATTGTCACTGCCGAATAATATTCCGTTGCATGATTACCATGGTTTATCCTTTCTACTGCTGATGGCCTTTGTTTGGTTTCCAGCAGTTTTGGCTTTTATGAGTGGTGCTGTGGGTGATTCTCTTGCCTATCTTGTAGTGAACATATATGTGCATTACTACCAGGTAAATACCTAAAAGAATGCTTTAAATAGATTATTAATAGTTTTTATGGTTACTGTCAATTATTTTCTCCTCTGAATGCAATTAGGATTAGTAGCCACCTTTGGACATAACTCACACATCTGTATCCATAGACAATGATGAGACTTTCTTTCTGTAACTTTTTTTTTTTCTTGAACTCCTCAAGCAACCTGCCCGCCTCAGCTTCCTAAACTGCTGGGATTACAGGCATGAGCCACCGCACCTGGCTTTCTGTAACTTTTTTTATTAAGTTCTAGCATTAGTTGTTTTTACACTTTAATTTTCTTTTTTCTTTTTTTTTTTTTTTTTGAGACGGAGTCTCACTGTCACCCAGGCTGGAGTGCTGGAGTGCAGTGGCGCGATCTCGGCTCACTGCAACCTTGTGTCACCTCCCGGAGCGATTCTCCTACCTCAGCCTCCTGAGTAGCTGGGACTACAGGTGCGTGCCACCACACCTGGCTAATTTTTTGTATTTTTAGTAGAGACTGGGTTTCACCGTGTTAGCCAGGATGGTCTCGATCTCCTGACTTTGTGATCCGCCCGCCTCAGCCTCCCAAAGTGCTGGGATTACAGACGTGAGCCACCGCGCCCAGCCTATACTTTAATTTTTTTCTAATAATTGGTTTCTATGCTGATTTTTTCCTTTACCAACTACCTATATCATATCATCATTTTAAAATATCTTAAGAATTTTAGCTTGCTTTTTCTTTTCCTGCCTGCCCCCACCATCCCCACCCCCAGCTGTATTTCTTTTGAAATGAAAAAAAAAAAAAAAACAAAAAACAAAACTCCTGGAACTGCTGAATGTGTTTTGCAGATATAGAGGTAAAGGTTTACCACCCGAATAGCTTTAGAATGGTACAGGCTTATTCAGCACTGATTCCTAGTCTTGCCAAGGAAAAGTAAAAAGGACAAAGAAAGGAAGAAAGAAGGAGGGTTAAAAAACTAAATTATGCTTTATTTTGTGGTGTATTGGTTGACAGTAGTATTTTTCTCTGTCTCCTCTCAGCTAATCTGGTCATTTGACCAACTGGATAGAGCAAATATTGTCTGAAATGAAGCAAATACATTCCATTTGATTTTGGTGGGAGACAAATTTTTAGGCAGGGAAAACGATTAGCAGATAGTGTCATGCACAGCAGTGCCTTTCAAATGCCAACATGCAAAACGATTGCCTGGGGATCTTGTTAAAATGCATATGCGGATTCAGCAGGTTTGGGACTGGCCAG